>NC_000007.14:122203748-122506779 GCF_000001405.40 Homo sapiens
AACTTCTAGTTTAATGGAATTGTTATTGTGTCTCCTGGTGGCAGCGTTCCTCCCTCCAGAGCTAAGACCTCCAGGCCAGCAGAACATAATGTCATGGGAACAAGAAGCAAAAATTTTGCTAGTGGATCACTAGGGGTGATGGTGAATGGTGCCATTTCCAATTCCACCCCTTAATTCCTGGACCAGTGAAACCTGGCTACAGGAGAAACAGTGCCATATATCGGACACTGGTTCAGAGCATACACAGCCTTCTGGAGAACTTTGCCCCAGCCCTGCAATGTATTGTCACCTAGTTGGTGTTGTAATTGTGACCTCAAAAGGCCACTCAACAGTTCTTTCAATCCACCTGCTTCTGGATGATGAGGAGCATGGTAAGACCAGTGAATTCCATGGGCATGAGCCCACTGCCACACTTCCTTAGCCATAAAGTGAGTGTCTTGGTCATAGGCAATGCTGTGTGAAATACTATGAGGGTGGATAAGACATTCTGTGAGTCCATGGATGGTAGTCTTGGCTGAAGTACTACATGCAGGATAGGAAAACCCATATCCGGAGTAAGTGTCTATTCCAGTGAGGACAAACCTCTGCCCTTTCCATGAGGGAAGTGGTCCAATATAACCAACCTGCCACCACCAGGTAGCTGGCTGATCGCCCCTAGAAATGGTGCCATATGGAGGGCTCAGTGTTGCTCTCTGCTGTGGCAAATTGGGCACTCAGCAGTGGCTGTAGCCAGGTCAGCCTTGGTGAGTGGAAGTCCAGGTTGCTGAGCTCACATGAAACCTCCATCTCTGCTACCATGGCCACTTTGTTCATGGGTCCTTTTGGTGACGACAGTGGTGGCTGGGGAAAGAGGCTGAGTGGTGTCCACAGAATGAGTCATTCTATCCATTTGATTAGTAAACACTCCTGCTGAGGTCACCCTTGGTGAGCACTCACATGAAATATAAATATCTTCACAGTTTTTGACTACTCAGAGAGGTCCACCCACATACCTCTTCCCCAAATTTCTTTGTCACCAATTTTCCAATTATACTTCCAAGTCTCTGACCATCCAGCCAAACCACTGGCTACAGGCCATGAATCAGTATATAATCACACATCTGGCCATTTCTCCTTCCATGCAAAGTGCACAACGAGATGCATTGCTCAAAGTTCTGCCCACTGGGAAGATTTCCCTTCACTGCTGTCCTTAAGGGATGTCCTAGAAAGGGGTTGCAGTGCTGCAGCTGTCCACTTTGGGGTGGTGCCTGCATATCATGCAGAACCATCTGTGAACCAGGCTGTAGCCTTCTCTTCTGTAAACTGATCATAGGAAACTCCCCAAGATGCCATTGGTGCAGACTGTGGGAGAGAAGGCAAGGTGTCAGGAGTGGAGATCATGGGCATTTGAGCCACTTTCTCGTGTAACTTACTTGTGCCTTCAGGACCTGCTCGAGCCCAGTCAGGTATATTCACTTCCATCCGATGATGGAATGCTGCTGTTCACGACCCACTTTATGGCTAGATGGGTCAGAAAGCACCCAGTTCATGATAGGCAGTTCAGGTCACATGGTGGCTTGATGACTCATAGTCAAATGTTCAGTTTTCATCAAAGCCCAGTAACAGGCCAAGGTCTGTCTCTCAAAAGAAGAGTAGTTATCTGCAGAAGATGGCAGAGCCTGGCTCCAAAATCCTAGAGCACTGTAATAAACCTATGGGGGCCTGCCAGAGGCTCCAAACAGCATCCCTGTTTGCCACTGACACGTGAAGAACCATTAGATCTGCTGGGTCATATGGCCCAAGTGGCAGAGCAGCTTTCACAGCAGCCTGGACCTGTTGAAGAGCCTTCTCCTCTTCTGGACCCTACTAAAAACTGGCAGCCTTCCAGGTCACTCAATAAATGGGCCAGAGTAACACACCAAAATGAGGAATGTGTTGCCTCCAAAATCCAAATAGGCCCACTAGGTATTGTCCCTCTTTCTTGGTTGTAAGAAGGGCCAAATGCAGCAACTTATCATTCACCTTAGAAGGAATATCTTGACCGGCCCCACACCACTGAAACCCTAGAAATTTTACTGAGGTAGAAGGTCCCTAAATGTTAATCAGATTTATGGATTTATTTCCCATTCTCTGGCCCACAGATGTCTCACCAATAAGTTCAGTGTATTTGCTACTTCTTGCTCACTGGATCCAATCAGCATAATGTCATCAGTGTAATGTGGTATCTTATGGAAGCAAAAAGTGATCAAGATTATGACACAAAACTGGAGAGTTGATATACCCCTGAGGTAGGACAGTAAAGGTGTAT
The DNA here is from genome assembly GCF_000001405.40 of Homo sapiens. Lineage (NCBI taxonomy): Eukaryota > Metazoa > Chordata > Mammalia > Primates > Hominidae > Homo > Homo sapiens. The sequence goes on from NC_000007.14 coordinate 122,206,036, forward strand.
TGCTGGCCTTGCCAGCTGAAGGCAAATTGCTTCTGGTGGGCCTTATGGACAGGAATGGAAAAAAAGGCATTTGCCAAATCAATGGCTGCATACCAGGTACCAGGAGATGTGTTAATTTGCTCAAGCAATTAAACCACATCTGGTACAGCAATTGCACTTGAAGTTATGACTTGGTTAAGCTTATGATAATCCACTGTCATTCTCCAAGATCCATATGTCTTCTTCACAGGCCAAATAGGAGAGTTGAATGGGTATGTGGTGGGAATCAACACCCCTGTGTCTTTCAAGTCCTTGATGGTGGCACTAATCTCCACAATCCCTCCAGGACTGTGATAATGTTTTTGATTTACTATTTTTTTTAGGTAGAGGTAGCTCTAATGGTTTCCATTTGGCCTTTCCCACCATGGTAGCCCTCACTCTACCAATCAGGGAGCCAATTTGGGGGTTCTGCCAGCTGCTAAGTATGTCTATGCCAATTATGCATTCTGGCACTGGGGAAATGACCACAGGATGAGTCCAGGGACCCACTGGACCCACTGCAAGTCAGACCTGAGCAAAACACCATGATTATCTGACCTCTGTAAACCCCTACTTTAACTGGAGGACCACAATGACGTTTTGGGTCCCCTGGAATCAATGTCAGCTCAGAGCCAGTGTCCAGTAGTCCCTGAAATGTCTTGTCATTTCCCTTTACCCAGTGCACAGCTACCCTGGTAAAATGCTAGAGGTCTCCTTGGGAAAGGATGGGAGAAAGATTAACAGCATAAATTATCAGTAGCGTGTAGGGGTCCTTCCTCAAGGGGACTCAGCCTCCCTTTCATTCGAGGGATTCTGGGTCTGTAAACTGGCTCGTCTGGAAATTGATTGAAGGGTCATTATGTTCTACTTTTATAATTCAAATTAGTCTTTTGTCCACTCAACCTGGAAGTTTTCTGCTTATATAAATTAAGTAGGAATGCAGTAGGCTTCCTATCAATTTCACTTCTAGGAACACTACAATTAATTAGCCAATGCCAGAGCTCTACACGAGTCAGACTATTCTGATTACTGCTTTGCCTCTGCTGTCTATTACAGTAGCTATGCCTACCTTACCTTTGATGGTTGAGTACCTCCACTTGGGAGTTGCCAACTTGGGATCCAATTATTCCCATTGCATGTAAATTTTGTAGTTGAGTGACTGTGGTTCCCACTGTTAGATCTGGAATGCAGAGAAGAGCAATCACAGAGCCCTTCAAAGATGCAGGTGCTTCCCTCACAAATCTATTTCACAAAGCACAGTTCAAGGTTGCATCTTCTGGACCCTCCCAGCTGGGATGAGTAGGTCTAAAGTGACTAATCCACTCTAGCATCCCAATCTCCCTAAGCCTTTGGATTCCTTCCTCTACATAAACCAAGGAAAATCAGGCATTTCCAGCTTGCTTACAGTAGGCCATCTTTTAATCCATATTTCAGCTAACCAAACAAATAAACTATTAGAACCTTTTTTTAACTTCCTGAGCTACAACATTAAATGCAGAATCCCTACTTAGAGGACCCAAATCTATAAATTCAGCCTGATCCAACTCTATGTTCCTTCCACCATTATCCCACACCCTTAATATCCATTCCCATGTCTGTTCTCCAGATTTCTGCTTATATAAATCAGAAAACTCAAGCAGTTCTTTTCAAGTGTAGTCCACCTCCTCATGGCTCATACTCTGAACCTCAACTCTAGAAACCCACTAGGACTTTAGTCAAGTTATAGGTCTAGAAGAAAACAGAGGTGTTGGGGGTGGCTCCTGAGGAGAATCAACATTATCTTGCCTGGCAACTGCATCAGGGGAGGACATCATTGTTGTCTCAGGCAGCACAGGGTTTATCTCCTCAGGCAAAGGTGGAAAGGCTGATGGCAGCATGGGTCAGGGAGGGGATGTTGCCACTACTGGGGATGGAGAAGCTGCTTCTTCTGGCTAAAAGTTTCATCAGAGTTTACAAGCTCAGTGTACCCAGCTTCATCAGGGTCCTTCCATATATTGATCGCAAGTTGCATGGTTCTATTCTTTTTCAATCAATACCCTCACTTTAACAGTAGACACCTGGTGAGGCTGTGCATGCATCTTTCATTGCAGGTCAGCCACTAGTATAATAAGAGCTTGTGTCTGATTTTCCACAATTTCAGCTCTTTCTCTACAGGAGATAAGACTCTCACTCAGGGCAAGATTAGCAGATTTGAGGCTCAGTATCTGCTTCTGAAACTGGGAGTTAGAATCCCTGAGTTCATCATTTTCTTTCATCACCTCGTCCAGTGAATTTTGAAGCAACCAACCAACCAATGTCATTGTGTTCCTTGGTTCTCCACATATAGTCAAAGGTATTATGTGTAGAGTCACTAAACTCCTTGCCTCTCACGAGTGGTGAATCAGGTGTGTCAAATGAATTTATTTTGCATAACTCTTTAAACAGTCCACACCAAAGACTACCAGTGTTCTCCACACTATTAGAATTAGAGTCCTTAGCATTTTTAGGTCTAATCATATTAAGAAGCCAACTCCAGAAACGCCAAAACCAACAAAAGAACTCCATCCTTAATAATCTGTTCCTCTAGAAAGACTCTTGATACCAAAATCTGTATTTAATCATGGTTCTCTAGACGGACAGAACTAATAGAAAAAAATATATATATATATATATGTGTGTGTGTGTGTGTGTGTTAATTAAGGAGTATTAACTCACAATCACAAGGTCCTATGATAGGCTGTCTGCAAGCTGAGGATCAATGAAGCCAATCCGAGTCCCAAAGCTGAAGAACTTGGAGTCTGATATTTGAAGGCAGGAAGCATCCGGCACGGAGAAAGATGTAGGCTAGGAGGCTAAGCCATTCTAGTCTTTTCATGTTCTTCTGCCTGCTTTTATTCTGGCCATTCTAGCAGCTGATTAGATTGTGCCCACCCAGATTAAGAGTGGGTCTGCCTTTCCCCGTCCACCAACTCAAGTGTTAATCTCCTTTGGCAACACCCTCACAGACACACCCAGAATCAATACTTTGCATTCTTCAAACCAATCAAATTGACACTCAGTATTAATCCTCACAATATTCTTCACAGGAATAAAAAAAACTATCCTAAATTTCATATTGAACCACAAAAGACCCAGAATAGCCATATCTATCCTAAGCAAAAAGGACAAAACCAGAGGAATCACATTACTGACTTCATATTATACTAGTTATGGTAATAAAACAGCATGGTACTGGCATAAAAACAGACACATAGACCAATGGAACAGAACAGAGAACTCAGAAGCAAATCCACACACCTACAGTGAACTCATTTTTCGACAAATGTGCCAAGAACACACACTGAGGAAAAGACAGTCTCTTCAATAAGTGGTGCTGGAAAAACTGGATATCCATATAAAAAAGAATGAAACTGGACCTGTATCTCTCACCAATACAAAAGTCAAATCAAATGGATTAAAGACTTAAATCTAAAGCTTCAAACTGTGAATCTACTACAAGAAAACATTGGGGAAAATCTCCAGGAGATTAGTCTGGGCAAGGATTTGTTGAGTATTATCCCACAAGCGCAGGTAACCAAAGCAAAAATTGACAAATGGGATCACATCAAGTTAAAAAAGCTTCTGCACAACAAACAAAACAATCAACAAAGTGAAAAGACAAACTATTTCTCACAAAATAGAATGTGAGAAAATATTTGCAAACTATCCATCTGACAAGGGATTAATAACCAGAATATGTAAGGAGCTGAAACAACTCAACAGGAAAAACATCTAATAGTATAATTAAAAATGGGCAAAAGATTTAAATAGACATTTCTCAAAGGAAGATATACAAATGGCAAACAGGCATATGAAAAGATGCTCAATGTCACTGATCATCAGAGGAATGCAAATCAAAACTACAATGAGATATAATTTCATTCCAATTAAAATTGCTTATATTCAAAAGGCAGGCAGTAACAAATGCTGGCAAGGATGTGAAGAAAAGGGAACCCTTGTACACTATTGGCGGGAATATAAATTAGTACAACCACTATGGAGAACAGTTTGGAGATTCCCCTAAAAACAAAAAATAGGACAACCATATGATTCAGCAATCCCACTATTGGGTTCATTCCCCAAAGAAAGCAAATCAGTATATCAAAGAGATATCTGCACTCCCATACTTACAATCGCCAAGATTTGGAAGCAACCAAAGTGTTCATCAACAGATGAATGAATGAAGAAAATGTACATATACACAATAGAGTACTATTCAATCATAAGAAAGAATGTCATTCAGTAATTTGCAACAACATGGATGGAACTGGAGATCATTATGCCAAGTGAAATAAGCCAGGCACAGACAGAAAAGCATCGTATGTCATGTTCTCACTTATTTGTGGGATCTAAAATTCAAAACAATTGAACTCATGGACATAGATAATGGAAGGATGGTTACCAGATACTGGGAAGGGTAGTGTGGGGCGGGGGCTGAAAGGGAAGTGGGAATGGCTAATGGGTACAAAAATACATAGAAAGAATGAATAAGACATACCATTTGACAGCACAATAGAGTGACTATAGTCAATAATAACTTAATCATACATTTTCAAATAACTTAAAGAGTATAATTGGATGGTTTATAACTTAAAGGATAAATGCCTAGGGGATGGATAACCCATTCCCCATGATGTGCTTATTTCACATCGCATGCCTATATCAAAACATCTGATGTACCCCATAAATATATGCATGTACTCTATACCCACAAAAATTGAAAATTAAGATTTAAAAATGTAATGAAATGCTTTATTTTATTTTTCTGGAAAATGTGATTGTGGCTTTAGGGGGCTAATAAATAATACTCCTCTCTTTCCTACCCCAATAGATGCAAGAATCTGATAGAGATTAAAGCATGAACATTATTGATAAAAGCTAGAATGGAGGATGTGGCTTAAATATTCAGCCTCAATAGATTTCCTAACAGTTTGCTCCATATTGAATTTTCCTACAGGCAGTAATGGACAACTGTATGCATTTCCTGTAGAGACACTCATTATTCACTCAATAAATATTTATTGAATGTAAACTATGGGCCAGATACTGTTTTAGGTGCTGAGGATTCAACAGTGAACAACTCAAAGTCACTGCACTCAGGGAGTTCACATTCTAAGTAGTGAGGAGATCTTGAGTCTGCTAAGACTTGAGTTTGGCTGCAGATCTAGAGGAAAGTAGAGTTTTGGGGGGTAGGTCCTGAAGAAGATCAGCAATATCTTGGAAGGCAACTACCTCAGGGGAAACCATTGCAGGTGTTTTAGGCAAAGCGAGACTAACTTCCTGAGGAAGAGATGGTAGGGCTCTTTCTTCTGGTGAAAAAGGCTTGGTGTAATTTATAGGTTCAAGACACCAGCTTCGTCACAATCTGCCCATATGTCTTGATTCCAGTTTCTGAGAATGCCATTCCTTCCAATCAATGCCGTAACTTTAACAAAGGGGCCCTGTGTGGTTGGGCATTCAGTTGACATTGTAATTCAGCCACTCACAAGGTGAGAATGTTTTTTCTTTCATTTTCATAAACTTCAGTCCTGTGCCTACAGAAGATAATGGTTTCAGAGTAAACATAGAAGATTCCAGGTCCCTTGTGAGAATGTTGAGCTAAGAATTTAAAGCCCTGAGCTTATAATTTTCTTTCCCTAAGTTCTCAGGTATTGTTAGAAGCAACCAACCAACTCTATCTTGCTCATTTTCACTAAAATATTCTATTGGTAGCAAATACTTGAAAACCTGAAATGCCTTTTATAAGCATTTGATTGCAGGTATCTAAAGGAGATAATTTGAGTAACTTTTTTGGCCATGAACTACCACATGCCATGAACTACTAGTGCTCCCTTTACCACTGGAGACATGGTCATTAGTGCCTTTAAATCTAATCAGATCAGAGGGCCAATGCTAGAAAACCCAAATCCAATTCAGATAACTCATCCTTGAGATTCTGTTCTCTGGAACCACTCTCAGTATGCAATTCTGTTATCAGGATTCAGTCAGAGAAGCAGACCCACTAGGAGGTGTGTATCTATATATACATCTACCTATGTATCTATTTATCTGTCTGTTTGAATATCTATCTATCTATCTATCTATGTATTTATCAAGACACTTGTTACAGGAATTTGATCTTTTTTTTTATTTTTTGAAACAGTCTCACTCTGTCACCAGGCTGGAGTGCAGTGGTGTGATCTCGGTTCACTGCAACCTCTCCCTCCTGGGTTAAGCTATTCTCCTGCCTCAGCCTCCTGAGTAGCTGGGATTGCAGGCATGCACCACCATGCATGGCTAATTTTTTTTTTTTTTTTTGTATTTTTAATAGAGATAGGGTTTCACTATGTTGGCCAGGCTGGTCTCGAACTCCTGACCTCAAGTGATCCACCCACCTCAGCCTCCCAAAGTGCTGGGATTACAAGCATGAGCCACCGTGCCCAGCCGGAATTTGATCTTCTATAATTGTGGGAGCAGCCACACACAGTCTGAGTCAGATTGTTGTCTTCATATCTGAAGCTGGAATATGAAGTCCGCAAGACAGTCACTAGGGAAGGGACGGTAAATGTAAATGGGGGCAAAAAAGATTAAGCTGGACCCCAAAGCACAAGATGGAACCCATGAGAAAGGACTAAAACTCTTGACAGTTCCTGTTGCTTCTGACTACAGTAATATAGATGTTTGGAAGATGTGTTCTGAACATACACAGCCGCATACAAGTTTAAAATCTAAAGGAAGATACAAAGGAAGGGGAGCAGTTGCAGGCCCAGCAACTATGAAGATGAGCTAGCCAGTGAAACCACATGTGAGCTACAAGGTGGCTGATGTTCCCCTGCATTCTTACTAGAATAGAAACTTACTCTGATAGAGATCTTCCTTCCTTTCTGCAATGTTTCTGTCAAAACTACAATTCATGGATTTCCTGTATTCTACCCAGCATCATCTCTGACCACACAGTATCACAACAAGGCAAGGAATTTATTTCATAGCAAATGGAAGTATAGCAATTAACTCATGCTTATGGAATTCATGAAACTTACAGTGTTCTCCTTTATTCTGAAGCACTTGACTTGTTAGAATGGTAAAATGATCTTTTGAAGACTCAGTTACTGTGTGAGCTAAGTGACATATTGTAAGCTCTTTTCTCCAGCATTCAGTAGCACCCTAAATCAACAACCATTATATGGTGCTGTTTCGCTCATAGACAGAATTTATAGGTCCAAGAATCAAGAGGTGAAAATGGAACTGTCTCCTCTCACTAATGGCCTTAGTGATCCATGAGCAAAACTTTTGCTTTTCCCCCGTGACTTTAGGTTTAGCTGGCCTAGAGGTCTTTGTTCCAAAGGATGTAATGCCCCTACTAGGAGATAAAACAATCCATTAAACTGGGAGTTGAGACTGGCTCTCAACACTTTCAGCTCTGCATGACACTGAATCAACAGGTGAAAGAGGGGGTGACTGAACTGCTAAAAGTCAGTTTCTGACTGGTGAAAATAGAGGAATTGAGGTTACTTTATATAATGAGACAAATAGGAAGTTTGTTGGAATACAGAAGATGCTCTGGGACACCTCTTAGTACATTCCTGAGAGCAAAGTCCATGGAAAACTGCAACAATCCAATTTAAACAGAACTGCTAAAAACTCAGACCCCTCAAGAGTAAAAGTTAGGACCACCTCACCCAGGAAAAACATCATGACCAGTTGAGGGACTTGGTTAGGGCAAAGGAAATAGAGAAAGGACCATGGAAGAAGGTATGGAAATACCTGAGACTGGGTTATGTATAAGAAAAGAGGCTTAATCAGCTCATGGTTCTGTAGGCTGTTCAGGAAGCATAATGCTGGCATCTGCTCAGCTTCTAGAGAGGCCTAAGGAAGCTTACAATTTATTACTATAAATATTGGCTATGCTATGTGACCAGTTGTAGAAATAAGGACTGTCATAGTTATGAATTTTTTATTTTTATACAAATATTTTTGTTTTATTGCTCCTTTAATCCTTTATAATTTAACGTAAGACATGTTAATAGTGGTTGTCTGTATTTAAGTTACAGGATATCAAAGTGGAGTGTGAACCAGCCAGGAGGAGAACGAATAACACCCAAAGACAAAAAAGGACTTGTTGTCTTTTCTGGGGAAAGGGTTAGTGTGCTTTTCAGTTGCATGTGAGATAGTTGTAGCATAGTAGGAAGACATATGACTTTGTTATTGTTATTTCATATGAAGTATGGTTTAAGGAGATATGTATAGATGCCAAGTTAGCAAGAATTGGACCGTGGTATCTTGTCAACTTGACTAGGTTGAATTACATTTTTCAGAATTCTATTTCATGTAAGTTTTCCATTAGGGAGGGTCAGGAGAAAGACCTTCTTTTAAAAGACTATGGGGCAGAATGATATATTTAAATATCTACATGTAGGTAGATAGGTAGATAGATAAACATACAGACAGAAATATCTCTGTCTTTGTTCAGATAGAATAGATATCTGAACAGAGATAGTTCAGATAGTTCACATATCTGAACAGAGATAGAGATATCTCTGAATATATCCACATATAGATATATTTATATCTATCTTCCCTTTCTAACTACCAGAGCTATGAACTCAAGATTTAGTATAAATGTGATGAAAACAGTCTTACAGAAACTGCCTAACCAGATCAGCTCCACAATTGTTCTATACAGTCAAATCCCTACAATAAATCATTTTACAAATCTTTCTTTTTTTGTAGATTTTACAAAATCGTACAACAAATCTTTAGATTTATAGATCCTACAACAAATCCTTTTAGATCTATAGATCTTGTAGTGGTTTTGCTTCTCTAATTGAACCCTGATATAATGTATTCCAAATGCGGAGCCAATAGAATTTGCTAACATATTGGATTTAGGGTACAAGAGAAAGAAAGAGGTCAAAAATGACTTCAAGGTGTCATTTGGAAACCAGAAACTAGAAGACTGAGAAACCAGAGAGTGAGAGGGCTGAAATTGAATGGGTCTAAGGGAGAAAATTAAAAATGTGTAGCAATGTTATATTTAAAATACCTACTAGACATCTAGATGGGGGTGTCAGGTAAGCACCTGGGTTTACAAGTCTAGAGGCTTCAGTGAAGAGCACTTAACTAAAGAAAAAATGGGAAGTCACCCCAATATCATAGATAATGCTAAGGTTGTGGAAATGGATGTGGGCACCTAGGAAGTGAATATAGAAAAAGAAAGAAAATAATCTAAGAATGAAAAAATGAAAGAAGAAAAAGAATTAGAAAAATGAATAGGATTCATCAGAGATTAAGAAGGAGTAGCCAATACGGTAGATAAAACGGTACCTAGCTATGTCAAATGTTCCTGATAGATGAAGACTAAAAATATAACATTGAATTTAGCAATGGAGAGGTCACTTCTGACTTTGAGTGGAACAACTTTAAGTAGAGTGATGGAGGCGAAAGCTTAACTAGAGCTGACTCATTAGAAAATGAGAGGAGAGGAAAGTGGAGACTAAAAATGCAGTCCACTTTTCTCAGAAATTCTAGTGTCAAGAGTAGCAGGGAAACGGTAGAAGCTGGTGGGAGATATGGGATATAAAACACCTATATTTTTAGGTGGGAAATGTTACAGTATGTTTATATGCTGATGTATCAGGCCGTTCTTGCATTGCTATAAGGAAATAACTGAGACAGGGTTATTTATAAGAAAAGGGGTTTAATCAGCTTATGGTTCTGCAGACTGTACAGGAAGCATAGTACTGTCATCTCCTAAGTTTCTAAGGAGGCCTCAGGAAGCTTACAATCATGGCAGAAGATGAAGGGAGACCAGGCACATCACACAGCAAAAGGAGGAGCAAGTGAGAGAGCCAGTGGGTCAAGAGAGGTGCCACACACTTTTAAATGACCAGACCTCCTGAGAGTTCACTATCACAAGAACAGCACAAAAAGGATGGTGCTAAACCATTCATGAGAAATCTGCCCCTGTGACCACCTCCGGCTGGCCCCACTTCCAACACTGGGGATTACAATTCAACATGAAATGTGGGCAGGGATGAATGTACAAAGTATATCAGCTGATATAAATGATTAAGTAGATCAATAAAAGAAATTAATGATTGGGGAAAACTGCTAAAGCAATGCCCTTGGAAAGATGAATGGGATCTAGAGCACAAGTAGATAGGTCTTGGATTGGAATGTAGGCTGTTTACGTGTAAATGAAAGAAAGGCAGTTATATGAGTTTAGGTATAGATGGATTAGTAGATTTGGTAATGGGAATCTGTGGAAGTTCTTTGCTGATTACTTCTATTTTCTCAGTGAAGAAAGGAACAAGGTGTTCAGCTAATAACGTGGTTTGGGAAGGGAGTTTGAAAAGAGAAGATAAAGAAATACTCATCTAGGAGAGTAGGAGTGTGGATGGACTAGAAAAAAGGTAAGATCGCTGGGAAGCACTTGAGTTTGGTAGACATGGATTTAAGGACAAAGCCTATCTCAGTACATTTCACTGTGGAGAGAAGCAGGACACAACTCCTTCGTGCAAAGTCTGATCTGAAAAAAAAAAAAAAAAAAAGAGAGAGAACAGAAGGAGTAGAGCCAACCATATTCAATTTCTTCTTCAAAGAAAGTGGTCAGATAAGTCAACCTACTTCCAGTACAGAGAAGAAAGCCAAAGGACAGGGAAAAGCTGGAAGTATCTCTTTTCTGGGCTTTTTCTCCTTGGGAATGAAATAGTTGAAAATGTCCTTCCTTCTATGAAAACATGAAAAGGAGGGGTAGGTGTCCCCCTAACGTGTGGCATCGTTTAATAAGGCCCCAATGGGATATGCATTCTGCACACTGTACTACAGGATTTCTTTAAAATACTTCTTAAAGAACCCATCCAATTTTATGCAAGTATTCAAAAGTCTCTAATGGGATTCATTTTAATTATTGTAACAGAAAAAGAAATTCTTGGTCCCCAACATGGAAATCCAAGATGCAAGGAAATCATAGGCTCTGGTAAGTGCTTTCCAAAAATATATGTGAATTTTTTTTTTTTTTGGCTCAGTTGGAGTTACCTGATTCATAGGTCACTAGCAGGGGGCACGTCATTGTGGGTCCCTTCAGAGACTGTCCTCATGCATTCATCAGTCACACTTCCATATGTTAAGTATCACATAGAGCTGGAGCTACAGTACAAGGGAATTTGAACACAAAGGCCTGAAGTTGAAAGCCCCAAAACTGAAAATGCTCCAAGTAATCCATGACTCACCTTGTTTGTATAATTGCAACACACAAACATACAAGTTAATCCTGTCTGGAGTACAAAGATGACATGAGCCAACGACTTCATGGCTAAACTCCTGGTTGGGTCAAGATTCTGAGTACAGTACAACTGGCTTTGCAACAGTCAGATGATACTGTATCTGGGCTATCTGATATAGAAGAATATGTAGAGAGGAAATGTGAGTGGCAAAAAGAATATCGAATTCCCGGCCCAACCCAGAATATTCTAAGTGTTGGCAATAGTAGAAAAGGCTATGGCTGCTGAGACGTCCTTCCAACAATAAAATTGTCTCTTTATGAGATCTTCGAATGATAAAGTAAAGTTTTGCATTTAAATGTAATCAAGTTGTTTAAAAATACATAGCAATGGAAAATGTTAGGAAATTCTACCTAAACACAAATGTGTAAAATGATAGTTAATTTTATTTTTGACATTAGTTTAGCATTCCAGCTAAACCTGGGTAAAATTTGAGATTTTAATGAGATGCTCATATAAGGAGAGCTAAATTTCAATATAGCTGTAGTTTTCCTATAGCAGAAACTGCTCATTTAATTCGACAGAAGAGCTATAAATTCAAGCATAAGTGCCAATACATACGGTAACAAAAAAAATCATAAAAGAAACTCTCTTTCATATTTAACACTGGTTCTCTGCCCCAACTACAATTAGATTCACTTGGGGAAATTTTTAAAAAATATTGATGCCTGGACGCCACTCCAGGTTAATTGTGTCATAATGAAATGGGGAGTGGGGGGGTGGGAAGGCACAGATGAAGCTCAGAAGCTCCTCAGGTGACCCTGTTCTGCACCACGATCTACAACGATTCTCAATCTTGCTGTACTTAGAATCACCTGGGGAAGAAACCGCTGCAGACCAAATTGCATCTTAGATCCATTAAATCAGAAACTTGGATTGCTGGATTCAGGTACAAGTATTTTTAAAGCTCCCTAAGTGATTATAATGTATAGCCAAAGTTGAGAACTACTGCTTTGGAGCCACTGGTCTAATGGAACAAATTGCATTGATTTACTTCCCTTAATATTACTATGTATAACTAACTAAATAAGATGTATTATTTTATGTTTCTTCTTAATATTGGCATAAACCAATAAATTAGTGTATGTATGTTTCATTGTTAGAAGAATATATGAATATTATTTTTGTACCAGATATTCCATCAGGAGCAGAAACGTTCACAGAAAAGGGGCACAAATTTTAGGGGCAGAGTAAGATGTGAACCATACAATCAGCTCTGAGCATCCTCCTCTGCCCATTTGCCTCATATGGTTTTAAGGATGGTAAGTGCAGATAAAGCTGTGAATGAGAAGAGGAACAGAGCAGTCATCATGGAACATGAGAGAGAAGCTATGTATTCAAGGCCCCAGAACCACAAGTAGAAGGAGCCTGGATCCCAGATAATTTTGTGGGTCCCATAGTCCTGAATTGCCTGCCCAGGCTTTAACATGAAAGAGAACAATTTCTCTATTTCATTTAAACCACAGTTATTACAGGGTCTCTTTCAACAGCCAAACCTATTACCTAACTAACACAAGTCATGACCAGGTAGTCTTGCTAACAGAATATCTCATATTCAATTAAGTGTTTTAAATATATACCATTGTTACTGCACCTGAACAACCGAAAACTTCTGTGAGAAGACCAAAAATCTATACTTAGTAGAAATTTTCCTTCTTAATTTTAGCATCTACAGAAATGTGCCCCATATTTTGTCCTGTGAATGACTTTCAAAAGTTCAGACTTGTGTAATGCCCTATAAGTTGAACCAAATATTAATTTCTTTGCAATATATAAAGATTTTATTTAACATAGTGTAATATAAAGATAATATATGTCTAATGTAGTAGATGTCAAGTACAGTATGTGTTTGGTATTTAGACCTTATAAAAAAAATTTTTCTAGCTCTTGTCTACCATGTAGGTAACATATTCCCATTTTATAAATAAAGCAATTCCAGAACATGTTTCAATTCTCTTAATTCCATGGTTTTTTCTATATTATCTCATGTTGCAGTTAAATTTAATTTCAAATTTATACTATTTTAAAATCATTATTGGTATTTCTGCAAATTGTAGTTAGTTTCCATTTGAAATTATTTTCCTCACAATTGTGCTTATGCTGCAATTCACAATGATGACACTGGATGGCACCAAATTTTACCTTTTAAAGTTGATTTTCCATTTAAACTATGACTGGTGCACAGCAAATATTTAAGTTACAGAACTTACTCAAAAACTGAATACTTTAATCACATAAATACAAACCCTAATTCCCAAGTCAATGATAAAAACCAACATAATTGCACCACATGTTTGTAACTGAAGAAACAAATTATGTGCATAAATGAAGATTACAATTCTAAAGTGCTGACTGAAAGTGTATTGTATGTAATAACATCAATGGGTGTTTAAACTTGAAATTGTGTAAACCAAAGGAAAACTGTTCAAATACATGAGTCACAGCAAATTCTAGGAAACTTGTAGTATCAAGACAAAGAAAGTAATGCAAATATGCTCCAGTCATAAGATTTCAGGTTGGAGAATACCTAAAGCTTACTGCAACCATCTATTTTCTTGGACAATCTACTCTGAGAGTTCACTCTGATGTTTCATGCCCTTGGTGAGTTTTCTAGTCTTGCCATGGTCCATAATTTTCATATCAGTATGGCCGTCACTTGAAGGTAATAAGCCTTCAAGATGCAGTTCCTGGAAGATGAGTTCCTGGCTCAGGCTTCCTCTTTCCTCTTCCCTCTGAAGGGAATTTATACATTGAATCCCAAATTGTATATGCTGGCTGATTGTGCATCATAACCAGTCTTTGCACACACTACCACTCAAAAATTAAGTGCACAAGAGAAGGAGGAAAACCAGAAGAGTATAATACAATGGAAGGCAAGATAAGAACCTTGTGAGACTACTACTTTCTTCCAATTGAGCAGACCATTAGCTGGGCGTTGTGGCGGATGCCTGTAATCTCAGCTACCGGGAGGCTGAGGCAGGAGAATCGTTTGAGCCCTAGAGGTTGCAGTGAGCACGAGATCATGCCACAGCACGGCAGCCTGGGCAACAGAGCAAGACTTCGTCTTAAAAACAAACAAACATAAAACAAGCAATTAGACCAAAAATATTTGTAATTGTCCTTGACTCCTCTGTTTTTCTCACATTGCAGACCCAATCCACTAGCAGAGCTCATTGACTGTCTTCAAACATGCACAGTACAGGTCACTTCACTCCACTTCCTCTACTATAACTCCAGTCTAAGCCACAATCACTTCTTGCCTTGGTTATTTCAATGGTGTCATAACTGGTCTTGCTGCTACCACCTTGCTTCCCCCAACCACTGTCAACACAGCTACCACAGTGATCCTGTTAAATGTGATGTATCACTCTGTTGTTCAAAGTCCTTCAATGGCTTTCTCATCTTCATTGGTTGGAAAAAATATGACTTTTTAGGTTAAATCTTTATATTTCCTTATGGCAAAAATATGCATTGTCATTGTAATGAAATCCATCATTTCTAAAATGGATAATATAGTGAAATTCCCAGATAACTTTCTCATCCTAGTAAATACTACTGTTGATAGATTGATACGGATACACATTTTATACAAATGGGATTGTAATATAATATTCTTCTGCAAATTACTTTATTGGCTTAACTTTATATCTTTGGACATTGCTCTATGCCACCATATATATATATATATATATATATATATATATATATATATACACACACACACACACACACACTTACCTCACTTTATTATCTGCAGCACAGTGGTTCATTGAATGGTTTTGCTGTGATTTAATTCACCAATATCCAATATATGGACATTGGATTTAGTTTAGAAAGCTTTTTAACAACAGTACTGCAGTGATCATCACTGCATAAGCATTTTTTTATACATATGAGTATATGTCTGTGGGTAAAGTCCTAGAAATGAAATTGCTGGGCCACAGGGTGTAAGAGACATAAATTAGTGTGATTGCCTTAATTCTCCTAGTTGCCATATCTATTCTCCAGTCCTTCTTGTAAGGAAAACCTCTTCTTCTTCCCAGTTCTTCTCAGGTTTTACATGGAAATCACAGTGTTTTGATATGCCCCTCGTATCCCCTGGCCATGGCAGAGTTGATTCTCTCCATCCTGTAGATGAGATTAATGAGTCTCAAAGAGCTATGGTAAATGGACAGATTCCACATGTTTAGTGAGTGTATGAAATAAAAGTCAAATCAAAGTCCATATGAACACAAAAGTTGCGTTCATTATCCTGTGTTGTGCTTTTATACATATATAAATAATTCTGTTGAAAACATCTGAATATGGAAGCTAATTGGCTTCTATGGGACTCGAGATCTAGACTCTGGTTAAGTTTGTGCATTTCTGAGCAAGAATAAAGGAGAAAGTCCCAACCCTTGCATCTAAATATTTTGGCTTCACAGTAATACAAATCAATGCTTCCCAATATTCATGGACTGAGTATTTTACATTTCATCTGGATGTTTGGGGGTGGTGGAGAACAACAGAATGTGATTGAGCACATACAGTGCTCCAAGAGAGATGTTTCTGTTCATTGTGGCATTTGTAATTCGAGGAAGAAAAACTGGTAGCAATAGAAACATTCATTTATTTGGGCCAGATAAAGCACTCAGATACTGTTGATATTTATAAGCCATAATATAGTTGTAGCGATAAGGCAAAAATAAGGCTGCGAAATTCCTTGTGTTACATGGGACATGTTTCAAGGAGAGATGTTTGTTTCTCTGTGGCAAAATTTTCTATTACTCTTCTCTGAAATCACTGTGGTCTGGAGCAACCTTACCCATCCAATCCCCATGTGGTTCTCAAGCAGACAGTATTGCGTGTGGAGCAAACCTAAAAAGTGAGTCAATCTGCTTCAACACAGCCCCTTTCTTAAAGTATATATATTTCCTGTTATAATAAAACCAACATCAACATGAGATGATGATAAGGATGATGATGATAAGAAGAGTTAACATATACTGAGCATCTATAGTTATGCCCAGGCACCATGGTCTATGGCCATAACCTTATCAAATGTTCTTAACATTATGTGAAACATGTATCATTATTACCCTCATTTTACAGAAGAGAATACAGAGTTCCTAGTAACTGCCCAGATAAACATAGGATCATGATTCAAATCTAAATCAGCCAGATTCTTAATGCCCTTGTTCTCATAATGCCCTCTTATGTTGCCCCCAAAGAGGCCAGAGGCCACAAGGACTTGTCCTTCTCCATGTTCCAGATTTCTCCATGCCTTCCACTTCACTCAGATAGGAATTGGCCAGCTCTGTGCCTTAGCTCTGGGCTGGAGAAGTTTTATTAACTAATCTCATGGTCCAAAATGTATTCAGTTAATAGATTCTAATGTTTGTTTCAAACACAATTATATGTATTTGACATAATTGTCTTGATGTAATGATGTAATGTCTTGAAGTAAGAAATGCAGCCTTGATGCTGAGGCTTTCAGCTCTGTGGCCAGGAGATATGTCTGGCAGACAGATTTACAATGTCCAAAAGACATTCCCAGTGAGAAGGTAGGAAGCAGAGGGAGAGGAAACAGCAGAAGAAAGCCCCCCTCTGCAGGCCACTTCTACCCCAGGCCTCTTCTTGCCTTGCTGTAACACTGCCTCACTAAATCAATCTCTTACTCCAAGCACTGTACCAAAATCAACTCTCTTACTCCATATTTTTATTCAATTCAATTTATCTCCTGAACCCCCGGAAATATGCTGGAAGTGTTCAGAAAATATGTTGAAACTTCAGGTTACATGAAACAGGCTAGTCATGAATAGGACCTCCCCCTATATTAATGCTTGAGTTCCTTATAACTGAGGGTCAATGAAACCTCAATCTCCAAGGATTTTTTTTAATTGTATGGTGCTTATTATCTCCTCCCAGAAGTCCTCTCCAGTTTGTATGCATCTAACTTGGAGTAATTCTACCTAGAAAGAGAAATGGACTTCCATATTTCTTGAGGATGGATGCTTTATGTTGCTTTGTAAGCTCCCTCACGTGTTTCTTTAATGTCTGTATTGTATTTCTATATTGTTCAGGATTCTTGATTGAAAATAACTGAAAGACAGTTCCGACTAACTTAAAAAAATAACTCGGAAGTTCAAGGGATGACCATACAGGTACAGCTGAATTCAGGGGCTCCAGTGATGGCATCAGCCTACGTCTCTCCTACCATCTCTCACCTCTGCCACCTTCTGTGTTCGCTTCCTTCTCAAACATTTATTTTTTATGAGACGATCCGAGGGATGAGCAGCTCAGGTTTAAATTTTGCTAGTGTAACAATTCATGGACATTTTTTTCCCCAGTAGCTCTAGCAAAAGTTTCAGAATTCCTTGAGCTGTTCTCATGCCCAGATTTGAAGCAATCACAGTAGCTAGAATGTGAACACATCCAAAAGGCCAGTCCTATGACATGTATGCTTGCCTGTGGGCGAAACCCAATGCAGCATATGAATTGAGAGTGGAGTGGTCAAGTCCTCAACAGGTAAGAAAGAATGCTGGACAAGAAGAAAAAAAAAAGGACTTTACAATGTTTGTGTCTTAATCAGACTGTGACTTATCAAATGCAAGGGCTACATCTAATAATATCTATTCCTTGAATAATACCCAAAACAGTGCTATATATAAAAGCTCATAAATAAACTCATATTTACACATTTTCTAGCTTCCTCGATTTAGTGTATTAAAAGTGGCCTTTATCTAGATCAAAAGATACATTGCTTTCCCTTAATAAGTTGCTGTTTAAATTACACTAACATCCTTGAGTAAAAGTCATGTATAAGGCACTATACTCAGTATTGTAATGCATATTATTTCATGTGATAATTAGTCCAATCTTGCGGGTAACTATTGTTATTTATTTCTTCAAAGGAGGAAACTGAGGTTCAGAGGGTTAAGTAATTTGCTCAAAGTTTCACAGTTAATAAATGATGAAGCTTGAGAAGCTGTTTGATTCTAATACAGAATTATTTCCGCTAGACTGGAGGTGGACATTTAGAGACCACAGACTTGTTTGGACAGAAAAATATGTTAAAATATTGAATTGACATACTTTCAGGAGCATCATGTAATCACCTATTTATGATAAAAACCAATCTCCGTTGACTTACCACTGACTTTATCATACATTTATGATACCTGCATGGTGTCCAGAAGCTTTTGAGTTTGGGCCCAGCACAAGAGCACACTGGAATTTAGAGAAAGAAGAAATTATTTGTGCTCTGTTGTCTTGCATGAGTGTGATTT
Source organism: Homo sapiens (assembly GCF_000001405.40). NCBI lineage: Eukaryota > Metazoa > Chordata > Mammalia > Primates > Hominidae > Homo > Homo sapiens. The sequence continues at coordinate 122,224,601 of NC_000007.14, forward strand.
TCTTGCTAAAAGTACAATAATTACACACTTTTGAAAATTCCATCTGAATTGCATAGTATTGATGCAGTCACTGACAAAAAGAAAAATATAACAAAATACAGAAGAAAAAAGATAAATGTATATGATAAAAGTGGCATTCTAATCAGTAGGAAAGGATTAACTATTCAATAAATAGTGTTATCACAACCTGATGATACATTTTGGGGAAAAAAACTAAATTAGATTCTGCTTCACACTATATGCAAAAGTAAACTCGAAAAGTACTAAGATACTAAAAGAAAATATTGAAAAGATATTGTTATAATTTGAGGATGGGGAAAATCTTTGTAAGGAAGTCATGAAAGAGCTATAAAAAAAAAAGACTGGAATATTTGCCTAGATAAAACAAGGAGCTTTCATTTGTTGGAAAGCATTACAACCCTATAACAAACTATAGCACACAAAGAGTGCTTGTAAAACTGGTGAAATCAGAATTAGCTATGTGGAAGGTACCAATGTCAATTTCTTGATTTTGATAGTGTTACCTTAGTTACGCAAGATGTTACCACTGGTGGAAGCTGGGTGAAGGGAGCACAGTATCTCTGTGTATTTTGTGGCACAGTTTACTGTGTATCTGTAATTGTTTCAAAATAAAAAGTTAAAAAATGAAAATAAATGTGTGGGTATTTGCAGAACAATTTTTTAAAACTTGTGTTTAGTTGTGGGACATGATAAATACGTGGGTATCTGTAGAGGAGAAAAGCAAATGAAGAAATGTAATAGTTCCATAAAATAGCATTGCTAAGAGAAGCCCGGGTTCTGAAGTCAGGAGAACAGGGATGGAACCCTCATAGTACCTACCACATACAGATTATTATGAGAATTACATGAGCTAACTCACTCATTTAAGCTATAAAGCACTCAACTCAGTACTTGGAAAATAGTAACTATCCAATACAGGTTAATTATAATTAAAATTATATTTAGTCATATTTAAATGTATTCTGTAAATGAATACCTTCATAATTTTGGATTTTTGTTATAGTTCTGAACCTGGTACAAGTATAAAAATGCAATGACAGCTATTTCAACCTCATTTTTGTACTAGAAAATAATTTATTAAATCCTTCATAGGAAACCATTGGAGCTCTAATTTTCTTCACTCACTAGTTCACAGCATGTTGGAAAGTGTATTATGCTATTGGTTATTTACTCTTGGAATTTCATTCACACTGTTCTCACGAAGTATTGCCAAGGGGAAGAGATGAAAAACAGAATTGTGAATCTTTTTTATCCAGATGTCACTGCTAACTCCATCTCTGAACACTGGTGATATTAAAGACTAAAGTGAGTCGTTAAAATGTGACCTTTAAATTACACAATCTTTTTATTAAAAAAGATTATTTACTCAAAAGGCAGTGAGGAGCCCACAGCCCACTGCTGTTTATAGCATTTTCTAATACAGGCAAGTTTCTGTCCTAGAGAAAAAAACATGAACGGACTAGATATTGGAATGACCAATGAAACCACATGGGCGTGACTGTAACAGAAAACTTGGTAAAGGGTAAAGTCACAATTGCTAAATGTTACTGACCAGTCTCATGATCATCAAGACATCAGATATCCTGCAAGCACTGTTTTCAGAATGGAGTACTAAAAGCTAAGATTAGATGAAGATGATCACCAGTGGGTGAAAGATGACATTAATAAAATTTAGGAGGTTTAAAATTCTTCATGCAAGTCAATCAGTTCATCAGCCCAAACTGCTTTACCACTGAATTTTTAAAAACTGGAATTAGAAGTTATATTTTTCTTTAAAACTTCAGATGCAAAAACATGAACAAGATCTAAAATTAAGGAACTGTCAAACACCACATTATAGTTAATTGTGAGAAAGAATTTTTAAAACTTTTTTCAGGAACACTGGGGAATGCTAAAATGATGAATTTCAGGTTGTATCAAAGAGGACACTTTCCCATAATATCTGAGGCCTGCCACAAGGGAAGAGGGGCAGGGAGCAGCTCTTTTCCAATAAAAGGAAGGATTTGCAATGTCTTACCTCTATTATTAATTATCCTGGCATCCTGGCATTTGATATTTGCTATACCTGATTTGTGAAAGTTATTAAAATCTCAAGGAAAACACTATCAATTCCAATTTGAAGTGCCCAAACTTGTCAGCTTATCTGGTTTTATTAAAAACTCAAATCTGTCCCTCAGCTTATTTTCACCCAACTCTGTGATTAAGCTGCTCTGGGCACTGTTCCCAGTGCCCATTGAAGAATGTCTCTCGACATAAACTACAACTACTATTTATTAATATTGGTCACGACTCTTCTATTAGTAAGAGTTAGAACTCTGACTCAAACCAGCTTAAAAAATAAAACAAAAGGAATTATATAAATTCATATAATTATTAGTGTCTTAAGAAACTAACGTTCACTTAATCCTGGACCTGCTTTTCCATTCTGTCATTTTAACCTATAAAATGTGATACATTACTTCACTGTTATTTACCAGAATTTTCTATAAAAATATAAGCTAATTATTCATCACTATGGCATATACTAGGTAACTTATTAATGATAAAAGCTGTATAAAGCAACTACATTGGTTAATGGAAAAAAAAAAAAGATCCAGAATAATGGAGCCCCGTAGTCACTTGCCCCACCTAAATTAATCACTTTGGCCCAGGATGGGACACTCTGATTGACTGAGCCTGAATCATGTGCCAAAGTCATGTGCCCCCTCAGATGAAGGGAGAGGGCTGCTAAACAGACCTTAAAACGTATCTAACTTTAAAAAAAAGAAAAGAAAACTAACTAATATGTTTATTGGGCACTTAAAAAAATGTGCCAAGCACTGTAATTAGTAAGCATTTTACCTATAGGATTGCTTTTCATCCTTACATCATCCCCAATAGTTAGGTATTATTCTTTATAGATGATAACTTTGAGAATTAAAGAGTTAAGTAACTTCCCCCAAGGTCTCACTGCCAATGAGTGGAGGTATTGAGACCTAAACCTAGGCGGTCTAAGTCCCACTTGACTGTTAAACTGTGCTTCTGACAGCAATGTCACAGCCTTCTCTTTGTCTTCTATTATTTGTCTTCTATTATTATTATTATTATTATTATTATTATTATTATTTGTGACAGAGTCTCACTCCATCACCCAGACTGGAGTGCAGTGGTGCAATCTTGGCTAACTGCAACCTCCGTCTCCCAGTTTCAAGCCATTCTCATGCCTCACCCTCCTAAATATGGGACTACAGGTGTGCGCCACCACACCCAGCTAATTTCTGTATTTTTAGTAGAGATGGGTTTTCACCATGTTGGCCAGGCTAGTCTCAAACTCCTGACCTCAGGCGATCCACCTGCCTCAGTCTCCCAAAGTTCTGGGATTATAGGCATGAGCCACTGCGTCCGGCCAGTCTTCTGTTATTTTTGTATATAGTAAACACACAGTCCCTTTAGTCTTCAAATATAATATTTGGTCTTCATCTTTTTCCTATAAAATATGGAAGTAAGTTTGATAATCTGATCTACTGATTGAGAGTATTATGATGAGGTGGGTTCTGGGAGCACAATTTACATGAGAGAGGAGACTAAAGCAGTAAGATGTCTAGCAAAGACTAGATCCCTGTGCTGAAGCAAAGAGCATCATGGAGCTGAGTGCTCACAAGTTCTTGAAGAGAGCAAGACAGGAGAGGCATCCCAACAACAGCAAGTCCCAGTCAGGGGTGAAACAAACAATGATAAGAATGTGGAGGGGTTTTCAATTTCTGATATGATTATTTGCTCAGCACATTCATTCTGGAGCTAAACTGAGAATATTTAAACCCTCATTCATGTTGTCATCAGTATTATTGCTCAGATTCTGTGTGGCAAATCAGCTTTAGTCTTCTTTTTACATCATCTGAGCATCCAAATTAATGACTACTGAAAACAGAGTCAGTGTAGGGATAACAGCATGCATTTGGGGAATGAAAGAAAACCTCAGGGCATCATAAATAACACAAGGGCAGGACAAATACAATCAAAGGTTCCTTGTTTGCAGTTTTTGACCATAACACTAATGGAATAGCCCCTAAGATGACATGTGAAGGGGTTATACCAAACTCTTATCAAACTTTTCCTTCAGATATTTCCCATATTAACCAGTTCTTAATTGGTATTCCAGAGATAGTAACATATTTTATTATAAGCTTATATCGAAGCATAAATATTATTCAAGGTACATGCATAATAAGGTGATAAATGACTTATCCAGAACTTCACTTAAATTAAATTAACATTGAGAGTGGAGTTTTCCTTTTTCAAAAGAGTTCCACGCAATCTACTGCTTTCCCCCTGCTGAGAGTGCTAATTTATTTTTTCTTTGCTAGAAAACCAGGAGACGGTCTTAAGACTGGGTTTTTTATTTATTAATTTCTTTCATTGATTCTAAGATACTTTAACAACAACTGTGCATCAGTGGATACAGTATTTTCAAGCTATTTAATGTAATGTCAGACAGTATGTTTCCTAGTAGAAAGAGAATCCCTTTGGAGTGTTAGGCAGTTTGCCTCTCTGTATAAGACTTAAAAATACAAACAGTAGCAATTATTTATCACAGCCTCAGAAGCCTAGTTGTTGGATGGAAGTCTTTGCTTAACAAAGGACACGTGCAGAGTAATGTTCATTTTCCAGATTTTTTACTCAGAAAGCAATTCAAAGTGAGCATGTTCAAGTAAAATATTTATCATTATTAGTAGTTATTTAGGACTTTTCTCTCATTCTTCGAAGCTTTAAAACTCAAGGAGAGAAAAATAAGCACTCCTCTGCTTGTCAAAGGTATTTTATATTATAGCTAGTAAGTACAGACACCCATTAAGTGACTTATCTGTGTCTCCATGACCATCCAATTGTGATTTGTCATCAGCATTCTCTTCCTTCTCATTTTTTCCAAATAGGCATAAGGCAAGACTCCAATCCACAAACTGCTTGTGTTCTAAAAATTAATTTGTAGATAAATACTGCTAGAGCAGGATAACTAGTTGTGTGATTTGGGGCAAATGATTTAGTGTCTCTGAGTTTAATTCTTCGTATACAAAATAAGCCTAATTTCTAATTTACAGGATTATTGTGAAGATTTAGTAAGATAATGAATATAACGTATTTAGTACACTACCTAGCAAAGAATGAATGTGAGATGGAATATAACCTACAATGGTCAATTTGAGAGATATAAACATTGAAACCAAATGTTATATGTGTCAATATCATATCTTGGAGTCAAGAATATGCAGGTCATTTTTTCAAGTAAGTTTCTTATTGAGAAATACATATAGTAAAACACAGAAGTCATAAATGTAACTCAATAACCACACGTAGCTCAATAGCTCAATAAATTCTTTAAATATAAACACACCCGCATAACCAAATCAAGAACTAGAAGCAGTGTTCCAGAAGCCCACTCCCTTGTTCTTTCTCCCAGTCACTACCACCTTCTTAAAGGTAATCAGTATTCTGACTTCTGAATTAATTGTTTAATTTTAATATCTCTGGGTTGGAATGATCTTGAGCACCTTATTATAGGCTTATTGATCATTTGGATATCCTCTTTTGTGAAGTACCTGTTTACCTTATTTGTCCAGCTGTCTATTAGTTGATCATTTTCTCATTGATTTGTAGATTTGTTTTGTTTTGGTTTGAGATGGAGTCTCATTCTGTCACCCAGGCTGGAGTGCAGTGGTGCGATCTCAGGTCACTGCAACCTCCACCTCCCAGGTTCAAGTGATTCTCTTGCCTCAGCCTCCCAAGTAGCTGGGATTACAGGTGCATGCCACCATGCCTGGCTAACTTTTGGATTTTTACTAGAGACAGGGTTTCACCATGTTGGCCATGGTTGGCCAGGCTGGTCTCAAACTCTTGACCTCAGGTGTTCTGCCCACCTCGGCCTCCCAAAGTGCTGGGATTACAGGAGTGAGCCACCAGGCCTGGCTATTTTTTAAATATGTTGTACTTTTGATGTCTTTATCAGATATACGGATGTAAATTTTTTCCCTCTGAACCTTGTCTTTTACTTCCTTAATGACTTTTCTAAATAAATAGAAGTTCTTGATTTTAATGTGGTCTAATTTACCAATTTTTTCATTTTTATTTACAAGCCACATGAGTAACAACATTAGAAACAAACAACAGATTGAGACAATTAACGGCTTCATAGGTTAAGATATGTGAGATATAATTACTAGATGGAAAATACCTAAAAAATAGGCCAGGGGTGATGACTCATGACTGTAATCCCAGCACTTTGGGAGGACATGGTGGGAGGATTGCTTGAGCCAAGGAGTTCAAGACGAGCCTGGACAATAAAGCAAGATCCCATCTCTATAAAAAAAAGTTAAAAATTAGCTGGGCATGATGGTGGTAGTCCCAGCTACTTGGGAGGCTGAGGTGGGAGGATCACTTGAGCTCAGGAGTTATAGGCTGCGGTGAGTCATGGCCACACCCCTACACTCCAGCCTGGGCAACAGAGTGAGCCCATCTCTTAAAAAAATAAAATAAAATCTGAGACTATTTGAAACTTACTTTTTAATGGAAATTAGGTGCATAAAACTGGCTTAATCATGACCCTTGAATTATGACACAGTAGAGTCATTTACCCAAGAATGGCCTGTTTTATTTTATTTTATCTTTAAAATATAATGAACACTTGGAAATTAATTACCAAACTTCAGCTCTTCACCAAATCTGAGAACTTAAAATATTAACAGTTAACTTAAACATTTACCAATAAGAATAACAACAATAATAATAATACCTCAGTGGATTGGTTAGCAACATATTAAACACATTTGACAGAGAATTAAAGAATCAAAAGAGAGAGCAGATTCCAAGACAATGAGAAAAGAGTGAGAAAAGAATATGGAAAATATAAAAGGAAATTTAAGAGATAAGAAATTTCAAATATGGTGGCCTAAATGGAGTCTAAGCAAAAGACAATAGAGAATATGGAGAAAAGGTGATGACTCACCAAGAGGTAATGACTGACATTTTTTTCAGAACTGATAAAGGATATCAAGCATCGTATTTTAAAAACCCAATAAAACCAAAGCCAATTATATAGAAATTCATACCTAAAATGGTATAATGAAACTGAGAACAAGAAGATTGAACCACACATTTTTTCTTTTTTTAAAAAAATTTTTTTCCACATCCTCTCCAGCACCTGTTGTTTCCTGACTTTTTAATGATTGCCATTCTAACTGGTGTGAGATGATATCTCATAGTGGTTTTGATTTGCATTTCTCTGATGGCCAGTGATGATGAGCATTTCTTCATGTGTTTTTTGGCTGCATAAATGTCTTCTTTTGAGAAGTGTCTGTTCATGTCCTTCGCCCACTTTTTGATGGGGTTGTTTGTTTTTTTCTTGTAAATTTGTTTGAGTTCATTGTAGATTCTGGATATTAGCCCTTTGTCAGATGAGTAGGTTGCGAAAATTTTCTCCCATGTTGTAGGTTGCCTGTTCACTCTGATGGTAGTTTCTTTTGCTGCGCAGAAGCTCTTTAGTTTAATTAGATCCCATTTGTCAATTTTGGCTTTTGTTGCCATTGCTTTTGGTGTTTTGGACATGAAGTCCTTGCCCACGCCTATGTCCTGAATGGTAATGCCTAGGTTTTCTTCTAGGGTTTTTATGGTTTTAGGTTTAACGTTTAAATCTTTAATCCATCTTGAATTGATTTTTGTATAAGGTGTAAGGAAGGGATCCAGTTTCAGCTTTCTACATATGGCTAGCCAGCTTTCCCAGCACCATTTATTAAATAGGGAATCCTTTCCCCATTGCTTGTTTTTCTCAGGTTTGTCAAAGATCAGATAGTTGTAGATATGCGGCATTATTTCTGAGGGCTCTGTTCTGTTCCATTGATCTATATCTCTGTTTTGGTACCAGTACCATGCTGTTTTGGTTACTGTAGCCTTGTAGTATAGTTTGAAGTCAGGTAGTGTGATGCCTCCAGCTTTGTTCTTTTGGCTTAGGATTGACTTGGCGATGCGGGCTCTTTTTTGGTTCCATATGAACTTTAAAGTAGTTTTTTCCAATTCTGTGAAGAAAGTCAATTGGTAGCTTGATGGGGATGGCACTGAATCTGTAAATTACCTTGGGCAGTATGGCCATTTTCACGATATTGATTCTTCCTACCCATGAGCATGGAATGTTCTTCCATTTGTTTGTGTCCTCTTTTATTTCCTTGAGCAGTGGTTTGTAGTTCTCCTTGAAGAGGTCCTTCACATCCCTTGTAAGTTGGATTCCTAGGTATTTTATTCTCTTTGAAGCAATTGTGAATGGGAGTTCACCCATGATTTGGCTCTCTGTTTGTCTGTTGTTGGTGTATAAGAATGCTTGTGATTTTTGTACATTGATGGCTCTTGAGTTCTTTATTGTGGGAGATTTGTCTATCACTGCAGCAATACTGTACTGTCTTGATTACAAGAGCTTTAGAATAATTCTTGTTATCTGGTAAAGCAAGTATGCCCACTTTGGTATTCTCTTTACATGAACGCTTTGATGATTTCATACAAATTTTAAAATTAGCTTGACAAATTCTAAAAAAACTTTTCAGAAATTTGATTGGAATTTCTTTGAATCTATAAAGCAATTTTGAGATAACTTATATCTTTATTATATTGAGTCTTCCAGTCTATAAACATGGTATATTGCTCCATTTACTTTCATTTTCTTTAAATGTATATCATTAAATTAAAAAAATTTTCTCATTAAAGGTTCTACACATTTGTTATTTTTGGAACTGCTGTTTTATATATTTTAATGTTATTGTAAATGGGATCAGTTTTAGAAATAACATTTTCAGTGTTTATTGTTGTTAAAAAAAAAAAAAAAAAATTTTTTTAGAGACAAGTTCTCACACTGCCACCTAGGCTGAAGTGTAGTGGTGGTATCATACCTCAACTGATTCTTCAACCTCAGCCTCCAGAGTAGCTGGGATTACAAGCACAGGCCACTATGCCTGGCCTGAACATTTTCAACTTAAAACTGTGTAATTGTCAAACAGCTAGGGAGGAAGAAAAGATGAATAAACTAAGAGTAACATGGATGCTGGAGAACAATAGAATAATATATGCAGAGTTTATTGAGAAAAAAAAATCACAACCTGGATTTGTAGAGACCTCAGAAGTTTCTCAAAAAAATGCCTGCCCCTGGTCTCATCTTTGTCGGAAGATAAAGAAAAAATGAACACATAGTGATAGATCTTCACTAGGGAAATTCCTAAAGACGTAATTCAGGAGGAAGGAAAAGAAGCCCAGAAAAGAAGATTTGAATGCAAGAAGGAAAGAAAATTGAAAAAATATATAATTGTAGATAAATCTAAGGAAGTATTGATTAGAATTAAGATGTGATTAGAATTAAGATCCTGGTTTCAAATGGGGATTAGGAATTAAGTTTGGACTTCGTTAAAAGTACACTATAAAATTTTAAAGATATTAACCAATAAAATAGAAATAGGACATATAACTTCCAAATTAGTAAAGAAAAAATACGTGATTAAAAAAAAAAAAACCAAAAGCAAAATAAGCCAAAGGGAATGAAAAAAAGAAAAATAAATGAGACAAATATAAAGCAAAAAGTTATGTGGTAGAAACTGGTAAAATATTTCAGTACTATATAGGCAAAAAATATCAACAAAAGACAACCTGGATAGCTGTTTTAATAATCAGACAACCTGGATAGCTGTTTTAATATCAGCTGTTTTAATTTAAGACAAAAGAAAAGCTTTATTTGTGATTTATTTTTTAAAAAATCACTATATGAAGATGAGAAGTTCAATTAATCAAGGTCGTTTAAACATTTAACTTTGTATACATATAGTTAAATAGCTTCAAAATACTCAAGGAAAAGGTAATTAAAACTATAATAAGAAATGGACAGCTTTCCAACTTTGACCCGAGAGAATGGCTCCTGCAAAGAAGGGTGATGAGAAGAAAAAGGGCCATTCTGCCATCAACGAGGTGGTGACCCGAGAATACACCATCAATATTCACAAGTGCATCCATGGAGTGGGCTTAAGAAGCGTGCCCCTCGGGAACTCAAAGAGATTCTGCAATTTGCCATGAAGGAGATGGGAACTCCAGATGTGCACATTGATACCAGGTGCAACAAAGAGGTCTGGGCCAAAGGAATAAGGTATGACCCACACGGTATCTGTGTGCGGTTGTCCAGAAAACGTAATGAGGATGAAGATTCACCAAATAAGCTCTATATTTTGGTTACCTACATACCTGTTACCACTTTCAAAAATCTAAAGACAGTCGATGTGGATGAGAACTAATCGCTGATCATCAAATACATCAAATAAAGTTATAAAATTGCAAAAAAAAAAAGAGGAAATGGACAATCACCATTAAAGGGAGAGATGTCAACACAGCTCTCTATTATTGAGAGGCCAATGGATAGAAAAGGTTTGAACAATGAAATAGGCTATACATATACAGAACCCTCCACCTAAAACAGAGAATGCAAATTCTTCTCTAGCACATAGGAAATAAGTAAAAAAAAAAAAAAAAAAAAAAAGGCCACAAGCAAGGTTTTTTACTTTTAGGTCAAAAAACTTTAAAAATTGCTATCAGACTATATTTGCTTATGACAATGCAATTATGTTATAAATTAATAACAAAAAAGTTACATCTGACAAAGGTCTGATATCCAGAATCTACAAAAAACTTAAAAAAATGAAAAAGAAGCAACCGCATTAAAAAATGGGCCAAAGACACGAACAGACACATCTCAAAAGAAGACATACAAGAAGCTAACAAACATGAAAAAAAAGTTCCACATCACTAATCATCAGAGAAATACAAAACAAAACCACAGTGAGACACCACCTCATACCAGTCAGGATGGATATTATTAAAAAGGTCAAAAAACAACACATGTTGGTGAGACTGTAGAGAAAAGGGACTGCTTACACACTGTTGGTGGGAGTGGAAAGTACTTCAGTCAGTGTGGAAAACAGTTTGAAGATTTCTCAAAGAACCTAAAACAGAACCACCATTTAACTCAGAAATCCCATTACTGGGTATATATCCAAAAGAAAATAAATCATTCTACCAAAAGACACATGCACTCACACCTTCATTGCAACATTATTCACAATATCAAAGACATGGAATCAACCTAGGTGCCCACCAACAGTGGATTAGATACAGAAAATGTGGTGCATATATAACAAGAAATACGAAGGAGTCATAAAAAGAATGAAATCATGCCCTTTGCCTCAACATGGATGCAGCTGCAGGCCTGATATGGTTAGGCTTTCTGTCCCCACTCAAATCTCATCTTGAATTGTGATCCCCATAATCCAAGGGAGAGACCAAGTGGAGGTAATTGAATCATGGGGGCAGTTTCCCCATGCTGTTCTCATGATAGTAAGTGAGTTCTCACAAGATCTGATGGTTTTATAAGGGGCTCTTCCCTCTTTGCTCAGCATTTCTCTTTCCTACCACCTTGTAAAAAAGGTGCCTTGGTTCCTCTTCACCTTCCACCATGATTTTAAGTTTCCTGAGGCCTCCTCAGCCATGCAGAACTGTGAGTCAATTAAACTTCTTTCCTTTATAAATTACCCAGTGTCAGGCAGTTCTTTATAGCAATGTGAAAACGAACTAATACAAGCGAATTCAAAAAGGAACAGAAAACCCAGCAAATACTGTATGTTCTCACTTATAAGTAGGAGCTAAACATTGGGTACTCATGGACATAAAAATGGCAACAATAGAAACTGGGGACTACTAGATGGGGGAGGGAGGAAGGGAGGCAAGGGTTGAAAAACTAAATGTTGAGTATTAGAATCAGAACCTGGGTGACAGGATAATTTGTATACCAAATCCCAGCATCATGTAATATACCCATGTACATGTTACTACTGAATCTAAAATAAAAGTTGAGCCAGGCACTTTGACTCACACCTGTAATCCCAGCACTTTGGGAGGGCAAGGCAGGAAGATTGCTTGAACCCAGGAATTGAAGACCAGCCTGGGCAACGTGGTGAAACCCTGTCTCTATTAAATATATACATACATACATACATAAAAACATAAATAAATAAAATAAACTAAAAACTAGAAAAGAAACTTTTAAAAAAGTTGAAAAAGATTATAAAAGTAAATACAATCTCAAATCATTTAAACCACAATTCTAAGTGACTTTTGAGATTGAATATTTTGTTCACTGAATCTACGCATATACATAACTAAACAAACTGAAATTCTATCATTTCAGCATACCTATTTTGATAAATCAAGATTTAACTATATATAAAATATATAGGAAACTACCAAAAGATATTGAAAATAAGAATGTAATTTTTTTTTTTTTTTGAGACAGAGTCTTGCTCTGTCACCCAGGCTGGAGGGCAGTAGCACGATCTCGGCTCACGGCAAGCTCTGCCTCCCAGGTTCACACCATCCTCCTGCCTCAGCCTCCCGAGTAGCTGGGACTGCAGGCGCCCGCCACCACGCCTGGCTAGTTTTTTGTATTTTTAGTAGAGATGGGGTTTCACCATGTAACTAACATTTTTAAGATACAATAGGGTGTCCAAACTTTTGGCTTCCCTGGGCCACATTAGAAGAAGAAGAATTGTCTTGGGCTGTGCATAAAATACACTAACACTAATGACAGCTGATGAGCTAAAAAGCAAATTGCAAAAATAAAAATAAAAATAAAAATCTCATAATATTATAAGAAAGTTTACGAATTTGTGTTGGGCTGCATGCAAAGCCATCCTGGACCATATGTGGCCTGTGGACTGTGGCTTAGTCAAGCTGATATTGGATAAGGAAAGAGCTAACAGAAAGTGTGAATTGCTCATTTTCTTATTTATTTCTGCAGGGAATAGAACCATTTAAATTTGCTAAATTAAAAAATAGAAGATTAACTGTAATATTATATAAACTGCTATAAAGTTAAGTAGAAGTTTTAAAACAGACAAAACATTGTTGAACTTATAAAAAGAAAAACCACACACATAAAAAAAAAAAAAATCCAAGGCTGAGTGCAGTGTCTCATGCCCATAATCCCAGCACTTTGAGAGGCTGAAGCAGGAGGATCACTTGAGCCCAGGAGTTCAAGACCAACCTGGGAAACATAGCAAGACCTTGTTTCTACCAAAAAAAAAAAAAAAAATTAAATAGCTGGGCATGGTGACATACACTTGTAGTCTCAGCCACTTGGGAGGCTGAAGTGGGAGGATCACTTGAGCCTAGAAGTTCAAGGCTGCCATGAGCTATGATCACACCACTGCACTCCAGCCTGGGTGACAGAGCAAGACCCTGTCACCAAGAAATAAAGCCTAATACATTTATTGTATCGACAAATATAAATGGCATATATTCATCTACTAAAAGAAAAACTCTCATATTGGGTACAATTTTTAAATTGTATATTGTGTATATGAGACATCTAAAACAATGTGATTCACAAAAGATTAAAAAACAAGAATATATAAATACAGTCACGCAAAGCTAACTGAAACAAGAGTTAAAATATAATCTTTTTTAATATATAAATATTAATTGGAGACCACATTTGCTGAGTGCTGTGTGCCAGGAATGTGCTTTACATAAATGATACGTTAAATCCTAAAAACAGCCCTCTGAAGCGTATTGGCCACATTTTACAGATGAAGGAACTGAAGCACAGAGAGATTTAAAAACGTATTCAAAGTTGTATAACTGGTCATCAGAGGAGACAGAATTCCAACCCAAATTTTCTAGCTCTAGATCCTGTCTAGCAGCAATATTCTGTCTTTACAGTTAAAAAAATAAAAGAACTATTTAAAATGTATAATTTTAGTTGCACAGAACTTTTTTTAGAAAGGATACACTAGAAATTATCAAAATAGTAGTTACCTTTACAGAGAATGACTAGGAATGAAAAGAGGATTTTAGGGCGGAGGAGCCAAGATGGCCGAATAGTAACAGCTCCCGTCTACAGCTCCCAGCGTGAGCGACGCAGAAGACGGGTGATTTCTGCATTTCCATCTGAGGTACCGGGTTCATCTCACTAGGGAGTGCCAGACAGTGGGCACAGGTCAGTGGGTGCGTGCACCGTGCGCGAGCCGAAGCAGGGCGAGGCATTGACACACTTGGGAAGCACAAGGGGTCAGGGAGTTCCCTTTCTGAGTCAAAGAAAGGGGTGACGGACGGCACCTGGAAAATCGGGTCACTCCCACCTGAATACTGCGCTTTTCCGACGGGCTTAAAAAACGGTGCACCACGAGATTATATCCTGCACCTGGCTCAGAAGGTCCTACGCCCATGGAGTCTCGCTGATTGCTAGCACAGCAGTCTGAGATCAAACTGCAAGGCGGCAGCGAGGCTGGGGGAGGAGCGCCCGCCATTGCCCAGCCTTGATTAGGTAAACAAAGCAGCCAGGAAGCTACAACTGGGTGGAGCCCACCACAGCTCAAGGAGGCCTGCCTGCCTCTGTAGGCTCCACCTCTGGGGGCAGGGCACAGACAAACAAAAAGACAGCAGTAACCTCTGCAGACTTAGGTGTCCCTGTCTGACAGCTTTGAAGAGAGCAGTGGTTCTCCCAGCACGCAGCTGGAGATCTGAGAACCGGCAGACTGCCTCCTCAAGTGGGTCCCTGACCCCTGACCCCCGAGCAGCCTAACTGGGAGGCACCCCCCAGCAAGGGCACACTGACACCTCACATGGCAGGGTATTCCAACAGACCTGCAGCTGAGGGTCCTCTCTGTTAGAAGGAAAACTAACAAACAGAAAGGACATCCACACCAAAAACCCATCTGTACATCACCATCATCAAAGACCAAAAGTAGATAAAACCCCAAAGGTGGGGAAAAAACAGAACAGAAAAACTGGAAACTCTAAAACGCAGAGTGCTTCTCCTCCTCCAAAGGAACGCAGTTCCTCACCAGCAACGGAACAAAGCTGGATGGAGAATGACTTTGACGAGCTGAGAGAAGAAGGCTTCAGACGATCAAATTACTCTGAGCTACGGGAGGACATTCAAACCAAAGGCAAAGAAGTTGAAAACTTTGAAAAAATTTTAGAAGAATGTATAACTAGAATAACCAATACAGAGAAGTGCTTAAAGGAGCTGATGGAGCTGAAAACCAAGGCTCGAGAACTACGTGAAGAATGCAGAAGCCTCAGGAGCCGATGCGATCAACTGGAAGAAAGGGTATCAGCAATGGAAGATGAAAGGAATGAAATGAAGTGAGAAGGGAAGTTTAGAGAAAAAAGAATAAAAAGAAATGAGCAAAGCCTCCAAGAAATATGGGACTATGTGAAAAGACCAAATCTACGTCTGATTGGTGTCCCTGAAAGTGATGGGGAGAATGGAACCAAGTTGGAAAACACTCTGCAGGATATTATCCAGGAGAACTTCCCCAATCTAGCAAGGCAGGCCAACGTTCAGATTCAGGAAATACAGAGAACGCCACAAAGATACTCCTCAACAAGAGCAACTCCAAGACACATAATTGTCAGATTCACCAAAGTTGAAATGAAGGAAAAAATGTTAAGGGCAGCCAGAGAGAAAGGTTGGGTTACCCTCAAAGGGAAGCCCATCAGACTAACAGCTGGTCTCTCGGCAGAAACCCTACAAGCCAGAAGAGAGTGGGGGCCAATATTCAACATTCTTAAAGAAAAGAATTTTCAACCCAGAATTTCACATCCAGCCAAACTAAGCTTCATAAGTGAAGGAGAAATAAAATCCTTTACAGACAAGCAAATGCTGAGAGATTTTGTCACCACCAGGCCTGCCTTACAAGAGCTCCTGAAGGAAGCACTAAACATGGAAAGGAACAAACAGTACCAGCCGCTGCAAAATCATGCCAAAATGTAAAGACCGTCAACACTAGGAAGAAACTGCATCAACTAACGAGCAAAATCACCAGCTAACATCATAATGACAGGATCAAATTCACACATAACAATATTAACTTTAAATGTCAATGGACTAAATGCTCCAATTAAAAGACACAGACTGGCAAGTTGGATAAAGAGTCAAGACCCATCAGTGTGCTGTATTCAGGAAACCCATCTCACGTGCAGAGACACACATAGGCTCAAAATAAAAGGATGGAGGAAGATCTACCAAGCCAATGGAAAACAAAAAAAGGCAGGGGTTGCAATCCTAGTCTCTGATAAAACAGACTTTAAACCAACAAAGATCAAAAGAGACAAAGAAGGCCATTACATAATGGTAAAGGGATCAATTCAACAAGAAGAGCTAACTATCCTAAATATATATGCACCCAATACAGGAGCACCAAGATTCATAAAGCAAGTCCTGAGTGACCTACAAAGAGACTTAGACTCCCACACATTAATAATGGGAGACTTTAACACCCCACTGTCAACATTAGACAGATCAATGAGACAGAAAGTCAACAAGGATACCCAGGTATTGAACTCAGCTCTGCACCAAGCGGACCTGATAGACATCTACAGAACTCTCCACCCCAAATCAACAGAATATACTTTTTTTTCAGCTCCACACCACCCCTATTCCAAAATTGACCACATACTGGGAAGTAAACCTCTCCTCAGCAAATGTAAAAGAACAGAAATTATAACAAACTATCTCTCAGACCACAGTGCAATCAAACTACAACTCAGGATTAAGAATCTCACTCAGAACCGCTCAACTACATGGAAACTGAACAACCTGCTCCTGAATGACTACTGGGTACATAACGAAATGAAGGCAGAAATAAAGATGTTCTTTGAAACCAACGAGAACAAAGACACAACATACCAGAATCTCTGGGACGCATTCAAAGCAGTGTGTAGAGGGAAATTTATAGCACTAAATGCCCACAAGAGAAAGCAGGAAAGATCCAAAATTGACACCCTGACATCACAATTAAAAGAACTAGAAAAGCAAGAGCAAACACATTCAAAAGCTAGCAGAAGGCAAGAAATAACTAAAATCAGAGCAGAACTGAAGGAAATAGAGACACAAAAAAGCCTTCAAAAAATTAATGAATCCAGGAGCTGGTTTTTTGAAAGGATCAACAAAATTGATAGACCACTAGCAAGACTACTAAAGAAAAAAAGAGAGAAGAAGCAAATAGACACAATAAAAAATGATAAAGGGGATATCACCACCGATCCCACAGAAATACAAACTACCATCAGAGAATACTACAAACACCTCTACGCAAATAAACTAGAAAATCTAGAAGAAATGGATAAATTCCTCGACACATACACTCTCCCAAGACTAAACCAGGAAGAAGTTGAATCTCTGAATAGACCAATAACAGGAGCTGAAATTGTGGCAATAATCAATAGCTTACCAACCAAAAAGAGTCCAGGACCAGATGGATTCACAGCCGAATTCTACCCGAGGTACAAGGAGGAACTGGTACCATTCCTTCTGAAACTATTCCAATCAATAGAAAAAGAGGGAATCCTCCCTAACTCATTTTATGAGGCCAGCATCGTTCTTATACCAAAGCCAGGCAGAGACACAACCAAAAAAGAGAATTTTAGACCAATATCCTTGATGAACATTGATGCAAAAATCCTCAATAAAATACTGGCAAACCAAATCCAGCAGCACATCAAAAAGCTTATCCACCATGATCAAGTGGGCTTCATCCCTGGGATGCAAGGCTGATTCAATATACGCAAATCAATAAATGTAATCCAGCATATAACCAGAGCCAAAGACAAAAACCACATGATTATCTCAATAGATGCAGAAAAAGCCTTTGACAAAATTCAACAACCCTTCATGCTAAAAACTCTCAATAAATTAGGTATTGATGGGATGTACTTCAAAATAATAAGAGCTATCTATGACAAACCCACAGCCAATATCATACTGAATGGGCAAAAACTGGAAGCATTCCCTTTGAAAACTGGCACAAGACAGGGATGCCCTCTCTCACCACTCCTATTCAACATAGTGTTGGAAGTTCTGGCCAGGGCAATTAGGCAGGAGAAGGAAATAAAGGGTATTCAATTAGGAAAAGAGGAAGTCAAATTGTCCCTGTTTGCAGATGACATGATTGTATATCTAGAAAACCCCATTCTCTTAGCCCAAAATCTCCTTAAGCTGATAAGCAACTTCAGCAAAGTCTCAGGATACAAAATCAATGTACAAAAATCACAAGCATTCTTATACAGCAACAACAGACAAACAGAGAGTCAAATCATGAGTGATCTCCCATTCACAATTGCTTCAAAGAGAATAAAATACCTAGGAATCCAACTTACAAGGGATGTGAAGGACCTCTTCAAGGAGAACTACAAACCACTGCTGAAGGAAATAAAAGAGGATACAAACAAATGGAAGAACATTCCATGCTCATGGGTAGGAAGAATCAATATCGTGAAAATGGCCATACTGCCCAAGGTAATTTACAGATTCAATGCCATCCCCATCAAGCTACCAATGACTTTCTTCACAGAATTGGAAAAAACTACTTTAAAGTTCATACGGAACCAAAAAAGAGCCCGCATCGCCAAGTCAATCCTAAGCCAAAAGAACAAAGCTGGAGGCATCACACTACCTGACTTCAAACTATACTACAAGGCTACAGTAACCAAAACAGCATGGTACTGGTACCAAAATAGAGATATAGATCAATGGAACAGAACAGAGCCCTCAGAAATAATGCCGCATATCTACAACTATCTGATCTTTGACAAACCTGAGAAAAACAAGCAATGGGGAAAGGATTCCCTATTTAATAAATGGTGCTGGGAAAACTGGCTAGCCATAGGCAGAAAGCTGAAACTGGATCCCTTCCTTACACCTTATACAAAAATCAATTCAAGATGGATTAAAGACTTAAACGTTAGACCTAAAACCATAAAAACCCTAGAAGAAAACCTAGGCATTACCATTCAGGACATAGGCATGGGCAAGGACTTCATGTCTAAAACACCAAAAGCAATGGCAACAAAAGCCAAAATTGACAAATGGGATCTAATTAAACTAAAGAGCTTCTGCACAGCAAAAGAAACTACCATCAGAGTGAACAGGCAACCTACAAAATGGGAGAAAATTTTCGCAACCTACTCATCTGACAGACGGCTAATATCCAGAATCTACAATGAACTCAAACAAATTTACAAGAAAAAAACAAACAACCCCATCAAAAAGTGGGTGAAGGACATGAACAGACACTTCTCAAAAGAGGACATTTATGCAGCCAAAAAACACATGAAAAAATGCTCATCATCACTGGCCATCAGAGAAATGCAAATCAAAACCACTATGAGATACCATCTCACACCAGTTAGAATGGCAATCATTAAAAAGTCAGGAAACAACAGGTCCTGGAGAGGATGTGGAGAAATAGGAACACTTTTACACTGTTGGTGGGACAGTAAAGTAGTTCAACCATTGTGGAAGTCAGTGTGGCGATTCCTCAGGGATCTAGAACTGGAAATACCATTTGACCCAGCCATCCCATTACTGGGTATATACCCAAAGAACTATAAATCATGCTGCTATAAAGACACATGCACACGTATGTTTATTGCGGCATTATTCACAATAGCAAAGACTTGGAACCAACCCAAATGTCCAACAATGATAGACTGGATTAAGAAAATGTGGCACATATATACCATGGAATACTATGCAGCCATAAAAAATGATGAGTTCATGTCCTTTGTAGGGACATGGATGAAATTGGAAATCATCATTCTCAGTAAACTATCGCAAGAACAAAAAAACCAAACACTGCATATTCTCACTCATAGGTGGAAACTGAACAATGAGATCACATGGACACAGGAAGGGGAATATCACACTCTGGGGACTGTTGTGGGGTGGGGGGAGGGGGGAGGGATAGCATCGGGAGATATACCTAATGCTAGATGACGAGTTAGTGGGTGCAGCGCACCAGCATGGCACAGGCATACATATGTAACTAACCTGCACAATCTGCACATGTACCCTAAAACTTAAAGTATATAAAAAAAAAAATTTAGCATACTTTAACTCATAAAAAAAAAAAGAAAATATTAGAGATTTTCAAAAATATAAAATAGTGGGACAATGTTTTTTGTTTGGAAGTTTTGTTAAGTTAACATATAATGGGCTTACTGTTATTTTTTTAACAAATAAATATATAAAACATATTTTACTTAATTTAAAAAAAGAAAAGAGGATTTTACTTTTTATTTTTCTTTTTTGTTATTTGTTTATTTAATAGTGGGAGGGAGTTAAATATTGCTTTTTGTGTGTTATTGGATGCATACAAAGGACTATATGTACATTTTGAAGCATATCAATAAAATCTCTGAGAATTACTCAGCTTAAAAACAAACATTGCTAATACTATTACATCTATATTAATACTCTATTATAAACTTCAAAACATGTGAATGTTGTACTTATTTTTTAATTAAAAATTTCAACTGGCTGATACAACTATACCATTATTGTGTTTTTCTAAATATTTTTAAAGGAATCAAAAAATAAGGTAAAGTGGGGAGGTGGATCAGAATGTGACTTTCCCAAAAATATAATGGTTACGAGGCCCAGTCCCACACGGAGGTGTGACAACACATTATATACAGCAATGCCCTTGATGAAACTCACGTGTGTCTCACTTAAGGCAATATAAGCCACTATTGAAATATCCACTGTACATTTATATAACAGGTTATTGTACAACCTCTCAAAGGGTGAGTTCCAAGAGGAAAAAAGCAACTTTATGCAAGTACTTCACTTAAAAATAATGTGTATGAAAAAATTTTACCCATGGATAGAGACTCTTACCACTATTAACGATAACATCAGAACTTACCTCAGCAGGTACCATCAGCTTTTGTAACTCTACTCTTTGTCTTTGCCAACATCACTTTTAGCTTAAAAAAATAAAAAGGGAAAAAAAGCACCTGAAAGCCTTGAAACCCAACAATCTTTCCTACATAATTCTGTGATGAACAAACAAGTATTGTTCAACTGTTCCACAATAAGGTTAAGGACCTTTAATAATAATTTCAGCACATTGACAATATTATCAAAAGCTTTATTCTAATTCTGAACACACAGGCAGAATAAGCTGTGTCACTGGTGCTTTTAGGTGTTCTTTTAGAAATCCATTTTTAATATTCTGGTACTATATAAAATCTTTAGCACTTAATGGAAAAGTTTCCATTCTTGAGACAGCTACTTACATGAAATAATGTTTCTTACTAGCAGATGGAGTGCTAACAGAATTTTTAATAAATCCACATTTCTTAGAAATACATTTTGTATAATACATTATTTTCAAGTGATAGTTTACTTCTTTCACTGCAAACTGTTGAAGTAAAAATTCAGGAAATTTGATGTGAAGATGCTATTTGAAACACTCCAAAAAAAAAACAAAACTCCACAGAACTTCAATCCTTCAGCAAAATCCTGGCACTGCTAGCATCAATATGACTTCAGCAAAAGGATCTTAAAAGTATTAACTAGCTACAACATCTTATTGTCTCTGGAATAATCTATACATTGTTACATTCATACTTTAGAATACATATTAAATATAGGCAAAAGCCACTTAAGATAATCATTCTACTTCCAGGTAAAGTAATTATTATTATTAGAGAAATACAATTTATTGAGGATATCATGAGCCAAGACTCTTCTAGGTGTCCTGTATACACTTTCTTTAGTCTGCACAATTGTATTACAATTCTTTGATGAGAAAATGAGAGGTGAGAGAAATTAAGTAACCTGGTGAAAGTTCCACTGCTGGAAAATGACAGCGCTGCTTTCTGAACCTGAGTCTGACCACCTCAAAAGTTTTTTTATTGTCCCATGCATCCTCCACCATTTTTGGTGTATAAATCTTAGTTTTTCATCTGGGTTGAAAATCAGCCTAAAATGTAATTTGTGTAATAATTTAGAGAGAAAATTATGCTTTATTTCACCAGTGGCATTTTTAAAAAGTGATCCAGCTGATCAGTTTTTAACAAACTGGTATTTGTATTCCTTCCTGCCATGCTCTCCACCAATCTACCTTTTTTCTCTGATATGGTTTGATTCTGTGACCCCACCTGAATCTCATCTCAAACTGTAATCCCTATAGGTCAAGAGAGGGACCTGGTGGTAGGTAATTGGCTATGGGGTGGTTTCCCCCATGCCCTCATGACGGTGTGTGAGTTCTCATGAGGTCTGATGGTTTAAAAGTGTGAGGCAGTGCCCCTCTCTCTCCTGCCACCTTGTGAAGAAGGTACTTGCTTCTCCTTCGCCTCCCACCATAATTGCAAGTTTCCTGAGGACTTCCCAGCTGTGCAGAACTGTGAGTCAATTAAACCTCTTTTGTTTATAAGTTATCAGTCTCAGGTATGTCTTTATAGTAGTGTGAAAATGTACTAATATAGAAAGTTGGTACAGGGAATTTGGGGCACTGCTATAAAGACACCTGAAAATGTGGAAGCAACTTTAGAAATGGGTAATGGGCAGTGGTTGGAATGCTTTAGAGAGTTCAGAAGAAGACAGGAAAATGTGGGAAAGTTTGGAACTTCCTAGAAACTTGTTGAATGGTTTTGACCAAAATGCTGATAGTGATATAGACAAGGCTGAGGTGGTCTCAGATGGAGATGAGGAATTTCTTGGTAACTGGAGGAAAGATCACTCTTGCTATGCTTTGGCAGAGACTGGCAGCATTTTGCACCTGCCTTAGAGATCTGTGGAACTTTGAAGTTGAGAGAGATGATTTAGGGTATCTGGCAGAAGATATTTCTAAGTAGCAAAGCATTCAAGAGATGACC
This sequence comes from Homo sapiens, assembly GCF_000001405.40. Lineage (NCBI taxonomy): Eukaryota > Metazoa > Chordata > Mammalia > Primates > Hominidae > Homo > Homo sapiens. Next base: position 122,247,335 of record NC_000007.14, read on the forward strand.
TGGCTCTTTCTGAATGTGTACAGTCATATATGTTCACAAAGAGATGATCTGAAATTGGAACTTATGTTTAAAAGGGAAGCAGAGTATAAAAGTTTGGAAAATTTGCAGCCTGACCATGTGGTAGGAAAGAAAAACCCATTTTCTGGAGAGAAATTCAAACTGGCTGCCAAACTTTGCATAAGTAACCTGACAATGGAGAAAAAGTCTCAAGGACATTTCAGAGATCTTCACAGCAGCCTTTCCCATTACAGGCCCAGAGGCCTAGGAAGGAAATATGGTTTTGTGGGCTAGGCCTAGGGCCCCACTGCTCTATGCAGCACCTCGGGACATGGTGTCCTGCACCCCAGTCACTCCAGCTCCAGCCATGGCTAAAAGGGACCAAGGTACAGCTTGGGCCATTGCCTCAGAGGGTGCAAGCTCCAAGCCTTGACAGCTTTCACATGGTGTTGGGCCTGTGCACAGAAGACAAGAGTTGATGTTTGGGAACATCCACCTAGATTTTAGAGGATGTATGGAAATGCCTCCGTGTCCAGGCAGAAGTCTGATGCTGGGGTGGAGCGTTCATGAAGGACCTCTACTAGGGCAATGCAGAGGGGAAATGTGGGGTTGGAGCCCCACACATTGACCCTACTGGGGCACTGCCTAGGAGCTGTGAGAAGTGGGCCATCGTCCTCCAGACCCCAGAATGGTAGGTCCACCAACAGCTTGCATGGTGAGCCTGGAAAAATCACAGGCACTCAACACCAGCCTGTGAAAGAAGCTATGGGGTGGAGCTGCCCAAGGTTGTGGGAGCCCACCGCTTGCATCAGTGTGGCCTGGATGTGAGACATGGAGTCAAAGGAGATTATTGTGGAGCTTTAAGATTTAATGACTGCCCAGCTGTTTTTCAGACTTGCAATTCTCACTCACTATCTGATTGTTTTAAAGTGTGAGGGAGTTCCCTGCCCCTGCCTCCTTGTGAAAAAGGTACTAGCTTCTCCTTCTCCTTCTGCCATGATTATAAGTTTCCTGAGGCCACCCCAGCCATGTAGAACTGTGATTAGATTAAACTTCTTTTATTTATAGATTACCTGGTCTCAGGTATGTCTTTATAGCAGTGTGAAAATGGACTTGTACACTCTCCTTATACAGTATTTTTCCATCAACTATCCACACACTTTTATGATAAAACCTAATGCTATGAAGTACTTTAGGAAGGCAGGATAAGAGACTAATATAGTCAGCAATTTGCAGTGGAAAATACCAAGTAAAGTAATAGAAAAAATCATCTGTGGCCCAGACTAGCTCTATAGGTATGCTCAGAAAATGACTCATGAGCAAGACTTTTTGAAATTTTAGGAGTTTGTGACATATGCTACATTGTGTTACAAACTGGAAGCTGACTCAGGTTGTGATTAGCTGCAGGAGGTTTTTCAGGGAATGCTCTTAGGATCAACACCGGTGGAAGGGAGGGGAAGAAAGCAAGATTAGGCAAAGGGGGAAGTTGGTCGTTCTGATGCAGTCCCAATGAAGGCCTCATTTGAATCTACAGGGAGCTCTGGAGCTGGGATGGCTCTTCTGTGTTATCTCAAGTTGTGACAACGGGGCTGAGAAATTATACCTCCTGGTTGATCAGTCACTGGAGACAGGCTGCTCTGGAAGGGGCCCAGATCTTGGGCAAGGCAATTTTCTTCGGTTGAGTTAATCCCAAAGAGGTTTGATAGCTGCAGACCCTTTCCCAGCACTATTTCCACAGGTAACAGGGGTCTGGGCAGCACATCACATGTTCACCACATGTTATGGGATGAGTTGTATTCCTCTAAAGATTATATGTTGAAGCCCTCACCCCCAGTACCTCAGAATGTGACCTTATTTGGAAATAGGATCATTGCAGATGTAATTAATTAACATGAAGGCATATTGGAGTAAGGTGGGCCCTTAATTCAATATGACTGATGTCCTTTTAAAAAGAGGGAATTTGGAAACAGGGGCACACAGAGGGAACACCATGTGAAGATGAAGGCAGGGATCTGGGTGATGCTTCTGTATTTCAAGGAGCACAAAAGAGGGCCAGAAAATTACCAGAAGCTAGGAAAAGGGAAGGAACAAATTCTTCTTCACAGATTTTAGAAGGAACCAACCCTGTCAGCACCTTCATCTTAACATCTAGTCTCCAGAACAGTGAGACAATAAATTTCTGTTGTTTAAGCCACTCCGTGTATGGTATTTTGTTACAGCAACCCTAGCAAACTTATATTTGTTGGTATGAAATTATTGGTTGTAAAGAGCAATGAAAGACTTCTTTTTTACATGTGGAGAAAGGTGACATGGCATTGTGATGGAAATTTAAAAGATATGATTACCTGAAAACTCTGAGCCTAAAGATGGAATTCTGGGCTAGATCAATTGAATTTAGATAAACAGCAAGAAGAAAAAGTACATCACTTTGGGAGAAGTCTCTAGGATTCCTCATTAATCAGTTGGAAGTTGGATAAGTAGGGCATAGATAAAAACTGAATTAAACCACAGTACAGAGCTGTTCCATCCAATATGGTAGCTTCTAGCCACTTGTAACTACTGAGCACTTGAAATATGGCTGATCTAAATTAAAATATGTGGTAAGTGTAAAATATACACTGAATTTTGAAGAAAAAAAGGAAAAAATCAGGCAAAGTATCTCAATAACTTTTATACTGATTACATGTTAAAATGACACCATTTGGGGTATTTGAGATAAATAAAAATATTAAAACTAATGTCACTTTTCTACCTTTACTTTTTAAAAGGTGTCTATAAGAAAAACTAAAATTATCAACATGCCTTACATTTGTGGCTCACAGTATATTTCTACTGGACAGTGCCCATCTAGAGGTTCTCTCTAGAATCTGGGAAGATGAGTCCTCTATACATGTCTCAGAATACTTGGTGTTCTGAAAAGAGGTCTGTATACATCTCTTGATTTGCTTGGAATGAAAGATTCCTGTGGGGAATCATAAAACAGCTGACAAGAGTGATATATTTCAAGACAGTTTAGTGGAAACCAGGTTGCATTAATGGATATGGAAAACAGAGTGAAAAAAAAGTCTTTACAAGGAGTACAAATGCCAAAAGGACATCTGGATGGGGCAGTGTGGGGTTGCGCTTGGAAACACAGAAGCCCAACAAAGTTTCCTCTTCCCCCTTTCCCCTCAGCATGCTGCAAGCTGGTTGAAAAAAAAAAGCTGGGTGGAAAAGCAAGAAGTATTTTGTCACTATTGCTGAGGGACCCTCTTCTAATGGACGCTGCAGGAGGAATGTGAGAAAGCCCCAAACCAAGTTTAGAGGGAAATTTCTAGCTGTTGCCTTAAAGAGTGTCAATGCCCAAGGGCATCTGAGGCTGAAAATGATTTTAAGGTAATTGAGTATTCTCAGGGAGCACTAAAGTGTTGGGGGCCCAGGAACAGCAAAGGGGAGAGTGTACTTTGAAGAGATTTTCCTGTGGGGCTGCCCTCCAACCCTCCTTTGGAGAACTCACAAATTGGCAAGAAAAGCTAAGGCCCACAGTCCCATCAATTTAGCAGTTGTGATTATTCATCCAGAGGTCCAAAGGCACACACCACCAAAGGGACCTCACCCAGGACCCACAAACCCACATACAACTAGGTGATTCATCCCAGAGTCACATTCATCCACAGGCACAGAGGTAAGATGGAGAAGCCATAGGAGTTAGACACCTGCAAGGACTCTTTTTAGCTAAAATTCAGGAAAAAGCTAAAATTTAAGAAAAAACTGTTTATTCTGGCTTATAGAGAGCTTTATCTTTCAGAAGAGAGAGGAAAGCAGCTTCTGATGAAAGTTCCCTGGAATCATATCACAAGGCTCTGATCTGCCTCTTCACCATGTGTTTTAATAATTCAGATGAGGATATTGATGTCAGATTGACCAGACTTTGAATAAAACAAAATGTGGAGGAATGGTTAATTGGTGTGTGACAGAATCAATATCCAAAACACACTAAACAATGGGCTAAAACCTGACTGATGAAATATATCACACAAAAAGGTAATGTCATGTCCTTAGTTTAAAAGAAGTTTAAGTGTAGGATGAGAAATGCATGAATAAACATGACTTGTGAGTTTTCATTGACCTCATGCTCACTAGAAGTCCACTGTGTAAAGAGATGTCCAGGAGTTAATGAGACTTCAGCCTTCGTTAATGAAGTCCAAATGGAAAGAGGTGATTGTCTCACTCTAATTCATGCTGGTCAAACCACACTTAATGTGTTAAGTTCAATTCAGGTACCACATTCCCAAAGACTCCTGCCAAACTAGAGACTTTTCCAAAGAAAACTACCAGAATGATAAAAGACCTTACATCATTTCACATGGGGAAGAAAACCCAAGAAACTGGGAAGGATTTACCAGAAAAAACAGAACTGAAAGTTTGAAAGGCCATGGCATAGAAAATTAATTAGACTTGTTTTGATGATCCTGAGAAGTGGAGCCAAAACCAGCAGCTAGAGGTTTCAGGGAGACCAATCACTGTTAAAAGCAAAGAGGCAGTTGGTGACCATTGGAGCTATGCAAAATACCTGGAACAGAAAACACGGAGCTCTCCCTGGAGTTGGCATTTTCAGCAGGGTCTTTTAACTCCTTGCCAGGGGTGGTTGAGAAAGATTCATGCACAGAGAATAAGACTTCTGTGAATATAAAATCTGCAAGTCACTTATTCCTGACCATAATTTCTGCCTGACACCTCCAATACATACTTCCCACCCACTTCACCAGCCCCTGTTCACTTTAGATTGCATTATTTTGTCTTCCCAGTCCATTATAGGGTCCAAGGACCTTGGGGTCAGGAGGGACCTGGGGGGCCCTCGGATGCAATTTTTTTGCCTGGGCAAGAATCCTGTATATGACAGCCCTGAGAGATGGATATATATTGCACCCTTGCTGGGCTCATCTCTGACCCATCTTCCATTGTCTCTATCCTAGGACAGATCCACTGTCTTAGCCTTTCACCCACATCCTTACCTTGCTGCTTCATAGCAGTCTAGTGTAGTGGCTAAGACTTTAGACTATGGCACCAGATTTCATGGCTTCTAATCCTGACTCTACCATTTACAAGCTGTGTGATTATGGGCAAGTTTGTTATCCTCTCTGTGCCTACTTTGGCATATGGAAAATGGAGATTATGCATATACTGCCTACTGTGTTTACACTATATTGCTGTTAGAAAGATGAAATGGGTTAATATGCATAAAACACTGAGAATACTGCTTAGCAAGCATTAGCAATTATTAACTTATGCTCGTACATTCTTTCCTCCCTCTCCCAAGTCACGAACTTTTTCCATAGCCCTGCCTGATTTTGACTCCCCTCACCTTCCCCCTAACGATATGCCCACTCACAATCTTAACCAAAGTGTTGCTGTGACTAGGTGAGTATGGAAGAGAGACTCACAATATGGTTAAGACAGTTCTGTGTTATTCTTTCATCCAGGCAATTTCCCCCATTGCATGTTATAAATAATATAAGTTCAAAGTTTCCAAAGGCCCATTTCTTGAACTAAACTATAGCATGATGCTGGTAAAATAGTATTCTGGGAGAAAATTAGTGATGAAATACGTATGCCATTCTGTCTCTGTCTCTGTCAACTTTTCACTCGTGATGCTGGTGATGATACTTCTTCATTGGCTTAGTGGACTAGCACTCTCCTATAACAATCACATAAGTGTGTTCTACAAGTTTTCAAATTAATTAGCTCTGTGGAATAATTACTTAGCTATAATGTTTAACTTTACAAACCCTTTCCTGTCTCCACCTTCATCCTGCCAGCTCAGAAAGACTTAAAATATGGGATAGGAAGAGCCTACCCAATCTTCCTGCTATCACTATTATTCCAAGTCTACTAGGGAGAAAAAGAAAGTTTCTTTAAGAGAAAATACAAATTACATTAACTAAGCTATTGACATCAGAAGTGAAAACTCCTGGTGTCGCCAATATCTCCCTCTTTTGAATATTCTTCGTGTCTGTCCTAGTAACAATGGTTCAGCCCCTCATGCATTTCCCTGGGTTCACCTCTTTTTCTTTTAGGAAACCACAACATCATTTTTTCAAGCCTTCAGCAGGGTTCTTGGTTCCTTGGATTAACTTGAAATCCACCACTTATTTTCCAAAGCCTTAATAAAAGAGAATAGAGAAAAAATAAATAAAAAGGTTCTTACTTGGCTGTGATGCCATAGCCCTATACTATGCCCACGCCCATCACTCCATTCTAGGCAATTGGGGGTGGAGGAAGGGAGGAATTGCTGGACAGTCACTTTTAGGATTGATGTTGGTGTCTTCCCCTAACCAACTCTCTGATCCCACACTACCACCACCGTAAGCAACAGTTTTTTCCAGTTCATAACACACTCACCACCAGCAACATGCCACAGCTAAACATGTTGATTATCACTTGTTAATTACAACACAGCCTAATTCTACTTCTAACCAGCCCCTGACTTGGCCACCAAGCTACCTCCCTCTACTTGCTAAGTAGAGAGAGTGACTCAACAGGAGAGGCCAAAACAATCCTTTATTTCAACTCACCATGGTTAATTAAGACAATTTTAGAGGTGGTAGAGCTGGTCTTTCTGATTACCTACAAATCCAAAACCTATAAGGAATTAGAATAAACCGAGTCTTTTGATGATTCCTGATTCCATAAAACATAGATAAGTCTTTTTTGAAGCTGACCGGATCTGAATGCAGTCGGAAACCCCCTTTTCTGAGACCTGTAATAGATTACCTTCAAACAATTAACTGAAGTTTCCAAAGTCCAACATGCTATACTTAATTCAAATGAACAGTTTCAGGAATTTAAAAGACTTTTTTAAAAGACTTTAAAAGGCAGGCACTTAATTTAATAATAGGGAAACCTAGTAGACCATAAACCTCCCACAAGTGAGTAATGTGTGATATGGTAAAAAATCATATATATGCATATGTAAAATCATATACCTGTATATATAATATATATAAGCATATGTACAAATAGTATATACAAATTAAATGTATTTATTTTTCTGTAGGAATGCCCAATTGGTTCATTTTATGTTATTGGAGAATAAGCACAAAATCAAAGATGGAGTTAAGCTTAAAATCCCAAATATTAGGTTCTTACCACCTTCCAGCAAATGCTTTATGTAAGCTTGAATATAGCCACTTCGCTTTTTCCTTTTGATAATTCCTACTAGACAAGAAACATGATGAAAGGGGAATTGTTCAAATGGGCAATAAAATGAAATATTTTAAATGTATATTTTCTTTAAAACTGAGGAAGAAAGTGAAGCTAAAATAACAAAAATATATTTTGAAAACTGAGACTGAGTTCTTTTAAAGTATCAAAAACAAATACCAGGGCATCTTAATTATAAGTTTTTATGACAATACAAGGATAAATAGCTGATTTGGCTGAAAATTTCCTTAAATGACTTGTTTGATCAAATAAACAGCCTGGTTTGCTGTAAAATAGATATATCTATTTCTGAATAGATATATCTATTTCTGAACATTTCTGCTTTTAGCTGGAACTACTTTTTAATACCTTCAGAGTTGTCTATGTGTTATTTCTGGCACCGTGGTACACAGCACAGGCTGGTAATATAATGCCTGGTTTCTAGCCCCTATTCTTCAGGCAGTGTAAAACCTGACCTCTAAAACAACTACTTGCTTTCCCAAATATATTGACAGACTTACCACTCCTGAATTTAATGGCAGTTTTATTTCTGTAGTCCAATTAGTTAAGTCACTGTGCCTGATGTAAGTTCTCCCTCTGCTAGATCTAATCAGTAACACATTGTACCAGTAGGTGTATTCCATATTATTTTAAAATGTACCATCCCAACTTATCCACAGGTAATAGATGCTGTTCTGTAAAGGACTGTCAAATATAAGTCCACTTTGCAATTACAGGACAGCATGAAACTTCTCTCTGTCTGCCCTTCTGTATTCAACAGCCACAGTCCTTGGGTTTCAGCCAGCTAACAAAAGACAATATATTGCCATCCTTCTTATTAGATTATGCCATTGACAGTATGATAATCCACATATGTGGGCAAGGCTGAAAAGAAAGTGAGTAAGCGGGATTCTCTTTCACTCAGCAAGCCTGTGAAGAATGTCATTTGGATTCTGGCAAAAGACACTGTCCTAAGAGCATCCCTGGTTGTATTTTTGCATCTGCACTGTTCAGTTGGTATCCTCAAAACATCTGCTTTACTTGTTTATGATTTGCTCCCACCCCCACCGCATGTTGTCAGCTTTTTGGAGGCAGGAAATCCAGTGTGTATTCCTCTGAGCTCCCTGGGGGACTGGTAATCTTCTCTGAACAGTAGGTAATCAATAAGGACTTGTTAGGCTAATTTGTTTGCCACTCCTGTTTGCCAACAGTTTGCAGCTTCACCACATTGCTTGATATAGTGCTTCAGTGAATCCCTTATGAGTCCTTCTTACAGTGTCACAAAATGGGAAAAGCATGGGACAGAGGACCTCAATACCTGGGTTTTGGTCCCAATTTGCTACTAATTTAGGTATTAGGGGAGATGCTTAGAAGAATCCTCTTCATGGGACCTTCAGACTCCTTGACACCTTCACACAGATAATTTTTAATATTACACTTTTATTGAGTCATCTCCAGACTATTTTCCTTAAAATTACAACCACGTGCAGCTCCAGAAAGCCCTTTCCTCCATCCTTGCTTTATTTTTCTCCAGAGCACTTACCACCCTTTCGCATATATGCTTATTTGTTGACTGCCTCCCCTCACCAGAATGTAAGCTCCATGACAGCTGGAACTTTTTTGTGAACAAAAGTATCTCCTGACACTTGGGGAAATGCACAGGTGATTGTAGACTCTCAACAAATATTTGTTAATGAGTGAATGTCTTCTTACAGTCATATAACTGTCATTCTATGCATGAGAAGGAAATGGAATGAATGGATTGGGACAGGACTAAGATTTATTGCTGTAAGATTTGTGGGCTCCTTTCCCAGGAAATAAGCTACACATTGCAACAAAGGAAGAGAATATATATTTGCAAATTTCCTATTACTTTCTTTGTTTTATACATTTTTGTACATATTTTTTAAATTATGCAATAATCTAGTCTTTGGGTTTCTTCTTGAGGAAAGTTAGAAACTTTGCCTGTATTGTCCTGTCTAATAAAAGTTATCCAAATAAAATAACTGCTGGTAGACTACCAGGTTACATAAAGCATTTGCTTGAATTAGGCAGCCCAAGGAAAGTTAACAAAAAGAGGTCATAAATCACCTCCTTTGGGAGGTAAGCACTTTAAGACAGCAGAGACTCAGTTGGAGGGTTCAAGAATCTCTGTGATAGTCTATCCCCAGTCCTGAGAGGATCATATCACTTCATGGCCCAACATCCTTCAACAAGTAAAGGATCCCACCTCAGGCAAAGGGCTGAAGCAGCAATAAAACATCTCAATATTGCGTGGTATTCTATTTGATAGGGAATAAATGGACTGCGAAACTCTTTAGTGTGTTTTAGGAATTTCCCATTTTATTATAATTTTAAAGTGTAATGTAGCCTAGAGAGAAATATGGTGAGAAAGAGCCTTGCAAACTCTGGCAAATAAACATGATAATAGTTCTTCCAATCTTTCATCAAAAGATCCTTAGGTCAGTGTGATATTATACACATGTATAGGTTTTTATAATGTTGGGGCACTTGAGGCATCAGAAGCAGGTCTTAGAAACGGAATCTCTCTCTGTGACTTTTTCCTGCCCTCCTTTTACCTAAGGCAGGACTCTAATCTGACTATGGGTCATAAGACCCTCATTCCAGAGGGTGTCTTGCTCCATATCCTGGAGGAAGGAATGCTGCACAGAAATGCCAAGAAGAATCTGTACAGACAGATCTTGCTGGGTTTAGGTCATACCTTTTTGTCCAGTCATATTTCTATATGACTGTCAGTCACTCCTACCCAATGATGTCTCCATAAAAGGCCCAAGGCAACAGAGTTTGGAGAGCTTCTGAATAGCTGGACAAGTGGAAGTTCCTGAAGGGTGGCGTGGCCAGGGCAGGCATGGAAGCTCTGTGCTTCTTTCCCTATACCTCACTCTAAGCATATATTAATCTATCCTTTTTCATAACCTTTGTGATAAACTGGTAAATGCAAATAAGTGTCTCCCTGAGTTCTGTCACCTGCTCCAGTAAATTAATCAAAACCAAAGTGGGTGGCATAGGAACCCCAGTTTGAAGCCTGTTGGTCAGAAGTTCCAGAGGCCTGGATTTACAACATTTTTCTGAAGATGGGGGCAGTCTTGGGGACCTAGCTCTCAACCTGTGGGATCTGACACTATCTCCAGGTAGACGATGTTGCAATTGAATTAGAGGACACTCTGCTGGCATACACTGCAAAACTGCTTGCTTGCTTGCTGGGGAGAAATCTCTACCTGTTTTGAGGTCACAGAAATTCTCTTTTCTCTCTTTCTTTCTTTCTTTCTTTCTTTCTTTCTTTCTTTCTTTCTTTCTTTCTTTCTTTCTCTTTCCTCTTTCTTTTTTCAGCATCTTGCTCTGTCACCAGGCTGGAGTGTAGTGGTACGATCATAGCTCAGCAGTGTTGCAAACTTGCCTCTCCTTCAGCTGACACCTATAGCAGGTGGTGCCATACACCAAAGGACAGAGGCGAAAAAAGTCCAAGCTTAGTTCACAGGTGTACTGGCTCAGTATGTGTGTGCCAGCCAAAAATTGGCTGCTATTGCACTATAGCCTCACCCGGGGGAAGGGTGTAGGGAGAAGGGATCGGAAAGAAAATTATGACAGGAAAATCACCTCCGAAAGCAGCCTCGGATAGGGACAGCCCTACAAAAAGGAATCTTCAAAAGCTCTTTCCCCTTGCCTAAATTTGGGACATCTCTGAGGAACTATTCCTGCTTCACAGTGCACTGTGACATTGGTTGAGGCCTCTGTTGCAACTACGTCACAGTTCAGCCTCTCCCTCTGCCCAATCCTGCTTTCCTCACATCCTTATAGACCGTATGCTCAAGAGCACATCCCAATAACCTACCTGCCTAGAAATCTCAATTTCAGTCTGTTTCCCAGGAAACCCAACCTGCAACAATTAATAAAAATAATCAATGTAATGAGTCAGGATTAAAAGTTCTACAGTTTAATTCGCACCTGTGAGTGAGAACATGCAGTGCTTGGTTTTTTGTCCTTGCGATAGTTTGCTGAGAATGATGGTCCCCAGCTTCATCCATGTCCCTACAAAGGACATGAACTCATCACTTTTTGTGGCTGCATAGTATTCCATGGTGTATATGTGCCACATTTTCTTAATCCAGTCTATCATTTTTGGACATTTGGGTTGGTTCCAAGTCTTTGCTATTGTGAATAGTGCTGCAATAAACATACGTGTGCATATGTCTTTATAACAGCATGATTTATAATCATTTGGGTATATACCCAGTAATGGGATTGCTGGGTCAAATGGTATTTCTAGTTTTAGATCCCTGAGGAATTGCCACATGGACACAGGAAGGGGAACATCACACACCGGCGACTGTTGTGGGGTGGGGGAAGTGGGGAGGGATAGCATTAGGAGATATACCTAATGTTAAATGCAGAGTTAATGGGTGCAGCACACCAACATGGCACATGTATACATATGTAACAAACCTGCATGTTGTGCACATGTACCATAAAACTTAAAGTATAAAAAAAAAGTTCTACAATTTAGAAAGTTTGTGGGGAGGCAGGGAGGAATGTTAATCCGGCTTGTAAATTCAAGTTATCCATTCCAATGTTTGCTCTTATCATTATCCTCTTTCTGGAGGTGGAAACAGGCACTTTGAGCTCTAGTATAGATAGGGATGTTTTAAGTGGGACCTGCCACTCCAATGCTTGAAAGCAGAGGGCACTTTCGCCTGGAACATGTGAGAACAAATTACTTTCTCAATATTTTTCTGCAGCAAGGATTCAGTAGCTTCCAAAAGGCTAATGCTTGCTGGTGGAATTGAGAGTTCTCTAGAGATCCACTTATTACATAAACCTGCATTTAAAGGCAAGGAGGGTAATCAACATCCAATATTGAGGGGAAAGGACATACACAGTATAGGAACAGCCATACCTGGAGGATGTTTCTCAAAGAGCAAATATTTCTTTTCCTGTTTTATTTGACAAATTATTTCTTATTGGTTCTCAAGTGCATAGAACTGCATTAATCATAATTCCAAATTCATAACAGGCTTCCATCACTTGTACATAAAAGACTCTCTTTTGTTTGTTGCTTGTTGGTTTTAATAATATAATGAACAATTGTAAAATTACCACCCAACAGAAAACAAAAATGATGACAGCAACTTACATCCATATAATATCTTTGTCCATCCTATTCTATCTTCCACCTTAAATCTTGTGTTTGTTGTTGCCTCATTGTTCTTTTGATATAGTTTTATTACACTTAGATGTATTTATTAATAATATATACTTTTGTTTTTATTTTTAAGTTACTATAAAGAGTATCTTTCTCTACTTTTAGTGTGTTATATTTCAAAATAAAGAATAATTATTTAAAGTATCATGTAAGATATAAGCTATAGAGACTTTTTCACATAAAACTATATTCCTAAAATTCACCCATATTGTCATATGCAGCTGTATTCATTCATTCATTCTGCTAAGTGCCTTTTTTTCTTGCTACTTAAAAGATAATATGTTAACCCTAAGCAATACAAACATTTCATCAATTTATGGAAATTCATCAATAGACATCACTATTTTTTCCTTATCTATTTCTTAATTTTTTTACAAAATGTTTTCTTTATTCCTCCTCTCTTTTTCCAAAATTTCCATATTTACATTATTTCATGTCTTTCACACGCCTAGGTTTTTCTTTTTCCAACAGAGTTCAAGGAACCCTGGAATCTCTTGTTTATTCTCAGAAGGAGCAGTGCTTCTTTTTCTAGAAAACCAGAACAGAGAAATTCAAAATGCCTTTAATATAATGCCGCATTTGAATACCCCCTGTGCCTACACATAAACCTTGTTCTTGTGGGTCCCTTAAGCCCACCTGAGGCCTTACACCAGTTGAGTTGTTTGTAAAGATTCATTTGGTTGGGCATAAAGAAATCTCCTGCGGTATTGAAAACACATCCCTCAGAGAATAAAGGACCAAGCTGCTGGGCATAATGAAAAGCAAGTATTAAACCTAAGCCACACATGCACTTCACACACCTGGAACAACAGCCTGATGGTTTGGAGAGACAATGGCAGAAAACAAATCTCATGTGTATTCCAGATGGTTCTGAAGGATCACAGACAAAAAGCCTTCGTCCCCACCCCTTTCTCAGAGCAACTCCCATTAAAATTTCCTGTGACTCTCAGCTAAATACTAAATGTTCAGTGGTCAAATAAATCCCTGAAGTGTGACAGATTACTCTTATCCTCCCAACTTGCGTGTGAATGTGAAGTCATTTTGCAGGAAGAAATTATAAACACCCAAACTTAAGATTTCACTGACTTCATCTTATTGGATGTAATGACCAACAGAACACGCAGATCTCCACACTGAGATGAATACAGATAAGAGTTTTAAAACAAACCAGCTAAACTCCACAATGGTGGAGACCAGGGGGCAGACAAAAATCCCCAGCTATGAGGAATAGCAGCTGCAGATGGTACAGCCACATTTCTGCAGATACAGGAAAAACAGCATCACAATTCACAACAGCTTTTAAAAGAGCAAATATTTTCTATTCATTCTAAAGAAAATTATGTTTGTGAGACCAGAAAATTGTGTGGATGCAAATTCTCCAACCTAGTAATTATCTCTGATCCATTTCAATAAGCAAAGGTTTGGGGGAATTATTCATGTATGAATCATTTTCACTGCTTTTGATTTGCAGAATAGATTGGAACTGTATGAATAAAAGACCTTCAACTCCTATTAACATTTTTGCATGCAATAGAGGCTCTCCAGAAATTAAAAGACAAACATTGGTAAATCAATAAAAGAAAACATTATTTTATTTCACCTTGGGCTCAGCCACCCACTGCCTATCTTCTTTTTATCCTTGGAAATTTTTCTTTTGAGCTGACCCAGCTAAAATGTAGACAGTTGGTGAGGAGGTGGGGGTGGGCATTGCAGCTGAAGGGAGCTCTTTGAGCAAAGGTAAGGTAAACTTCACGGAGAGGGAAGAAATGAAGTGAGTCCTTTGGCTGGTTTGAAGGGTTCCTGTGGGGAAGTCGTCATAGAGAGGAAGCAGGTTGTAAAGTCATTTGAATGTTAGGAAAATTGGAAGAATCCGCTAGGATGAGAGAGTGAGAAAGAGAGCGAGAGAAAGAAAGAGAGAGAGAGAGAGAAAGAGAGAGACAGAGAGGAGAGAGAGAGAGTATGTGTGTGTGTTTGAAATGGATGAGTGTTGTCCAAGGACTTGGGATAACCAAGGATAGCCAATAAGAGGCACTAGTTAGAGCACCATGATGAAAACATAAGGACCAGTGTCAGACAGAGTACAGCTTAAATATTGGCTTTGCTACTTACTAACTGTGCGACCTTCAGCAAGTTAATTATCTGTTTTAACGCAAAGTTAATTCTCTAAAATAGGGATGATATTAACAATTCCCAATTCATGGGGTGGTTGAGGGGATTAAATAAATAAATTATCTACATAAAGTACAGGACCATTTTTAGATAAAGTATAAATACTAGCCACTATTATTATCTTCATTATTATAATAATTTCAGAAAATGCATTCTCTATATGAGATAAATAGAAATATCCATCCATTATTGTACATGGCTATGATATAAGAATCTGATTATCATCAATAAACTTTGACACCTGCTGTTCTCATCTTGAACAACTTTAAAAATCACACCTTTGTTGAAATAAGCCACTGCAAATTTCTTATTTATAATGTCCTTAGGGCAATGTGAATGTTATCTCTTGAAATTGCAAAGAACAAACACAGGTGAACTTCCACTTAAGTTCCTCTGTGAGTTTTTCTGTGAAAAAAAAAAAAATGTGGCTCAAATCCTGGGAAAAAAAAAGGTAACTCACATGTTAAAAGCAAGTCCATACAGACAACATACAGTAATGGCTGTATCAGCTGGGAATCGCCTCCCTCGCGGGGAGCAGGGTAACTACAGATTGTAGCAGATGGGGATTATGTTTTCTTTGTTTGGCTTTATGGGTCTGAGACACCAGAACACGATGGAGTTACTCAATTGCAAAATTAGGCAATTCCATACCCACCTAGTACCTCCAGTTTTCTTTTTATTGAAGGAATGAGGAAATTCAAAGGAAAAGTCATGCTCATTTTCTAAATAAGCAATTTAAAAACCAAGTAAAACAGATTCATGTTTCCAATTTAAGTGGGTGACTGTGTGAGGCAAAGTAAGGCTAACTGACAAAAGGATGAGGTATCCGAGATCAAATCCTGGTTCTACAGAGAAGTAGATTGTGTGCTGCTTCATTAATAAAAGAAGAGAAAGGTTTGAATTCGATTATTAGAGTTTGCTTCCAGGCCTCAATTTTTGATTTTATATTAGCCAGATTTTATGTATCAGTGCCTCCTAGGTCCTAGTGTTAGAGAAATGTAAAAAAGAAAAGAAAGAAATAAATATATATATAGTAGTTCCTCCTAACTCCTCCAAACAAGATGTTATCTTCCCCTCCATTAAAAACTTGTAAGATTTTTTTCCCTCTTTTAGAACACTTGCTATGCTCTGGCTTGGATTATAGTTAAGTGTGTGTGTCTATCTGTTTATTTCCCTCTAATTGACTATAAGATTGTTTAAGGTAGGAGATGGTTTTATTCATTGTTGTATCCTCCAAATTTTTTAACAGTGCATCATGATCCAACAATGTATAAAAAGAATTATATGCCATAGCCAAGTGACATTTATTCCAAGGATTCAAGGCTTATTCAACATTCAAAAATCAGTTAGTAGAATCTACCATGTCAATAGACTAAAGAAGAAAAATCATATGATCATAGCCATTGATGCAGAAAAACATTTGGCAATATTTAAAACCCTCATCTGATTAAAAAAAATTAATAGTAAATTAGGAGTAGAGAACTTCCTCAATTTAACAAATAACATCACAAAAAATATACAGCTAGCATCAAACTTAATGGTAAGAGACTAAGTGCTTTTCCCCGAAGATTGAGAATGAGGCAAGGCTATTCTGTAACTAATTCTATTCAACATTGTACTAACATCATAGCAAGTGCAGTAAGACAAGAAAAAGAAATTAAAAGATATAGAGATGGGAAAGAAAGAAAGAAAACTGTATTTAGTCACAGATGGCATGACTGTCTATGAGAAAACTCTAAAGAATCTACAAAGAAATCCTGGAACGAATAAGCTAGGGGAACAAGATGACTAGAAACAAGGTCAGTGTACAAAGGGAAATTTTTTTTTGTATACCAGCCTTGAACAATTGTAATCTAATTTTTTTTTAATATTTACAATCTCACCAAAAATGTGTACACCTAAGTAGAAACATAACATAATAGATACAGAATCTGTAGGTAAAAAAACTACAACACATTGGCATAATAAATTAAAGAAGCCTAAACAAATTCAAAGTTAGTTTGTGTCCATGGACTGGAAAGTGATCAGTGATTGCCAGGAATTCAAGGGGAAAAAGGGTTGAATCCATGAGGCACAGGAGATTTTGGCAGTAGTGAAACGATGCTGTACAGTACTATAATGGTTGATATATGATATCATGCACTTATGAAAACACACTGGACTTCATAGCACAAGTAGTAAACTTTAATTTGTGCAATTTTTAAAAAAAGAATTTAATTTAGAAGATCTTGGAATTTCAGAAAAGAAGGCAGATTGGGACAAGAGAATCAAACTGCATTACAAATAAATGAGACAAACTTACTGAATGGTATGGGGAAAATGTTCTGACCTAAGTAATGTTGAAAATAAATGGATGCTGTAAAACAAAAGGCAAAATAAATGGTACACAAGCACCATGCTCCAGTTGGATAAAGCTTTTTCCAACCAGCGTATAGGTTACCAGTTTGGAAACCACTATACAAAAACAAATAAATGGATGATGGATAGCAGAAACCAGGTTTTTCACTGTTGGAGCGGGAGATTTTAGAAAAGA
The DNA here is from genome assembly GCF_000001405.40 of Homo sapiens. Lineage (NCBI taxonomy): Eukaryota > Metazoa > Chordata > Mammalia > Primates > Hominidae > Homo > Homo sapiens. Next base: position 122,264,437 of record NC_000007.14, read on the forward strand.
AGGGGGAGGACTGGAACTAACCATGTGGTACTTGGCTCCTTGGAGACCATCAGTATGAACTCATGTTTACCTTAATATAGATACATACGGATACGTTAGAAATATTTATAAGTATGTGTACACACACCAATTTGTGTGTGTGTGTGCGCATGCACACGCGCACATGCTCTGTCAGATTAGAGAGCCTGGAAACCATGATAGCCCAGTAGCAGAGAGGGCACCAACTGCCCAAATCTTGATTTCTAATACAATTCTCCAATAAAAGGAAGAATAAAATGGCTCCTTATGGAAAAATGGTTGAATCTAAGAGTAAGGAAGAAAATATGCAAGATGAATCTGGAACATCTTGTAATACCAGTATGTAAAGAAACACTCTAACATATGCTTCTTCAATCACACACAAACACACACAAACACACGCAATCACACACAATCACACACAAACACACACAATTATGAGCGTATGTCAAAGGGACCCAGGAGTTAAACAAAAGAGCTCACAATGGCCAAAGCCGGAAAAATTTGAGCAAAATTAAGTAGTATTGGATTATCACCCAAAGTGCAAAACAGACATCCATGAGTCTATAGTGATATAAATAAATGGTTGAATAAATAAACTAATAAAAGAGAAAAGAAAAATCTCCTAAGAAGAATTTCAAATAATTTATGTTGATACTCTACCTTTAGGAAAGTGGAACTCCCCAGCTAAAGGCTGGAAACCAGGTATATACAGTGGCATAAATCCACCCAGTTTTGTGGTTTTCTCATCAGCACTTTAGAAAGAGAGAAAACAAGTATATGCCTTGATTGAAGATTAAGGTTTGAGGTAAGGATGCAGGCGAAATAGAAGGAAATTAGGATGCTGAATATGGTGGCACTCGAGTGGTTGACATAATACATTAGAAGGCATTAGAATGTGTAGCCTAGCTAGGGAAAGAGTTGAAGTCTGATATGGCTTGGATTTGTGTCCCCATCCAAATTTCATGTCGAACTAGAGGAGGGACCTGGTGAGAGGTGATTGGATCTTGGGGGCGGTTTCCCTCTTGCTGTTCTTGTGATAGTGAGTGAATTCTCATAAGATCTGTTGGTTTAAAAGTGTGTGGCACTTCCCCCTTCACTCCCTCTCTCTCTCCTGCCACCACGGGAAGAAGGTGCTTGCTTCCCCTTTGCCTTCTGCCATGATTGTAAGTTTCCTGAGACCGTACAGTCATGTTTCCTGTTAAGCCTGCAGAACTGTGAGCCAATTAAATCTTTTTTCTTCATAAGTTACCAAGTCTCAAGTAGTTCTTTATAGCAATGTGAAAACAGACTAATACAAGGCCATGAGAATGCAATGACACAGATGAAAAGAAGGTAAAAGAGGTCTCAGAAAAATAGATCGAAGGGGGGCCAGCAATAGAATTGAAGAGTGGCATAAGGGATGAGGATGACTTGGTGTAAGAGCAATGTTGTCTGGGGGAGTTTGCATTTTGAGTGTAGCAGGGGATTGAAGGATGGAGGACAGCAAGGCCAAACGGCCTTGAGTCTGAGCTTTTAAGCAGTCACTGTAAACCTTAAAGGATATCAGACACTGTTCTCTCTCCACCTTAAATCCCACCAAGCAGGTTGTCTCTGTTGTTTAGTGTCACAAATTAAAGGATGATGAGAAACTACTTGGCATTTTTGAGAGGCTGAAATTGGAGACTGCCCATTTTTCACCCACTTGAGAAAAGCTGATTATTTCTCAGAAACACTGACAACATCCTGCATTGACTATAAGTCTGAGTCTTTCATTTTCAAGGGTGAAGAACATCCAGTCCCCAAAGAGGACACAGGCTGAAGTAGTAAAGTTAAGAAATCTCACCCCCTTGAAAATGAACACTGCTCAGCCACATCTAATTCCAGCTACGTATTCTAAAATATTCACATATTCCACTACAAATTTGGCTCCTTTTCTGCTTGTAATCTGAGTTTCTTTGATGGCACCTTCACATCAGGTTGTTTACTGGATGGATGGATGGATGGATGGAAGGATGGACGGATGGATGAATGGACAGACAACAAGTCTTTCCATACTCTGACCTCAACCTAATTTCTTGGTTTTCCTCCTATTCTGCCTCTTTGTTTCTCTAAACTCAAACTCAAAAAACCTGGCAGCCATTTGGTGAGCATTCCTGGCCTGTCTGTTCTTCATGCCTATCTTTACTCACTTTTCCTGAAATGCCTTTCTACATGGATAAATATTACTTTTTCTTTAAGGACCCTCTTAAATGCCACCTCTTAAAGAAGGCTTCTCTAATTTTTGCAAATGTAAGCAATCTCTCCCTTACCAATAGGTTTCATGGACAAAACTTTTATTTATTCACAGTAGTACCTCCAGACTCTGGTAGACACTCAATAATATTTATTGAATGAATGAATGAAGTCTTTTTTTTTTTTGAGACAGAGTCTGTTTTTGCCACCCAGTCTGGAGTGCAGTGGGGTAATCATGCTCATTGCAACCTTGGCCTCACAGGCTCGAGCGATCCTCCCATCTGAGCTTCCCAAGTAAGTAGGACTACAGAGGCGCACCACCATACCAAGTTAGTTTTTTTTTTGTAGAGATGGTGACATGGTTTGGCTGTGTCCCCACTCAAATCTCATCTTGAATTGTAGCTACCATAATTCCCACATGTTGCAGGAGGGACCAGGTGGGAGATAATTGAATTATGGGGGTGGTTTTCTTCATACTGTTCTTGCAGTAGTGAATAAGTCTCACAAGATCTGATGGTTTTATAAGGGGAAACCCCTTCTGCTTGGCTCTCATTTTCTCTTTTGCCTGCTGCCAATATAAGACATCCCTTTCACCGTCCAGCCTGATTGTAAGGCCTGCCAAGCCACATGGAACTGTGAGTCCATTAAACCTCTTTTTCTTTATAAATTACCCAGTCTTGGATATGTCTTTATCAGCAGTGTGAAAATGAACTAATACAGATGGGGTCCCACTATGTTGCCCAGGCTGGTAAATAAAGCATTTGTTTATATTTCTATCACAGAATAGTACACAGTCTACATACCATTATAAATTTTTTCCATAAATATAATATTAAGCTGTGATTTCCATGAAGGCAAAACTCACATTTTGTCCAAATTTTTATTTCCTTTAGTTTTTGCAATAGTCATAGATATTCACCAAGTATATGTTGAATAAAGGAATTGGAAATGACACACTTGTCTCACTTTTTCCCAAGAGCACTAGAAGTTGCAGATCAAAGTACTGTAATATGGTTCTAGAATTGCCTAGCAACCTTTAGGAGTCTGATCCTTTTCGTTATAAATTTTCAAGAAATATTGCTCAGCACTGCAGGCCACAGAAGGGATCACTGATAAGTGAAAACAATAGATCTTAGCATTAATCAATAATAGGGGTGTGCGTTAAAAGGTTTGAAATCATTACTAATCATAAGTAAGACTAGTTAAGAAGCATAGTCCAAAGGGAAGTCAATGCTAACTAGACTCAAAGTTGGAGAGCTTCAGATTATTAATTTTAACCACATGTGCTGATTCAAAATGCCAGAATTGTTGAACCGCATCCATCAATTCAAATACTGGGGAAGTAAATGAGGGATTGAAAGAGGGTCTGGCAGCAGCAAATAATTCAAAAGGTTCCTCCACATTCAGCTAGGGATTTCTGTCCCCTAGCCTATGGGGGACCATTTTAATGGAATTGATATGGATTGACATTAATTAGATAGCAAGAGTAATGCTAAACAAAATATTATTCTTGACTACACTTCCCCAGTATTTTTCTATTTTGTGACCTGACCTTTTGTTCAATTCATTGCATCACTCCACCGTGATATACTCCTCTGTTCCGTACCTAAGGCCAAATGCTGCCAGATGATCTCATAATGCTTTTGTCTAAGTGGGCTCTTAGTGGCTGCCAATTAAGGTAAGGAAGCAAGAAGCTAGGAGAAAGAAAAGCAGAATGCACCAGAGGCTCAGCTTAGTGAAGGAGGACAGGCAAAAGTTAGAGATGCCCACAGAAATCAAATGATAGATCAACTTCAACGTTATGCAGCTGTCTAGAAGGCAGGAGATTGATAGGAATTGAAATATGCAGGAAACCAAGTAGAAGCAGGCAGATGGAGACAAGCATCATCAAAAAAAAAAAAACGAACAAACCAAAAAAATAAAAATAAAAAACTTGACAGGGAAGAATGTACTGCCCTTCACTTGATTCCTCACTAACCCAAGACAGCATCAGACCAAAACAACACTGGCTAACTGCATAGCATAACATGCATAACTGTGTGTATGTGTGTGTGTGTGTGTGTAGTGTGTGTGTGTATATATATATGGTATATATATGGTGTATATATATATGGTGTATATATATATGCTATATATATGGTATATATATGCTATATATATATGGTGTGTGTGTGTGTATATATATATATACATATACACACACACCATTGTGAGGGTTGTGGAGTGAAGGAGCGGGGATTTAGTAAAAGACTTAGGCATGATTAGTTAGCCTTTAACCTGGCAGAGAAATCTTTTAAGAATGACCAAGAAATATTTTGGGACTTCAGAATAACATAGTAAGGAGTTCAGAGGCCTGCATGTTTCAGCAAAACAATTGAACTGGTAAAAATTATATACATGTATTTTTTTTTAAGTGTTTAAAATCTCTGGAAATTGTCCTTAAGGGCATACAGCAAATGGAGAAACATGCATTCAAGAAAATCAGCCAAATTTTCTTGTAATCCCGGTGAGAGTCTGTGGCATTTGAATCATGACCCACTCCCTTGTCACCCACTCTCATCTCCATGTTAGGAAAGCTCTACCCTGGGTGCTCTACTCCAGGCAGGTGCAGCCAAGAAGACAAGTCTCCCTCTCCTTCCAGCTCCCAGGCTGAGGCTCCAATTTTCCCTAGAAGGCACAAGCTGCCATCATTTCTTCTCCCCTCCCCACCCCTGCCCAGCCTCATATTACAGAAATTCTATTCTAGGACTGAGAGGATCAGGCCTACCATCCCCCAAGAAGCTCTGACGCATAGGGAGGAAACTCCACTTCAGGTGCCACAAGGGTGAGAATGCTGGGGCTTGGGGGAGGAAGAAGAAAATGAGTATAGGGTTTCTTTCCATGGGAACAATAACTTTCTAAACTTAGATTTTGGCCATAGTTACACAACTCTGTGAATTTACTAAACAAATGTACACTTTGGTGAACTGTATGATTTGTGAATCGCATCTCAATTCAGCTACTTTAAACCAAGGGCAGGGGGTCCTGCTTGTAATCTCAGCTATTCCAGAGGCTTAGGTGGGAGAATCACTTGAGTCCAGGAGTTGAAGGCTACAGTGAACTATGATCACGCCACTGTACTCCAGCTTGGGAGTTATTGAAATTTATATTTTTATTTATTAAAGCTGTTTTAAAAGTTGTTTGGGACTTTTGCTGATCTTTTTTCATGTTTGAAATTTATGGAAAGGAATCAATGTTAAGGCACACTGCATGGACTCTCAAAACCACTAAGTTCATGCCCAAATTCCAGGATCAGCCTAGAAGACATTAGATAAAAACTTGCCAGATGGTAGGTGGTGTGCAAAATAAGGAATTTTTTTTTCCTCATCATTATACTATAATTACTTGTTTCAACTCAAGGATGAACAATCCCCCAAATTAATAGTAATTAACAAGTCAACTCACTGTTCTGTTTGTCTATGTATCTATGATCAGTTTATTTCAGAAAGACTCAATATTGTTAATATGTCCATTCTTACTAAATTGGTCTATAGATCTAAGCAATTCCGATTATAGTTCCAGCAGAATTATGTTTATGAATTGACAAGTGGATTTGCAAATGTGTGTGGAAATCCAAAGGCTTTAGAATGTTGATAATCACCTTTAAAATCATTAAAATTAATCTTTTAAGATAACAAAGTAATAGTAAAGGTAAAGCTATAATAATCAAGACAGTATAGTGTTAAAGATATACAAATATATCAAAAGAATAGCACACCAAGCCCAGACATAGACCCACAATTATATGGTTATTCGATTCTCTACAAAGGCACCAAAGCAATCCAATGAGAGAGAGAGAAAAAATATATATATATATATTTAAATGAAAACAGGAGAAAACTTTAGGAACTTGGGACAAAGAGGACATTTCTTAGAGAGAGTGAATAAAAAAAGGATTTAAAAGTTAAATTTCATCAATATTAAAAACTGCTTATTAAAAGTCATCTTTAAGAAAATTAATAAACAAGCTACAGACCAGAAGGAAATATTTGCAAAACATATCTGACAAAGGACTGGAATATATATCTAGGATATATAAATAGCCCCTACATAATAGGGGCTATATAATAGCCCCCTATATAATTTAATTATATAAACATGAACAGCACAATAAAAAATAGCTCAAATATTTGAATAAACATTTCATTTTTAAAAAAGAATATATGAACAACGAATAATCACATGGAAAAGTGTTCAACGTCATTAGTCAACAAGGACATGAGATACCACCATAACCCACCACAATGGCTAAAATTAAAATGACTGCCAACATCAAATATTGGCCAAATGCAAAGCAACTGGGACTCACACATATTTTTGATGGAGTATAAATTGTTGTAATCTCTTTTGAAAACCCTTTATTATAAAATTAAATACATATTTTTCTTATGATCCAACAATCCCACTTCTAGGTGGTTACTCAAGATAAAAACATGTTCACAAAAAGACTTGTATAAAATGTTGATAGGCCAGGCACGGTGGCTCATGCCTGTAATCCCAGCACTTTGGGAGGCCGAGGCAGGTGGATCATGAGGTCACGAGATCAAGACCAGCCTGACCAACATGGTGAAACCCCATCTCTACTAAAAATAGAAAAATTAGCTGGGCGTGGTGGCACGCGCCTGTAATCCCAGCTACTCGGGAGGCTGAGGCGGGAGAATTGCTTGAACCTGGGAAGCGGAGGTTGCAGTGAGCCAAGATCGTGCCACTGCACTCCAGCCTGGTGACAGAGCGAGACTCTGTCTCAAAAAAAAAAAAAAATGTTGATAGCAGTTTTATTCAAAATAGCCCAAACTGGAAAAAATCCCAGATATCTATCCGTAGGAGAATGCACAAAGAAACTGCAATATATTCATACAATGAAATACTAACTGCACAATAAAAACAAACAAAACCACATACACAGCAACATAGATGAATCCCAAAAGCCTTATGCTGGATGAAAAGAGCCCTATACAAAAGTGTGCATATTGTATGGTTCTATTTATATGAAGTTCTAGAACAGGCAAAATTAATCTACCTTAGAAAAACATCAGAAGTGTTGTTGCCTCTTGTGTGAGAAAGTGGGAATTAACTTACAAAAAGGGCAAGAGAAGTTTTGGGGGTGAACTTTTTCTATTTGTTGTTGGGAGTTTGGGTTACACAAGCATACACATTTATCACTTAGGATTTTTACATATAATTATAAATTTTACTGCAAAAAAAGGAAAATCTACAAAATATAGTGAACTCTAGTTAATACTACAAATGCTGAAGTATCTACTGAGAAGGGTATTGATAGCTGAAATTTACTTTGAAATGCATTATGAAATAACATAGTCTGTTGGATTGATAGATAAAGTACAAAGTGTATTGATAGCTATGTAAAACTGTTAATGGTGGAATCCAGATGATAAGTATATGCATTTACTATAAAATTATTTCAAATCTGCTGAATGTTTTTTTCATAATAAAAAGTTGGATAAGTACCAGAAAGAGAATGATTGTCTTATTCTTCTGATTCTCTTTTTATGAGTAATAAAATCTTTCTCTAATGTAATCTCCAAACTTTCTTCATTTCTCCTTGGCAGGGACCCACACAGATATTCATCCTCGCTGGTATGTTGGAGTAGGTTCATCCTGGCTTGCAAGAGCCAATTGTTAAATTTCCAAGAATGTTGTGAGCCAGTTGATGTAACATTGGTAGCTTGAACTGGCCACGCCAGAGAAATTGTTCTGTGCTACAAATCAGAGACCTTATTTCCCCTTTCTTTCTTTCTTTCTTTCTTTCTTTCTTTCTTTCTTTCTTTCTTTCTTTCTTTCTTTCTTTCTTCCTTCCTTTCTTTCTTTTTTCTTTCTTTTCTTTCTTTCTCTTCCTTTCTCATTTTCTTTCTTCCTTTCCTCTTTCCTTTCCTCCTTTCTCCCTTTCTTTCTCCCCCTCCCTCCCTTTCTTTTCTTTTCTTTTCTTTCTTTCCTTCCTTCTTTCTTTCTTTTGAGAGCTAGTGGTTAAACATTTACCAATACACCACTGCCCACTCTCAACAAACCCCCAGTAAGGAAAATGAAACCCAATAGTATAAATTAAGCAAAAAGTGTTTGAGTTAGAAGTCAGAATATGAACACCTGAATCAGTTTTTTTTCCAGCATAGAAGAAAATGAAAATGACTAATGACAGGCAAACAGCAATGTCTGTCACACACTTACACTGATAGCAAATTACAGGCATTGATTAAACCATTTAATCTTAATAACCAAATTATCATCTTAGATATTTATGTATATCATTAAATGTGTCATATAAACATTGATAATTTAAACATTTTAATTTCACATTTGCAATTTGCTTATATGTTTAGACATGAGACATAGTAACTGCTAACTTTTTTAGTAAATTAATGATCTAAGTTTTAACTTTAGTGTAAAATTAAGTGGTAATATATCTTACTTACATACATGTTGCGTTTTTAATAAAGGAGAAACCTTATATTAAACTAAAGGATAGAAGCTGTGTATTAAGTTATAGACAATAATTTGCTGAGATAGGTTAAGGAGGGGAGAGAGCCATCGCACTCTTCATTAACAACAAAGTTCTTTTTTTGTGTGTGGGTATAAAATGAAACTAGAGTTACTGAGTCAGAGACTTCTCATTTTCTATGACTGACCTAAGTACCAAGAAAGACACAGTCCTCTCAGTGTTTGCTGCATATTATTAATAGAATCACCTGGGAAGCTTTGTTAAAAAAAAAAGGAAACACTTTTTCTTCAAGCAATTATGTATAAACTTGACACAGAAAAACTCTTCCACAAATACACTTAGAGAAATTGGAGGAAATTATGTTTTAAGTCTATTTGATTGCATTAGAAAACTCAAGGAAGTAAGAATATGGAGGACCAAGATGGAGAAGAGAAGCCCAAAAAGATAAAAAGATAAACCTGGGATTAGACTCTACTTTTCTATTGCCCCTGGCACTGCCCTTTGTCAAGTTCTCCCTGGTCCTTATCTTTTATGTCATATGTGTAATAGGTATTGTAGAATATTTTCTTCTTGGGAGAATATAGCTTTTGCAGCCAACTTTTTGCTCATGCAGGTTTGAGGATCCAAGGGTTATTTCAAAATCCAAATCCAAAATAATCAAATATGTTTGGGTTTTTGTTTTCATGGATTAGACATACAGTACTCTCAGACTAGTAAATGTCTGGCCTGATTGCTTCCAAAAATTCCTTATGCCTATAACCATATTCAAAGTTCTTTTCTAGGTGTAACTTTTATACTGGATTAAATGAGTTTCATCTTTGCTCCAATGTATTAGGCTGTTCTTACACTGCTATAAAGAAATACCTGAAACTGGTAATTTATAAAGAAAAGAGGTTTGTTTAATTGGCTCATAGTTCTGCTGGCTTTACAGGGAGCATGGTGTTGGCATCTGCCTGGCATCTGGGGAGGCCTCAGGAAGCTCACAATGTTCGCAGAAGGTGAAGGGTGAGCAGGCACTCACATAGTATGGGAGCAAGACAGAGAGAGTGAGGGAGGACATTCCAAACTTTACGAGATCATCTTGCAAGAACTCACTCACTATTGCAAGGACAGCACCAAGTCTTGAGGGATCTGCCCCTATGACCCAAACACCTCCCACCAGGCCTCACTTCCAAAGTTGGGAATTACAGTACAACATGAGATTTGGAGGGGACATCCAAACTATATAATCCACTATGCCTCTCTCTCTACTTAAAGATACTGCCTGAACTAATCGCCTAGGTTGGAAATATAGAAGTGTACAAACTTGCTCTTTGGGGTTTAGTTGTCTTTTCCATCTTTTTCATCTTTCCTTCTCAAAACGGCAGGTAAAAGCCAACAAATACTAACACTCTGGCTCAGCAGGCACGTGTTTGCCTTCCAATTTATTGCAGTGGTAGTTCTATCAAATGTTTTGTCACCGCAGAAGAAAATGCATATTTCCAACTCTATAGCATATGGTACCTGTTTTCTTGCCACACACCATCTAAATCAATGGCATGTATTTTACCATTCTGTCACAGCAATACCATACTCCTGTATTAGTCGCAATTTCTGTATTAAGGGAGGTAAATCTGAGCTAACAAATATTACTAAAAACATGTGATAGTTCCAACCAAATAAGTTTATTTCTTGCTTATGTGTTAGTCCAAATAAGGGTTCCTGATATGTGAGTCACTCACATTGCCATGGTTATTCAGGAATCCATATGCTCCTCTCACCCTGAGGCTCCACTATCCCTGTCATCATTTGCACCCACCAAGCACACAGTTGCTTGATAGTACGGTTGCTTATTAATAGCAGTGGCAAAAATCAAACACTGCACTTCTGGGCCTCCTTCACTGGCTGTAACCAGGTCACATGATTACATCTAAGGAAGGAAAGCTGAGAATTGTCCTTTAGGGTGTGCCTGGTAGGAAGAAGAGAATATCATCCTGATGCAGCTACTTCATTCTCTCAATTATTTTATAAGTCATTTAAAAAATATTTGATCAGTTCAGCTAACACATTCAGTTGGTTTGGAACTCAAAAGTAAATTTCCTCCCTCCCCACTGCTCTCCCACCCTTCCAGTCAACCAGTTCTCTGAATGAGTAACCAAAGTCACTATTTCTTGTACTTCTTGTACTTCTTGTTCTTATTGTATTTCTTGTAGTATTCCTTCCAGGAATACTATAGGCATTTAAAAGCAGAACACATTTTTCTTACAATGATAGCATGCTACTACACTGCTTTAAAACCTTTCTCTCTCTCTCTCTTTCTCTCTCTCTCCCCCCCTCTCTCTCCCTGGATGTGTGTGTGTGTGTGTGTGTGTGTGTGTGTATGTGTTTGACTTAACTTTGTAAAATCTGACTTGGAGATGATTCCATTCACATTTATAAAGCACTTTTTCATCATTTTTATGATTGCCTGGTTTCTGTTGTATAAATGTAGTGCAATAAATTTAACCAAATCCTACAGATGAATAGGTTGTTTCCAGTCTTTACTATTATAAATTATACTGAAATAAATTATATAGAAAGCATTTCACACATTTAAGATAAATTCTTAGAGGTAGAATTATGGTATCAAAGGAAATGGCGCCTATAATTTTACTGATATTGCGAAGTTCCCCTCCATAGATTTACCAATTTAAATTACCCATGAGCAATGGATGAGAGTGCCTATCATATAGGTGGGATGTTTTGTCTCCTCCAAATCTCATATTGAAATCTGATCCTCAGTGTTGCAGGTGGAGCCTGATGAGACGCATTTGGGTCATGGGGGTGGATCCTTATGAATGGCTTGGTGCCCTCCTTTCAGTAATAACCTCCCACTCTATTAGTTCACGCAAGAGCTGGTTGTTTAAAAAAGCTTGGCATCTCTCTTGCTTCCTCTTTTTCCATGTGACACACCTGCTCCCCTTTGCCTTGTACAGTAAGTGGAAGCTTCCTGAGGCCTCACTAGAAGCAGATGCTGATGCCATGCTTCCTGTACAGCTGCAGAAACATGAGGCAAATAAGCCTCTTTTCTTCATAAAACACCAGACGTGGGTATTCCTTTATAGCAACGCAAATGGACTAACAATGCCTATCCAACCCCACTGTGTTAGATCTTTGTGAATAAAATAGATGAAATTGCGTCATTGAAGTTTCAATCTCCAATTCTCTAAATGTGAGTGAGGCTAAACATCTTCTGATGTCTTAAAAAGATGTGTACTTTCATTTCTGTGAACTATTTCTGTGGACATTTACGAAGTACATCATTTAAATTATAAATGTGTAAGGTACTCTTCATATATTAAGAATATTTGTCCTATGTCTGTTTTATAAGTTGCATCTATTCTTTGTCATTTTTACTTTGTTAATTTTTTTAAACATGCATAATTCTTTTCATTTCTATGTGGTCAATTATTCAACATTTTCAAATGAATTCCAGATTTGTCATCATACATAGAAAATTAACTTCACTATATACTTAAAAAATTCTTCCACATTGTTTTCTATGACTTTTATGATTACATATTTTTCATCTAAACTTTTGACCTTTTGTAATTTACCTTGGCTAAGGTGTATTTTGTTTTGTTTGTTTAATTTCAACTTTTATTTTATTTTAGAATCAGGGGTACATGTGCAGATTTACTACATGGCTATATTGTGTAATGCTTTGGTTTGGGGTAGGATTGATCCCATCACCCAAGTAGTGAGCATAGTACCTGATAGGTAGTTTTTCAGCCTTTTCTACCCTCTCTTCCTCCCTTGTCTGGTAGTCCACCGTGTCTATTGTTACCATCTTTATATCCATGAGTACACAATGTTTAGATCCAACTTAGAAGTGAGAACATGCATTATTTGGTTTGCTGTTCCTGCATTAATTCACTTAGAATAATGGCCTCCAGCTGCACCAATGTTGCTCAAAGGACATGATTTCATCTCTTTTTGTCACTGCATAGTATTCCATGGTGTGGTGTATATGTACCACATTTTTTTAATCCATTCTACTGTTGATGGGCTCCTAAGTTGATTCCATGTCTTTGCTATGGGGAATAGTGCTGTGATGAAGATGTGAGTGCATGTGTCCTTTGGTAGAATCATTTATTTTCTTTTGGATATATACCCGGTAATGAGATTGCTGAGTTGAATGGTGGTTCTGCTTTAAATTCTTAGAAAAATCTCCAAGCTGTTTTCCACAGTGGCTGAACTAATTTACATTCCCACCAACAGTGTGTGTAAGCAGTCCCTTTTCTCTCTCTTTTTTTTTTTTTTTTTTTTTTTGAGACAGAGTTTCGCTCTTGTTGCCCAAGCTGGAGTTCAATGGCACGATCTCGGCTCACTGCAACCTCCGCCGCCCAGGTTCAAGCGATTCTCCTGCCTCAGCCTCCTGAGTAGCTGGGATTACAGGCGCGTGCCACCACGCCCAACTAATTTTTTGTATTTTTATTAGAAACGGGGTTTCACCATGTCAGCCAGGCTGGTCTGGAACTCCTGATCTCAGGTGATCCGCCTGCCTTGGCCTCCCAAAGTGCTGGGATTACAGGGGTGAGCCATCACCCCAGGCCAGCAGTCCCTTTTCACTACAGCCTTGCCAACATGTATTTTTTTTTAATTTTTAATTATAGCCATTCTGATTGGTGTGAGATGGTTTCTGATATGGTTTGGCTCTGTGTCATCACCCAAGTCTCATCTTGTAGCTCCCGTAATTCCCATGTGTTGTGGGAGGGACCTGGTGGGAGATGATTGAATCATGGGGGCGAGTCTCTCCTGTGTTTTTCTCGTGATAGTGAATAAGTCTTACGACATCTGATGGCTTTATAAAAGGGAGTTTGCCTGCACAAGCTCTTTGCCTGCCACCATCTACGTAAGATGTGACTTGCTCCTCCTTGCCTTCCACCATGACTGTGAGGCTTCCCCAGCCATGCAGAGCTGTGAGTTATCCATTAAACCTCTTTTCTTTGTAAATTGCCCAGTCTCGGGTATGTCTTTATCAGCAGCATGAAAATGGACTAATACATTGTGATTCTCATTGTGATTTTGATTTGCATTTATCTGATGATTAGTGATGTGAAGCATTTTTTCTTATGTTTCCTGGCCACTCATATGTCTTCTTTTGAGAAGTGTCTGTTCATGTATTTAGCCCACTTTTTAATGGCATTATTTGCTTTTTGCTTGTTTAATTATTTAAGTTTCTTATAGATTCTGGCTATTAGACCTTTGACAGATGCATAGTTTGGAAATATTTTCTCCCATTCTGAAGGTTGTCTGTTTACTCTGTTGACAGTTTCTTTTGCTAAGCAGAAGCTGTTTGGTTTAATTAGGTCCCACTTGTCAATTTTTTGTTTTGTTGGAATTATTTTTGAGGACTTAGTCATAAATTATTTCCCAAGGTTTCCTAGGTTTTTTTTCTAGGATTCTTACTGTTTGAAGTCTTACGTTTAAATCTCTAATAGATCTTGAGATAATTTTTGTATATGGTGAAAAGTAGGGGGTTTAGTCTCTTTTTCTGCATATGGCTAGCCAGCTATCCCAGCATCCTTTACTGAATAGGATGTTCTTTTCTCATTGCTTATTTTTGTTGATTTTATTGACAATTAGAGGGCTGTACGTGTGTGGCTTTATTTCTGGGTTCTCTATTCCGTTCTGTTGGTCTGTTGGTCTGTGGTTCTGGTTTTTGTACTTGGTTAAGGTTTGAAGTATTCATCTACCTTTATTTTTCTTAATGGCTACACAATGCCCCAATACTTTTTTTTTTTTTTATACTTTAAGTTTTAGGGTACATGTGCACATTGTGCAGGTTAGTTACATATGTATACATGTGCCATGCTGGTGCCCTGCACCCACTAACTCGACATCTAGCATTAGGTATATCTCCCAATGCTATCCCTCCCCCCTCCCCCCACCCACCCACAGTCCCCAGAGTGTGATATTCCCCTTCCTGTGTCCATGTGATCTCATCGTTCAATTCCCACCTATAAGAGAGAATATGCGGTGTTTGGTTTTTTGTTCTTGCGATAGTTTACTGAGAATGATGATTTCCAATTTCATCCATGTCCCTACAAAGGACATGAACTCATCATTTTTTATGGCTGCATAGTATTCCATGGTGTATATGTGCCACATTTTCTTAATCCAGTCTATCATTGTTGGACATTTGGATTGGTTCCAAGTCTTTGCTATTGTGAATAATGCCGCAATAAACATACGTGTGCATGTGTCTTTATAGCAGCATAATTTATAGTCATTTGGGTATATACCCAGTAATGGGATGGCTGGGTCAAATGGTATTTCTAGTTCTAGATCCCTGAGGAATCGCCACACTGACTTCCACAATGGTTGAACTACTTTACTGTCCCACCAACAGTGTAAAAGTGTTCCTATTTCTCCACATCCTCTCCAGCACCTGTTGTTTCCTGACTTTGTAATGATTGCCATTCTAACTGGTGTGAGATGGTATCTCATAGTGGTTTTGATTTGCATTTCTCTGATGGCTAGTGATGATGAGCATTTTTTCATGTGTTTTTTGGCTGCATAAATGTCTTCTTTTGAGAAGTGTCTGTTCATGTCCTTCACCCACTTTTTGATGGGGTTGTTTGTTTTTTTCTTGTAAATTTGTTTGAGTTCATTGTAGATTCTGGATATTAGCCCTTTGTCAGATGAGTAGGTTGCGAAAATTTTCTCCCATTTTGTAGATTGCCTGTTCACTCTGATGGTAGTTTCTTTTGCTGTGCAGAAGCTCTTTAGTTTAATTAGATCCCATTTGTCAATTTTGGCTTTTATTGCCATTGCTTTTGGTGTTTTGGACATGAAGGCCTTGCCCATGCCTATGTCCTGAATGGTAATGCCTAGGTTTTCTTCTAGGGTTTTTATGGTTTTAGGTCTAATGTTTAAATCTTTAATCCATCTTGAATTGATTTTTGTATAAGGTGTAAGGAAGGGATCCAGTTTCAGCTTTCTGCCTATGGCTAGCCAGTTTTCCCAGCACCATTTATTAAATAGGGAATCCTTTCCCCATTGCTTGTTTTTCTCAGGTTTGTCAAAGATCAGATAGTTGTAGATATGTGGCATTATTTCTGAGGGCTCTGTTCTGTTCCATTGATCTATATCTCTATTTTGGTACCAGTACCATGCTGTTTTGGTTACTGTAGCCTTGTAGTATAGTTTGAAGTCAGGTAGTGTGATGCCTCCAGCTTTGTTCTTTTGGCTTAGGATTGACTTGGCGATGCGGGCTCTTTTTTGGTTCCGTATGAACTTTAAAGTAGTTTTTTCCAATTCTGTGAAGAAAGTCATTGGTAGCTTGATGGGGATGGCATTGAATCTGTAAATTACCTTGGGCAGTATGGCCATTTTCACGATATTGATTCTTCCTACCCATGAGCATGGAATGTTCTTCCATTTGTTTGTATCCTCTTTTATTTCCTTGAGCAGTGGTTTGTAGTTCTCCTTGAAGAGGTCCTTCACATCCCTTGTAAGTTGGATTCCTAGGTATTTTATTCTCTTTGAAGCAATTGTGAATGGGAGATCACTCATGATTTGGCTCTCTGTTTGTCTGTTGTTGCTGTATAAGAATGTTTGTGATTTTTGTACATTGATTTTGTATCCTGAGACTTTGCTGAAGTTGCTTATCAGCTTAAGGAGATTTGGGCTGAGACAATGGGGTTTTCTAGATATACAATCATGTCGTCTGCAAACAGGGACAGTTTGACTTCCTCTTTTCCTAATTGAATACCCTTTATTTCCTTCTCCTGCCTAATTGCCCTGGCCAGAACTTCCAACACTATGTTGAATAGGAGTGGTGAGAGAGGGCATCCCTGTCTTGTGCCAGTTTTCAAAGGGAATGCTTCCAGTTTTTGCCCATTCAGTATGATATTGGCTGTGGGTTTGTCATAGATAGCTCTTATTATTTTGAAATACGTCCCATCAATACCTAATTTATTGAGAGTTTTTAGCATGAAGGGTTGTTGAATTTTGTCAAAGGCTTTTTCTGCATCTATTGAGATAATCATGTGGTTTTTGTCTTTGGCTCTGGTTATATGCTGGATTACATTTATTGATTTGCATATATTGAACCAGCCTTGCATCCCAGGGATGAAGCCCACTTGATCATGGTGGATAAGCTTTTTGATGTGCTGCTGGATTTGGTTTGCCAGTATTTTATTGAGGATTTTTGCATCAATGTTCATCAAGGATATTGGTCTAAAATTCTCTTTTTTGGTTGTGTCTCTGCCTGGCTTTGGTATCAGAATGATGCTGGCCTCATAAAATGAGTTAGGGAGGATTCCCTCTTTTTCTATTGATTGGAATAGTTTCAGAAGGAATGGTACCAGTTCCTCCTTGTACCTCGGGTAGAATTCGGCTGTGAATCCATCTGGTCCTGGACTCTTTTTGGTTGGTAAACTATTGATTATTGCCACAATTTCAGCTCCTGTTATTGGTCTATTCAGAGATTCAACTTCTTCCTGGTTTAGTCTTGGGAGAGTGTATGTGTCGAGGAATTTATCCATTTCTTCTAGATTTTCTAGTTTATTTGCATAGAGGTGTTTGTAGTATTCTCTGATGGTAGTTTGTATTTCTGTGGGATCGGTGGTGCTATCCCCTTTATCATTTTTTTATTGTGTCTATTTGCTTCTTCTCTCTTTTTTTCTTTAGTAGTCTTGCTAGCGGTCTATCAATTTTGTTGATCCTTTCAAAAAACCAGCTCCTGGATTCATTGATTTTTTGAAGGGTTTTTTGTGTCTCTATTTCCTTCAGTTCTGCTCTGATTTTAGTTATTTCTTGCCTTCTGCTAGCTTTTGAATGTGTTTGCTCTTGCTTTTCTAGTTCTTTTAATTGTGATGTCAGGGTGTCAATTTTGGATCTTTCCTGCTTTCTCTTGTGGGCATTTAGTGCTATAAATTTCCCTCTACACACTGCTTTGAATGCGTCCCAGAGATTCTGGTATGTTGTGTCTTTGTTCTCGTTGGTTTCAAAGAACATCTTTATTTCTGCCTTCATTTCGTTATGTACCCAGTAGTCATTCAGGAGCAGGTTGTTCAGTTTCCATGTAGTTGAGCGGCTTTGAGTGAGATTCTTAGTCCTGAGTTCTAGTTTGATTGCTCTGTGGTCTGAGAGATAGTTTGTTATAATTTCTGTTCTTTTACATTTGCTGAGGAGAGCTTTACTTCCAACTATGTGGTCAATTTTGGAATAGGTGTGGTGTGGTGCTGAAAAAAATGTATATTCTGTTGATTTGGGGTGGAGAGTTGTGTAGATGTCTATTAGGTCTGCTTGGTGCAGAGCTGAGTTCAATTCCTGTGTATCCTTGCTGACTTTCTGTCTCGTTGATCTGTCTAATGTTGACAGTGGGGTGTTAAAGTCTCCCATTATTAATGTGTGGGAGTCTAAGTCTCTTTGTAGGTCACTCAGGACTTGCTTTATGAATCTTGGTGCTCCTGTATTGGGTGCATATATATTTAGGATAGTTAGCTCTTCTTGTTGAATTGATCCCTTTACCATTATGTAATGGCCTTCTTTGTCTCTTTTGATCTTTGTTGGCTTAAAGTCTGTTTTATGAGAGACTAGGATTGCAACCCCTGCCTTTTTTTGTTTTCCATTGGCTTGGTAGATCTTCCTCCATCCTTTTATTTTGAGCCTATGTGTGTCTCTGCACGTGAGATGGGTTTCCTGAATACAGCACACTGATGGGTCTTGACTCTTTATCCAATTTGCCAGTCTGTGTCTTTTAATTGGAGCATTTAGTCCATTTATATTTAAAGTTAATATTGTTATGTGTGAATTTGATCCTGTCATTATGATGTTAGCTGGTGATTTTGCTCGTTAGTTGATGCAGTTTCTTCCTAGTCTCAATGGTCTTTACATTTTGGCATGATTTTGCAGCGGCTGGTACCGGTTGTTCCTTTCCATGTTTAACGCTTCCTTCAGGAGCTCTTTTAGGGCAGGCCTGGTGGTGACAAAATCTCTCAGCATTTGCTTGTCTGTAAAGGATTTTATTTCTCCTTCACTTATGAAGCTTAGTTTGGCTGGATATGAAATTCTGGGTTGAAAATTCTTTTCTTTAAGAATGTTGAATATTGGCCCCCACTCTCTTCTGGCTTGTAGGGTTTCTGCCGAGAGACCAGCTGTTAGTCTGATGGGCTTCCCTTTGAGGGTAACCCAACCTTTCTCTCTGGCTGCCCTTAACATTTTTTCCTTCATTTCAACTTTGGTGAATCTGACAATTATGTGTCTTGGAGTTGCTCTTGTTGAGGAGTATCTTTGTGGCGTTCTCTGTATTTCCTGAATCTGAACGTTGGCCTGCCTTGCTAGATTGGGGAAGTTCTCCTGGATAATATCCTGCAGAGTGTTTTCCAACTTGGTTCCATTCTCCCCATCACTTTCAGGGACACCAATCAGACGTAGATTTGGTCTTTTCACATAGTCCCATATTTCTTGGAGGCTTTGCTCATTTCTTTTTATTCTTTTTTCTCTAAACTTCCCTTCTCGCTTCATTTCATTCCTTTCATCTTCCATTGCTGATACCCTTTCTTCCAGTTGATCGCATCGGCTCCTGAGGCTTCTGCATTCTTCACGTAGTTCTCGAGCCTTGGTTTTCAGCTCCATCAGCTCCTTTAAGCACTTCTCTGTATTGGTTATTCTAGTTATACATTCTTCTAAAATTTTTTCAAAGTTTTCAACTTCTTTGCCTTTGGTTTGAATGTCCTCCCGTAGCTCAGAGTAATTTGATCGTCTGAAGCCTTCTTCTCTCAGCTCGTCAAAGTCATTCTCCATCCAGCTTTGTTCCGTTGCTGGTGAGGAACTGCGTTCCTTTGGAGGAGGAGAAGCACTCTGCGTTTTAGAGTTTCCAGTTTTTCTGTTCTGTTTTTTCCCCATCTTTGGGGTTTTATCTACTTTTGGTCTTTGATGATGGTGATGTACAGATGGGTTTTTGGTGTGGATGTCCTTTCTGTTTGTTAGTTTTCCTTCTAACAGAGAGGACCCTCAGCTGCAGGTCTGTTGGAATACCCTGCCATGTGAGGTGTCAGTGTGCCCCTGCTGGGGGGTGCCTCCCAGTTAGGCTGCTCGGGGGTCAGGGGTCAGGGACCCACTTGAGGAGGCAGTCTGCCGGTTCTCAGATCTCCAGCTGCGTGCTGGGAGAACCACTGCTCTCTTCAAAGCTGTCAGACAGGGACATTTAAGTCTGCAGAGGTTACTGCTGTCTTTTTGTCTGTCTGTGCCCTGCCCCCAGAGGTGGAGCCTACAGAGGCAGGCAGGCCTCCTTGAGCTGTGGTGGGCTCCACCCAGTTCAAGCTTCCCGGCTGCTTTGTTTACCTAAGCAAGCCTGGGCAATGGCGGGCGCTCCTCCCCCAGCCTCGCTGCCGCCTTGCAGTTTGATCTCAGACTGCTGTGCTAGCAATCAGCGAGATTCCGTGGGCGTAGGACCCTCCGAGCCAGGTGTGGGATATAGTCTCGTGGTGCGCCATTTTTTAAGCCGGTCTGAAAAGCGCAATATTCGGGTGGGAGTGACCTGATTTTCCAGGTGCGTCCGTCACCCCTTTCTTTGACTCGGAAAGGGAACTCCCTGACCCCTTGCGCTTCCCAGGTGAGGCAATGCCTCGCCCTACTTCGGCTCGAGCACGGTGCGCGCACCCACTGGCCTGCGCCCCCTGTCTGGCACTCCCTAGTGAGATGAACCCGGTACCTCAGATGGAAATGCAGAAACCACCCGTCTTCTGCGTCGCTCACGCTGGGAGCTGTAGACCGGAGCTGTTCCTATTCGGCCATCTTGGCTCCTCCCTCCGCCCCAATACTTTTTAATATCATGATTTACTTTTTTTTCTAAAAAGCCAACATGGTCTCATTATTAGTTACTTTACTTTTCTATTGTTTTACTCATTATTTTTTCTCATTACTCATTATTTTTTAATTTTATTTACTCTAAAACTATTTCTTCCTACTTACCTAAGCATTTTTATCTAAATTATCTTCTTGAGATTCACTCTTTTTTTTGCATGTGGCAGTAATTCATTTATTTTCATTGCTGTATACTATGAGGTTATATATATATACTGCAATTTATTTATTATTTTCCTGCTAATAGACATTAGGGTTGTTCTCAGGTATTTATAATTATAAATGTGCTATTATGAATTCTTGTACATACCTATAGAAACCTGTGTTCCAAAAACTCTTTAAAGTATGTAGCTAATGGAGGAATATCTAGATGATAGAAAATGTGTACAGGCAAACTTACTAGACAATGACAAAATATTTCTAAAGTGATAAATAGGTAACTTTCTCATTAGGAGGTTATAGTGTTGAGGATGACCTGAATATTCACCATCCTTGCTATTCTAACAATTTTAATTTTTTCAGGTGGTTTGGTATGAAATTGGATCTCACTATGGTGATAATTTGTATTTTGATCATTGTTAAGAAGGTTAAGCATTTTTCACATGTATATGGGCTTTTTATTATTTTCTCTTCTGTGTAATTCCTTTTCAAATGCTTACTCACTTTTCTATCAGTTTTCTTGTCAATTTTTTTTATAAGCTTCTTTATATATGTTGGTTACTATTAGACAATTATGTGTGTTGTTTTAGCTGTTATGTGTTGCAAATACCTTCTTCAAGTATATAGTATGTTTGCTTCCTACGGTGTTTTCTGATAAGCATAAGTTCTTAGTTTTAATGTAATAGAATTTATCAAACTTTCCCATTCTATTTTTAGCAATATATATTTATTTGTTAATGAACTCTTATTCCAAAGTCTTAAAGAAACAATAGAAAAATATATTTTAAATATTGTAATATATTTTCTTTCACATATAAGTCTTTGATTCACCAGAAAATAGTTTTTATGTGTGGTCTGAAGTAAGGATCCAATCTTATTTTTTCCACGTTAACATCTTCACTCAACATTATTATTGAATGGTTTTTCCTTTCTTTGCTGGTCTTCTGCAGTGCCAGTTCTTATATAAATCAAGTTTGTTTATATATGAGGTTTCATTTATGGACTCTCTTTCCTGTTCCATTTTTCTATTTGTCTATCCCAATGCAATCATCTGTCATTGAAAGATGTGCGAAATGCACAATTTCATCATTGTGTGAATATCATAGAGTGTACTTACAGAAACCTAAATGATAGAGCCTCCTACACACCTAGGCTATCGTATAGTCTATTGCTCCTAGGCTAAAAGCATGTACAGCATGTTACTGAACAGTTGTAGGCAGTTGTAATGTAATGGCCAGCATTTGTGTATTTAAACATAGAAAAAATACAGCAAAAATACAGTATTATAATCTTATGGGACCACATAATACATGATGTCCATCACTAGCCAAAATATGATTATATGGCACATAACTCTACCAATATTACACTGATTTCAATACAGCAAAGAAAAACGCCTTAGATATTTCCAGTAGACAGGGATCAAAGTGGAAAGCTATTTTTCAATTTACTAAAACAGCTGATAGAGCAGAAGATATGGGGTAGCGCTGGGCTTAAATTCATATTATAGCCAATTTTGCTATAATTACTGCCAACATTATACCACCCATATATACATCAACAGCAATTAGACAGTAATGCATGAAGTTGAGAGATAAAAAGACTCATATCTGCAAGTCTGTCTGTCAGCTACAATCACTTTAAGAAGAATGGCTTTCCACTTCTTTCAGTCTTCCACGTCTTACTCAGATATACTTCATTTGTAGAACCTAAATTACATGTGTACTCTGGCAGCAAACATGTCTCAGAAATGTCCTTAGCTTCTGTCACCTGCACTACAGTGGAAAGAGGGTGGAAACAGATGTCAAGTGCCAGTAGGCAACATCCAGCAAGGTCTACTCCATTTGACTAGTCAGTGTCTATACACAATCTTTTAACATGAACTTCCAAGAAACTGCAACATTCTCCTGCCTAACACAATACAATAATCGCTCATACAAACTAAACTAACTTTATCTTCTCCTCAAAAATGACAGATCCCAAATTCTATGCCTATTCTATCTATCTACAAGCTGAGGAGCAAGGAAGCCAGTCCGAGTCCCAAAGGTGAAGAACTTGGAGTCCCACATGTGAGGGTAGGAAGCATCCAGCATGGAGAAAAATGTAGTGTGGGAGGCTAAGCCAGTCTAGTGTTTTCACACTCTTCTGCCTGCTTTTTATTCTGGCCATGCTGGCAGCTGATTGGATTGTGCCTACTCAGATTAAGGGTGGGCCTGCCTTTCTCAGCCAACTGACTCAAATGTTAATCTTCTTTGGCAACATCCTCACAGACACACCCAGAATCCATACATTGCATCCATCAATCCAATCAAGTTGACACTCAGCATTAACCATCACAGCTAGGGAGAGAGATTGATTCATAACCCCAGAGCAAGTAATCTTGTTCACCTGATGATCAAAAAATTTCATCCTAGTTGATACCCATTAGTGACCAATCATATGGGACATAAATATCCTAACATTCTGGGCCCATTAAGAAATGTCCATTTTACCATTCTGTTTTCTAGGTCTTCTTTTCACAAATTTTCCAATCATGTTCCATTTCAGTCCTTGACCGTGTAGACAAATAATTAGCTGTATCTTGTGAATAAATGTAGATACATATTTCTTGCCTTTGTTCCTTCAAGTGGGCAACAGATGTATTACTCGAAATTTCTTTTTAAAAAGAGAATTTCCCTTATCCACTGTCTCTGAAGGTTTTGTCTACTTGGGATTATAACGCTTCAGGGTTTCACTTCTAACTGGTGTTAGTGTGAAGCAGGTTGACAGTGCACTGGTTACCGCTTCAGCCCATTGCATCTTGGGCAGCATTTCTTCTTCTTCTTCTTCTTCTTCTTCTTCTTCTTCTTCTTCTTCTTCTTCTTCTTCTTCTTCTTCTTCTTCTTTTCTTCTTCTTCTCTTCTTTTCTTCTTCTTCTGCTTCTTCTTCTTCTCTTCTTTTCTTCTTCTTCTGCTTCTTCTTCTCTTCTCTTCTTCTTCTTCTTCTTCTTCTTCTTCTTCTTCTTCTTCTTCTTCTTCTTCTTCTTCTTCTTCTTCTTCTGCTGCTGCTGCTGCTGCTGCTGCTGCTGCTGCTGCTGCTGCTGCTTCTGCTTCTTCTTTCTTCTTTCTTCTCTGGTGTTAGTGTGAAGCAGGTTGACGGTGCACTGGTTACCGCTTCCCCCCTTTGCATCTTGGACAGCATTTTCTTCCTCTTCTTCCTCCTCTTCTTCTTCTTCTTCTTCTTCTTCTTCTTCTTCTCCTCCTTGTCCTTCTCCTTCTCCTTCTTCTTCTTCTCCTTGTCCTTCTCCTTCTTCTTCTCCTCCTTCTTCTTCTTCTCCTTCTTCTTCTTCTTCTTCTTCTTCTTCTTCTTCTTCTTCTTCTTCTTCTTCTTCTTCTTCTCCTTCTCCTTCTCCTTCTCCTTCTTCTTCTCCTTCTCCTTCTCCTTCTTCTTCTTCTTCTTTTGATAACGAGGTCCTTTTTTTTCCCTTAAGTTCTGTGCAGAATGTGCAGGTTTATTACATAGGTATACATGTGCCAAGGTGGTTTGCTGCACCTATCAACCCATCATCTAGGTTTTAAGCCCCACATGAATTAAGTATTTGTTCTAATGCTCTCCCCTCCTTGCCCCCCACCCCCTGACAGGCCACTGTATGTGATATTCCTCTCCCTATGTCCATGTGCTCTCATTGTTCAACTCCCACTTATGAGTGAGAACATGTGGTGTTTGGTTTTCTGTTCCTGTGTTAGTTTGCTGAGAATGATGGTTTCCAGCTTCGTCCATGTCCCTGCAAAGGACATAAACTCATTCTTTTCTATGGCTGCATAGTATTCCATAGTATATATGTGCCATATTTTCTTTATCCAGTCTATCATTGATGGGCATTTGGGTTGGTTCAAGTTTTTGCTATTGTAAATAGTGCTACAATAAACATATGTGTGCATGTGTCTTTATAATAGAATGATTTATAAACCTTTGGGTATATACCCAGTAATGGATTGCTGGGTCAAATGATATTTCTCATTCTAGATCCTGAAGGAATCACCTCACTGTCTTCCGCAGTGGTTAAACTAATTTACACTCCCACCAACAGTGTAAAAGCATTCCTATTTCTCCAGAGCCTCACCAGCATCTATTGTCTCCTGACTTTTTAATAATCACCATTCTAACTGGTGTGAGATGCTATCTCATCTTGGTTTTGATTTGCATTTCTCTAATGACCAGTGATGATAAGCATTTTTTCATATGCCTGTTGGCTGCATAAATGTCTTCTTTTGAGAAATGTCTGTTCATATCCTTCATTGAGCAGCATTTTCTACTACTTGCATGGGTCTTGTGAAACAGAACACTCACATCAGTTAAGCAAAGCAACTTTATTACTCACAGATAGGCATCAGGGACAGTGGAAGCCTAGGATTCATAGTGAGCCAGTCCCCAAGCCTCAGGAAAGCTACATATGGCAGAAGGAATCCTGTCTGCATGTGCTCCATATCACATCAGTTTTATACCCTGGGGGTCACATGAACCACCGGGCTAAAGCAATACAGGACTTCCTGTCTTAGGACACACAGGAATAGAGTCAGGGATGTTTCAGCCAGTTCATCCTTATCTCAGGATGTTGCATTCCCAGTGTATTCTACAGTTATTCTTGAGAACTGCAAGTGAGAAAGAGGGAGGAGCAAGGTTTGTCAAGGCTATACAGAGAACTGTCCTTCAGTCAGCATATCATGCAGAATGATCTTTAAACTAGGTTCATTTATTTTCCTTCCCTCAGTCAATACAGAATGTCCCCAAGGGCCCAAAACTATAGATTAAAATATAAGTGACATGAAATCTTGGACCACCTGTTCTTGCAGCATACTTGTGTTTTTAAGATTTAATTACACCAAATTTCAAACCTACCACTTCCTTTTGGTAATGGAATCATGCTATGCATACCAAACTCAGATTAAAAAAAGATTCCCTTAGGCTTTCTTGTAAAATAGGTCTGGTCTTCCTTTTTATTATTTTTTTTCCAACTCTACATATTTTCAAATAGCTAGTCTTCAACCTCACTTGTTCCTTTTCTCTGACTCATTCTGATGTTGAGAGCCTCTATTACCTTTTTCAATTTAGCAAGTGTATTTCTCAGTTCCATGGTTTCTGTTTGATTTTTTTTTTTAATTTTAACCTCTATGCTACATTTCCCAGATAAATTTCTTAATTGCTTTTCTGTGTTATCTTGGAGATCACTGAGTTTCCTTAAAGCTGTTATTTTGATTACTTAGAGAGTTCACATATCACCGTCTTGTTAGTGTCAGTGACTGGTTCCATGCTTTTTCCATTTGAGGATGTTATGGTTCTCTGTCTGCTATTGTTTCCTGTGGATGTATGTCTATTTTTTCACATTGAAATATGAATTATTTATCCATCTTCTCTGTCTGGCTTGTTTTGGTTTTTATTGGATATGTTTGCACAGAGATTCTTTGTAATTTATGTGTTGATTTTCTTTATTTTGTTCACACTTGGACACTGTCTCCTTTTTGGCATTAGATGGCACCTTAAGCCCAGGTTTGCCTCAGCTCTAGTTAAAGACTCAGAGTACCACCCATTCCACATGGGATAAGTCCAAAGCGGGGATAGCCTGGCAATGTGGAAGGTTAGCTAGGGGTTTATGCTCAAGGGACCTGTCAAATGAACCTCCTACAGCTTGTGCTGCTGAACAGCCACTCCAATTTGGAATCTACTTTTGTCAGGTTATAGAGCAGAATTTCCAGAGCTAGGGATGGTAGTCTCACCTCTCCCCATTGTTTCTGGTTGTCCTCAAGGATACTTCTTCCTTCAGACACTCCCAATGCTGCCTATGGGCTAAGTCAGGAACAGGTCTCCTGCCAGGTAGCCCAAGATGATGGGAAAGCTGAGTGTCCACCTCCATATTACTTTTTCCCATATTAATTTTCCATGAGTTTGGTGCTGGGCAGATTGAGGGGAGGGGCACCACAGTTATGAAAATCCAATTCTCTTACAAGCTGTTGGGAGTGTTTCACTTCTCTGTGGCCCTGGGAACTGTCTCCTTCTCATATATGAGTTCTGGAATATTGCTGGTAATAATCTTGGTGCTGTATATATTTTGTTGGTTTTCTATTTGAGGCAGGGAGTGAAGTCAGCTTACTTCTATGCTGCCATTTTAGAATTTGAAGTGAACGTTGTGCAGTAAAAATTGCGCAGGCATCATGAGAATTCACATAGCTCTGTGGTAAGAAGAGGAAAGTGTATTGCTACCCCTGCCAAGTAAAAGCAAATGTTGTCAGGCAATCTTTACTCATCATCACCAAAGAAAAGGAACATTTTCCAAATTGATAGCAGTATGCCAGGCCCATGGGATATGTTTAATTACTCCAGAAGAAACCATAACTGGGACACCAGCTAAAATTGGAATCATCCCCTGATTAAGTTGCATGATTCAAGTATCATTTTCCAAAATTGACTTTTCTTTTACACAGGCCAAACAGATGAATTTATAAACATAATTATACTTGTATCTTATGTGTTTGGTATTAATATTTGAAACTATCTCAAAATATTCAGCAGGACAAAATATGACTTTTGAGATTAATAAAAAAAGTTTTTCCTTACAAAGC
The DNA here is from genome assembly GCF_000001405.40 of Homo sapiens. Taxonomy (NCBI): domain Eukaryota; kingdom Metazoa; phylum Chordata; class Mammalia; order Primates; family Hominidae; genus Homo; species Homo sapiens. The sequence continues at coordinate 122,291,755 of NC_000007.14, forward strand.
CTAGATTTTAAGACATCTAACTATAGATCCAAAAGACTAACTCTGAAACTCAAGGTACAATAAAAATACAAAGATAATCTTATTGTTCAAGAAATATATTTTCTTCTCTTCCCTAAGATTTAAGTCTTTTATTGAAAAAAATGGCTTACATACAAGAAAGATACAGATGGTGATAAAAATACTCCTGTTAAAATCACTTCCTCAGGAAAGCTTTTACAAACAACCACCTTTTTCACTCTGACTTTATTAGATCCTCCTTTCAGAAACTCTTACTTCTTTTTCATACTATTTTCTATGCTTATAATTATTTATTATTTCATATTAAATACATTATGGTTGAGATCCATCAAAACATAGACAATGTTCTTTATTGTACCACTATTGCAATAGCATTTAGTACAAGTCCTGTCTCATAATGCACACAATACATTTTTGTTGACTGACTGATTTAGCTTTCTTAGTACTTCTCAAGTTTTTCTTTCAAGTTTCCATTCTAGGTGTCCTTTAAGTTCTGTGATGAAGACTGAAACAATGCACTACATACTTGAAATTTATTTGATTTCTCATGTAATATTTTAAACTCACCCTGTAAAATATCGGTACTTAATTGAATAGGAATATACATGTATTTGAACTGTATAGCTATGTATTAAGATGCACCAAGGATTATCCAGTAGAATTTAGCATTTTCTGCCAATTACTTTGTGTGACATTAAGGATAGTCCTGACTTCTAGCTATTTCTTTTTTAATCATACTAGTTTTCCAACTTTTTGTATGCCACATTTGATATATTGATTAGGTAAATGCCTTGAAGAAATGTTAATTGTCTCAAAGGCAAAGAGTGCCCAACCAACTTAATCATATAGTACTCCATTGTCTACCATTAGCCATAAAAACTCTGTAACTTTCCTGATTGTATTACTGTAGAATCATTTAATTTAATATAATTTAATTATTTAATTTTTTTGAGATGGGATCTCACTGTATTGCCCAGGTTGGTTTCAAATTCCTGGGCTCAAGAGATTCTCCTTCCTCAGCCTCCTAATTAGCTGGGATTACAAGGTCATGCCAATGCATCCAGCTGTGAAATCTTTTTTTTTCTTTACAATTAGGAGTTCCTTCTTATATTTGATATCAAATTGTGAGTTTTAAGAGTGTAATTTCATTTCTGATTGTGGGGATATTGAAAAAAACCAGCCCCCACTGGCTAATCATTATTGTAAAGTAGAGCCATGCCTGGTTCTGGTTCTGGCTCTCATAAGCCATACTCCTTTAGTTTACCAGGACATTAACTGTCAGGGCTTGCTGATTCCAATATTTCTCTGTTATGATAGCTTAAAGTGTCTTTGTCTTGGAGTCACCATGGTCCAGTCTTCTTCTGCCTTTTAATTCTGTCTTCTAGTTCTGTCTTCTGACTGCTGGGTGACTTTGAGCATGTCTCTTCACCTCTAAAATCCTCAAAATTCTCAACTGTAAAATGATGCTGTTAAGTGTGGTCTAACTCATAATTTTTGAAAGATAATCAAATAAGATCATACATATAAAAGCTTAAAACATATAAAACAAGAATGTGACCGTGAGGCAAGTACTGCAGGTGGCCTCTCAATGCTGGAAAAAGCAAAATTTCTTCCCTAGAGTCTCCAGAAGGAATTCAGTCTGACCGGCACCTTAATTTTATTTTGCAACCACTAAGGAAAGGCCCTGTGAGCACACAGCGAGAAGGTGGCATTTTGCAAGCCAGAAAGAGAGTCCTCACCAGGAACTAAATCTGTCAACACCTTGATCTTGGATTTTCAGCCTTCAGAACTATGAAAAAATGACTGTCTGTTGTTTAATATATATATACATATATATGATTATATGTATTTTATATGATAATATATATAAAATATGTAATAATCTTGATTTGCCAGAGTATCAATTTAGGTTTCTAGTGACCTGTCTTAGAGTTTATGGATTTTTTTTTTCTTCTGCATTGTCCAATATGCTATTAGAGACATCCAGTAAAATTTCAGGTTTATTTTTCAGTTTTAAAATTTTCATTTGTTCTTGTTTTATAGTGTCTATTTTCCTGCTGAGATTACCCATATATTTACTTATGTCCCATTTTTTTGAATTATTGAAGATTTTTATAACAGCTGTTTTAATGTCCTTGCCTGCTAATCCTGACATCTTTGTCAGATTGGGATCTCTTTAAATTGCTTATTTGTTCTCCAAATTATATGTCACATTGTCTTGCTTCTTTATATGTCTATTAATTTTTATTGTGTGCTAGATATTATAGATTTTATATTATTGGGAGTCCAGATTTTTATGATGACAGTTCTGCACAGTCTATTGCTAAATACCTAAAACAGATGCTTCACATATGTTGCCTAGTTTTACAGTTTTTTGTTTGTTTGATTGAGTGGACTATGAATTAATACCCAGATGAATAGGTCAGTTAAAGAGGCCAAACTGACCCTATTAGAACCTGCCCTGGGAACTAGAAGCTTTAAGTAAGGTTTTCTCAGTCTTGGCACTATTGACATTTTGGTCCAGAAAATTCTTTATTTTATGGGACTATCCTATACATTTAAGAAATTTTAGCAAATTCCCTGGTCTCTATTAGGTAGATGACAGTTACAACCCTATACATATTTATAGGGTGGAACCTATATATGTTTCTTCCTTACTATCTGAAATAGCTTTAATAAATATAATTTTTCTATTGTCTTTGGCCCTCAATTTTCCCTTCTTCTTACAAGAGTAACAGATCCATTGGTCTCTTCCTTTATATCATTAACTGATAATTATTGAAAGGCATCTTTTATGTCTCTACCTCCTTTCCCATTTCAAAATTTCTGCATATCTTATTTTACTTAATTTTTAAACTTTTTCACAAAAGTTTAAAGCTCTATATAGTAATGGTATTATTCCTGAAATCAGATTTAAAAAAATGTAAAAAATACAAGTAATGCTTCAGGGTTATAGGGTTATGAGTGTTTAGGGAAGAATTTTTGTGACATGGTACAATTCACTGGAGGAGTTGTTTAAAACTTTTTGTTTTAAACAAAACAATTTAAGACTTGAAAGTATTCAGAATGTATAATACAATCTTTATCATCATCCAGCTTTAATGATTATCAAAAGATTAATATTATAGCTCTTATTTGATCTATATGTATACCTATTCCTCTTCTCCAATATTATTTTTAAACAAATCCCAGAAATCTTATCATTTTACACTTAAGTAACAGAATACAGAGCTCTAAAAAACTATTTTAACACAAAAGTATGCTACATTTTTCACATCTTAAAAAGTAAGCATAATTCCTTAATTTTATTAAATGCCCAGTGTTCAAATTCCCAGTAATTTTAGATGTAATATGTGACTTTATTTTTACAGTTTATTCATTGAATTGGGATTAAAATAAGATTCACATGTAATAATTGATTATTCTTTTTTTTTTAAGTCTTTTTAAAAAATAGGTTTCCTTGTTCTCTCTCTTTCTCTCTCTTTCCTCTCTCTGTCTCTCTCTCTCTCTCTTCCTTTCTCTATTCCTCTACTTCTCTCTCTTCCTTACAATTATTTGTTGAAGAAACTGGGTTGCTGGGTTGTTTATCCTTTAGAGATTCCCAAAATGTAGATTTTGCTGAAATTTTAAAAATGTAAGTCCACTTTTATTAAGAGCTTTGTGTAAACAAGTTACACTTTTGGAATACTGCACCCACTGCTATATCACAAACATACACTACAAACATACAAACATAGTGTATGTTTGCTATGTACTGAATGTTTGTGTCCCCTCAGAATTCATTTGTTGATGCCCTGATCCTGAATATGATGGTGTTTGGAGATAGGGCCTCTGGGAGGCAACTAGAGGTAGATGAGGTTGTGAGGGTGGAGCCTTGGATGGGATTAGTGCCCTTATAAAAAGAGAAAATCAAGAGCTTGCTTTCTCTGTCTCTCCCCAGGAGGCACAAGAAGAGGTCATGTGAATGCACAGCAAGAAGGTAGATCTGCAAACCAGAAAGAGAGCTCTCACCAGAAGAAGGCCATGCTAGTATCCTGATCTGAGACTTCCAGCCTCCAGAACAGTGAGAAAAACATTTCAGCTGTTTAAGTCACCCAGTCTATGATATTTTATTACAACAGTCTGAGCTAACTAAGACACACACTCCAGATTTGGTTATCATATTTATTATATTTAATTGATAAGTTACATTTCCATTGTGGCTTGTCAAAAGACTTCACCTTGTTATTGTAACTAGAGAGTCATGCATTGATCTAAACTTTCAGATTTCTCAGACAAAAAGAAAAGTCTTCATTATTCCTACTAAGAAGAACAAAGCTAAATCAAACTGATGATCTTCTCTACATTTTGTGATAGATTTCTAGCTCTAGTTAGAAACTGATACCTCATGCTTTCTTTCTCCATTCCCACACCTTCGTACCCAGGAGCAACATTTGTTTGTTTGACAGCAAAATATTAACCCTGGAGACCTGTCCTGGCAGAATTTTATTTAATCTTTACTTAGTAACTTAATCTCCATAAGACCAACAGTGACATGATTTCATTTGACACCAGTGTCACCTCAGTCTTGAACAGAAAATGTGCATAATGATTTGTAATAACTTTATACTCATTCAATTACATGATGAATTTTGACTTTTTCTCCAAGATCATTATAGGCAACATGTAGCAATGTATGGAGAAAATTACAATAACAGAGATAGGTTTTCATATCAAGGTCATTTAAACGCTAGGCATCCTCTTCGCTTTTGCATGGAGGGAGATAACCTAGGCTAGCTTGAACTGGCAATTTCTTTAACACCAAAATCATGCAAATAACCAGTGTGTTGAATAGTATATCACTATTTGTCTTTAGTTTGTCCTGAAGCTGAAATGGACACACTGCATTAATTTCTAGAAGCAATTAAAATCTTTTTTTTTTTTTTTTTTTTGAGATGTAGCTCTGTTCTTGTTCTTGTTGTCCAGGCTGGAGTGCAAAGGTGCGATATCAGCTCACTACAACCTCTGCCTCCGGGGTTCAAGCAATCCTCCTGCCTCAGACTCCCAAGTAGCTGGCGCCTGCCACCACACCTGGCTAATTTTTTATATATTTAGTAGAGACGGGGTTTCACCATGTTGACTAGGCTTGTCTTGAACTCCTGACCTCAGGTGATCCACCTGCCTTGGCCTCCCGAAGTGCTGGGATTACAGTCGTGAGCCACCGCACCCAGCCAGCAATGAAATTCATAGCAAGGTATTTTCTACTCACAAATACAGTTTGTTATCCAGATTTTAATTAACCCAATGGACACAAATAACTTCTTGTGTGAGAGTAATCTGTGGCTTTAACAAAAATATAGCAAAAAGACAATGTTTCATTGGGTTCAAAATTACTTTTTATCTCAACAGCCAACAACTTCATATTCTTACCCATTGAAATTTACGTTGGTTTTAATTTTAATGCTTTTTAAAATGCACTCTCTTTGGTAACAACAATAAGTTGTGGGCCCTTAAAATCATAAACTTCATGAGTAACAGATTTACCCAGTACATAGGTTTATAAAGTGAAAAAGAAAACATTTTTGTTTCTGCTCCAATTTTGAATTTGAGATCACTGTATTTTATACTGCAAGTGTTACAATAAATACTTTACAAGGCAAAATATACCCACTACAGTTATACTTTAGTTAATTCTGAGTTGTTACCAGTTCTAGCAAAATTAGGATTTCTGATATTGATGAGGGAGAAATCTATGAAACAGGATACACACATTCTGGGAATTATGACTTCATTGCATCTTGTAGATTAATTTCTTCCATACTTGAAGAGGAGCAAAGTTCCACAAGAAACTCACTAAGCTTCAAGCATCACTAACAAGTAACAGCTTTGATGAGTCCCATATGCAATGCTTTCATTTACTATTAAAAATTGACACTTTAGTCTTACTCTTGCATAATAACTTGTTCTTAAACTAAAATTTGGGAAATCTAAACAAATTGTTACCTTTGGAAGAGATTATTGGAAATCAGGATTTGGGTTCTGTGTTAAAATAAAATAGATAGGAATTTGTCTGGGTGTGGTAAGACACATGTAACATGCCTGTAATCCCAGCACTTTGGGATTTGGAGGCAGGAGTATCACTTGAGCCCAGGAGTTCAAGACCAGCCTAGGCAACATGGCAAAATCTTGTCTCTACCAAAAATACAAATATTAGCCGGGCATGGTGGCATGTACCTCTGGTCCCAGCTACTTGGGAGGCTGAGGCAGGAGGATCGCTTGAGCATCAGAGGTAGAGGCTGCAGTGAGCCATGAGTGTGCCATTGCACCCCAGCCTGGGTGACAGAGCAAGACACTGTCTCAAAAAAATTTAAAAAAAATATAGGAAATCACTACTTACAATGTGAATTATGTTCTATGCTCTGATTTCCAAAACCGAACTAAATATAAGGTCTCAGTGAATCACCAAGTTTCTAAAATTAGTCTCTGCTGCCCTTTCCAGAGGAAGGCCACCTTCCTTATACCAAAAGTTAATTCCAACAGAGGGAGCTGAAGATAAACCATTTCCCTCAGCAGATAATCTGGACAGTGGCCTCTCTTCCTCACTAAACATGAGAGAGTTTGCTGGCTCATGTCTGATCAAAAGAAGGTGGACTGGGACAAAACCAAGTTTCAATTCATACTTTTAGGGAAGCTGTTTCATGAGCAAGCATAAAAATCTATATAAGACACGTGTAACACAGAGACATGCACACACAGAGACATACACACATGCAGAGGTTAGATAGTTGAAGGAAAAAAATCACCTTTCAATATTAGTTGAGGCGAGAGAATTGTAAGGTCTTTCCCTGACTATTAGCTAAGTGTTCCACTTCATCAATTTTTTTTCTCCCATAAACTTAATCCCTAAGCTCATACTCTCTTTAAGAAGATTCTCCTTGATGTAAGCTCTAACAGCTTTATCATAAATCAAAGTTCATTGATAATTTACCTCCGGAAAAGTAGTTCTCTTGAGTGCTTCATTTTAGAGAATTTCCTTTTGGCTTCCTCTACTTAATCACCAACACTCCCAGCTGCTCAAACATGTGAGCAGACAATAATTTCCTTGTGCCTGCCTTAACTGGAACTATTGCACCATCCCAGATCAGACCTTATAACAAAGTCATTCCACATTACAATGTGGAATGTACGATAACTGATTCTCTATTTTTTCTGTTTCTTTCCTTCTCTTATTCTATTCATTCTCATCTTTTCTTCTTAGGCTTTCTTTTTCCTCTCCTCATCTTTCTCCTCTCCTCTCCTCTCCTCTCCTCTCCTCTCCTCTCCTCTCCTCTCCTCTCCTCTCCCTCTCTCTCTCTTTCTCTCTCAACCTCCCTCTCTTTTCTCCTTCTCCCTCCTTTCTCTCTTTCTTTTTTTCTGGATTGAAACAAACCAATTATATTATTCCATAGAAGAGTACCCCCAACCCCAATATGTCAAAGTACACTGGCCTGGGGTATTTAATGGTTGAGTAATCTTCCTCAATAATATTCATTTTGCTTTCCACCAGTAAGATCGTGTCATCTCGAATGTCTAGAAGAATCTACACCCTGGGTTTTGAGAATAAGTTCAAATATGTATTGACAAGTTCAAGAAGCAAAGGCCATTTTCTGCTTTTTCACTGAAATGTATAGGTTGCAAATTATAACGACTCCTGATCTCATTCACATTTACTCAAACCGAATGCTTTAAAAATCCAACTAAGCTACTTTGGAAAGGGTGATTCATAAACTCTGCAGCATCTCTCAAAACTCCTTCGTGACAGGCAGCTGTCATGGAATGTGGCCAGAGCCTGAGACAAGATTATCAAATCAGCTGTGATATTCTGTGAGAGATGGAGCTACTTAGGGCCGCATAGATTCGGAATCCAGCCAACTATGGAATTCCAAGACCCTCGCTCCCTCGCTTTCCGAAGTCAAATCTAACATGGATTTGGCCCCAACAGTGGGCAAGGTCGGGGCATGAGGTCAGGAAAGGAGAAACATCGGTTTTCGATCTAATAATGGCTGGGCTGGAGCTTGTTCCCTGTGTCCAAAGGGCGTGCGTACTAGCACAAGCGTTGAGAAAGGTCTGGACCCGATGTCTGCAGGAAGTGTCAGGACCTCCCTGTTCTGGGGACCTTCCCAGCCCACACCAGGTCCGTGCTCTCTAGATTCCCCCAACCTCGCTCCACAACCCGGAAGGAGCTCAGGCCGGACTTGGCGTGAGGGTCCCTGCGGGGCTGGGTCACCTACCCGTCCGCGATCACCCCACAGGGGCTGTTAGTAATCTCCCTGCTTCCTAGGCCGTTGAGAAGCACTCAGGTCACCCACTCTCGGTGACCAGAGCGGTCAGTCTTTCCCCGCCATGAAATGTGAGTTCGGGTGGCAGCCGCCGCGCCCCTGCAGTGTCCCCTGCACATCTCCGGTCTCGGTCTCGCCTTTCTCAGCTCCGCGCCGCCTTTTCCTGGGCGCCGCAGGACTCATAGAAGTGAGGCGGGGCCACAGATTTAAGTTTATTCCCCGCAACTGTCGGGGCGGTCCCGGAGCTGGTGAGGACGCGCTACGGTGGGTGCAGAAAGGAGATCCCTGGACTCTGTAGAACCTGGGCCCGCGGTGTGGACCGATGGTGGATTCTCCGCGACAACAGCCCTGGAGGGAGAGAGTGGGCCGGGGGAGGGGCCACGGGGCCCCTGAGGCCTGCGGGGCTGGCCGCACTGGCCCCGGGCCTGGCGGGGTGGTGGAGTCCGAAGCGGCGAGGCGAGGACCCCGGGGCCCGCTCCCCCCAGTCGCCCTCCCGGGATGTGGCCCCGCTGCAGTAGCACTACGGTGCTGGGCTGTTTGTCTGGCAGCTTCTACTGAGCAGCTAATAGTATAACAACCCGGCTTTGATAAATCTGAACTAATTACCCCTCTTAATTAAAGTCTTTAGCAGTTGTTTCATTGTTTTGGCAAGAAAACAGGAGAGACGTGCAGTTAGAAACACCAGAGCCCGAGCTCACAGCGGAGCCGCTGATTAACACTTGAAGCATTTCAAGGACCTGGCACCCGCCACAGTTTGGTTTTCATCCATGTTTCCTCCTTGAATGGAAGTATATTCGTCTATAAACATACATACACATGTAAAAACACGGAGGCTCCGTTTGCCAGCTGTGTACAAGTCAGTATGTGCCGTCAGGATGCAAACAATAGATACCTGTCTATCTATGATTGTAATGCGTTTGAGGAGATGTACATTGCATACAGCTACTGGATACGTTGTTCCCATTTAACTGTGCACTACGAACGTATCAGGTGGTCCAAGCCAAATTTATGTTTCTATTAGAAAACTCCATGTCTTCTGCTTCTGAACTTTACCAGATTTCATAACTTTACCCAAAGGTGTAACCATTTAGAAGAGACTATTTGCACTTGATAGATTTTCAGACCAAAACATTAAGTATTACTAATCCAGGGTTTTAGATTTTAAAAAGGCGGAGGGATGAGGGGGTCAGAGTCAGGGATCTTTAGCTGAATAGTATGAACAGAGCCCTAAAGTTTGTTGATTAAATAAGCATGTTCCAAGTATTTATTTCCAACAGTCAATGAATCAATTTTCACGTGCAATAATCAAAACCAAAATTCAAAATCATCCATAATGAACCACCCTTATCTAATGTGTATGGGTGTGTGCTCACGAATGTGGAATGTACCCCTATGGGCGCACACATCTATGCGTGTATATATGACATACACACAGTGTTTTGTTACTTCAGGGAAAGAGGAAATGATCAACATCCAGCAGACATCTTGAGACCGGAGAATCAACACAATGGAAATATATACAATAATAAAATTAAAATGATGCAGCATTCCCGGGTAGAATAATACAGATCTCAATAAATATAGCAGAAATTTGTTTAAACAAAACAAAACAAAATAAACACCATCTCTCCACCCAAGATGAAAAGTCTTTCCAAATTAAAAAAAAAGAAAAAGAAAAACAGAAAACAAGCAAAACCCTCCAAATTTTTCATAATTGTTAGTGCCTATATAGAATATAATACACAAAACCATTTAGCAGGTGCATGCAAGAGGCGAAAGGCCAGGGGATGCAGAGGCTTCTGGTCGGCCCTGAAGTGTGGGGCCCAACATGCCCTGGGGTCTGCAGACGAACTCGGACCAGGAGCTCTAGTCTGCCGCTGCCTCAGCGTGGGGGCACGGCTGAGGCTGGGAGGACCCTTAGCCTCGATCACTGGTGGCCCTGGTGGAGCCCGGGCTGCAGGGGCCCCGGGGTTGGCAGCGGCGGCTGCAGAGGAGGCAGCGTCATCGGCGGCTGCTGCGGTAGCGGGGGCGGCGGTTCAGTGCCTGGTTCGCCAGCTGGCGTGCGGGCCAGCCCCAGGCTGCTGTCGTGCAGCTTGCGGACATGCTTCTTGAGGTCAAAGTTCCTGCAGAAACCCTTGCCGCACGTGGGGCAGGTGAAAGGCTTCTTGTCGTTGTGGGTGTGCATGTGGAAGGTGAGGTTGTAAACCTGGTGGAAAGCCTTGTTGCAGATATTGCACTTGAACTGCTTCTCCCCGCTGTGGGTCAACTTGTGGTTTTTGTAATTCCCTGAAACACACAAATGACAGGAATATGGTTCTGAAAAAAAAAATAGCTTAAAAAGGGAGGAGCAGACACGTGGAAGGTAGCGCCAGGCAAGCAGAAGAGCCGCCACAGGTCCCACAACAAGTGCAGGGCTACTATCTGTGCCTGCACTTGTCTCCCCAAGTTTATTTTCAAGCATCGCATCAACAGTGATGCCGTTTCCTTAAATTTTAATACACATTTATCAGTCCAATTACATACAATGAGAGCATGCAGTTAAAACATATACCCTTGTTTTATGAATCATGCTTTTCTCTAATACTAATCAGACTTCGAGTAGGGAGTTAGAATGGCAACAAAAGTGCCACATAACTACACTTTAAACATCGTCTTCTAAAACATCCCGAAAGTATTAAGTATGGCTTTTCATAAGACTAACCATGAGAGACATTTCCTGGTTTGCATACCTTTTTGATGAAACCCTTTGCCACAGAATTCACACACAAACGGTTTGTAGCCCGCGTGTATTCGGGTATGAGTGTTTAAAGTGGAACTTCTATTAAATGCTTTGCCACACTGGTTACATTTGTGAGGTTTTTCCTAAGCAGGAGAAAGGAAAAGCAGAGACATTTAGATATTTTCTAATTATGTGAAGTTCTGCAAGCTCAAAACACAGTAATGCTTAAACACTTTCAAGCAGAACAAAAGCAAACAATACATGGCATTCACCCTGTTTAGCTAGCACTTTTTAAATGAACGTTATCCTAAAGAGTAAGGTTTTATCGGCTGTTTTTCTGCAAACAGTTCGGAAGCAAACTAGGTGAAATTGAGACAGATGAACACACCTGCGTGTGAATGATCTTGTGCCTGCACAGGGTGCTTGCTTGCCTGAAACCTTTTCCGCACACTTTGCAAACGAAGGGTCTGGCTCCTGTGTGCACTGGCATGTGACGGGTTAAGTTATAGTGCGCATTAAAGACCTTAAAATTAAACACACGTAGAACAGGTTAGCCGCACAAGTAACTTTGAAATCAAACCGGGCAGAGAGAGGGTAGGAGGAAGAGAATCTTAACAAAAAGTGTATGCAAATAATTACCCCCAAAATACTAAAAAGGGAGGAAGGAAAGGAGGAGCGAGGGAGGGAAGGAAGGAAGGAAGGAAGGAAGGAAGGAAGGAAGGAAGGAAGGAAGGAAGGAAGGAAGGAAGGAGGGAGGGAAGGAAGGAGGGAAGGAGGGAGGGAGGGAGGGAAGGAAGGAAGGAAGGAAGGGAGGGAAGGAAAGGATCTCCGTTTTGCATTGTACTTGCCTTTCCACACACTTCGCAAGTGAAAACTTTGGGCTTGGCATTAGGAGAGCCTCGGCTGAAATCCGAGGTTTTGAACGCGATTTTTTCCGACAGAAGCTGGGCGCTTTCTTTCATGTAATGCTGCAGCTGAGCCTGGGACAGGTCTTTGAAAGCTACTCCAGAAGGGTATTTCTCCACCGCCGGGACCACCAGTTTATTCCTTTCGGCTAAATACGTTTTTGGCTGCGGGTGCAAAGGGGAACTGAGGAAGTAGGAGGCCACCGGGTGGATGTTCACGCCGGCTGCCGGGTGGCATGGGCCGTCACCTCGGTTCAGGTAGCACAAGGCGCCCATGGCGTGGAATGAAGAGTGGTTGACCACACGCGGCCTTACCAGCTTGTACTGCTGCAGCGGCAGCGCGTCGCGGGCCAGGTCGCCCTTGAGACTCAGTGCGCAGTTGAGCAGGTCGCTGCAGCTGAATGCGGGAGCCGAGGGCACCGCCGCGGGCGCCGCCGGGGCCTCCAGACTGGCCTTCCGCGGCTCGGAGCCCGTCACTCCTGCCTTGGGGCTCGTGTCGTAGGCCACAGGCACGAAGGGGATCATGCAGGGGATCGACGAGTTGAGATGCAGAGAGTGCTTGGGTTCCCCCTTGGGTAAGGCTCCCTGCAGGAAGTGGGGGACTGGCAGGGCCTTGGGCTCTGGGGTGCGCGCCATGATTCGTTCAATGGAGAAAGCCAAGGGTTTGGACGTGCTCATCATGTTGCCCCGAGCTGGAGCAGTCGCTAACATTTTGGTAGTCGCGTTGTGGCAGCTACTGTCCATGTCTGAGTCGCCAGCGTCCGTCAGCCGGGGCTGGGTTGCGCCGTCCGTTGCCTTGTTCCCTGCTTGTCACAGACCTGCGGAGAGGGGGACGGGCACCATCACCACCAGTAGCCTCCTCCTCCTCCTCCTCCCCAGCATCACCAGCCGAACCTGCCTGCCCAGCCCAATGGACTCCTGCCAGCCCATCGCAGAGTTCTTGGCGCACCAATGACTCGGGGACAATCACTACTTATTTCTATCAATAGAAAGTGTTGTGTCAATAACGCAGCCAAGATCTCGCCAATCGTTAACTTCCAAGAGGAGAAGGTAAACTAGATAATTGCTCAATTCGCTTCCAACAGTCAACAGGAAAACTTTTTTTTTTTTCATCTGCAGTCAGTAACTACTTTTCATTGGTGAGTGAGGTTCCCCGCCCAGAAAAGGCGGGGGCGCTTTCACCCGCTTGGCGCGCCCTCCCCTCTGCGCACACACTCTGCCGCGCACACTTCACTACCCTCCGCACCCCCCCATCCCCACCCCCCTTTTGCTTCCTCTGCCTTTCTAATTCTCAATCTGCTTAACCAGGCTTTAGAGGCCAAGCAAATCTGAGATCAATTTTCTCGTTTAGCTCTAAGTGACATCATCTAAAATCATTGTGCAAGGGCTAAATAAGGAAACGGAGTCTAATTCAGGGGCAAACGCCAGGCTATATTTATCAAACGCCAAGCTCCAGAAAGCCTCGGCTAGGAAGCCTCGGCAGTGAAATCCGAGGTTTCGCTGCTTGGTTCCACTGGGCCTGGGTGGGCCGGGCTGGGCCGGGCTGGGCCGGGTCAGATCTGTGCCACCTCCGCAGACCTATTTCTTCCTCCAGGGCTCGGGGTTGCCCGCTCCCGGAATCCCGGAGTCTCCGCGGCCCGAACCGAGTCTGGACCATTTAGAAGACGCCGGCAGGTAACTGGCCTCCCCAAACGCCCCGAAAATTAAAAGCCTTAGGAGGCTTGTTCTGTGTTTGTGGTTTTGTAAAGGCAATGCCCGCGGCAATAGGCCTGGGAAAGTCGCACTTTCATCCACAAAGTTGAGGAGTTGCAAGGAATAATTGGGTGTCACACCACAAGCAACCTTGACTCGATCGGACCCCACCCAGGATACACACAGACGCGCGCGCGCGCACGCTTCCGAGTTTCCATTGAGAGTCTGGAAAGAGCATTTCTTTCTTAAGTACCTGCGCTCAGCTAGAGCTCTCCCGGAGCATTTTAAATACTGAATGCCGAGCGGAGAAGGGAAACAGAGTGTATTAATCCCCACTCCGGTTGCCGGTGTCTGCAAGCCTCCTCTAAGCAGCGCAGGCGGCAGCCTGGATGTCTGTGCGCATCAAGGAGACTTGCCGGCGCCAGAGTTGTGTCCACAGGTGCACTTGTGCCTCCCAAAGAGCGCGCGTAGAGACCATTTCCCCTGCAACGCCCCCCAGCCGAACACCCGCCGGGTGTGGCACCTCGGCCGAAACTCCTGGGGCGGCGCGGTGGAGCGTGTGGAGGTTTCCGGGAAGACGCCTACGGCTGCGGCTCCGACTGTGCGGGCTCCCGCCGCCCAGGCAAGAGCGTCCAGGAGCGCGCTGGAAGCTGCGGCGCGCACCTTCCCCGGCGCAGTCTCTTGCCAGCCGGCGATCACGCAGAGCTGAACCCCGCAGCTAGGCGCGCAGGAAGGGCTGCACAGAGTTTGAAGACACGGCAGCTGTAAGCTGGCGTGAGGAGGCCAAAGGAGCGCGCAGAGCTGCAAGCAAAGGGCGGTGGGGCCTGGACCCTGAAGTGAGTGGCCGACCGCAGCAGCTCAAGGTGCCATCTGCCTGGTGAGTTAACCCCACGTGGCTGTGAGACAGGTGGTGGCGGGTGTCAGGTATTGGGCCAAGTGTAGTGGGGGCGTCCTTCTGCTAGAGCTCTGAAAAGGGTTGGCCCCGGAAGGCTGGATAACGGCGGACTAGAAACCCTGGCATTATTAAGTCCCTGAGCAATTTCACTCAAAGATGCGAAACTGGACCTTAAACGAAGGAAATTGACGTCAAAGTATTCCCTCCTCTCTACCCCATTCTCAACACATGCCAGGCAAGCTACCCGGGTCCCTCCGCCCCACTCTAACTTTCCGCGAAAATCAGTTCCGCCTCTGCCCCAAGAGCCAAGAGGGGTGGAAAGGAAGAGAGCTTGGGCTGGGAACGCGCCTGATGTCTAACAGAAAGGCAGTGGCAGCTGGGTGAGTGGTGGGAAAGCTCACAGGCTGAAGAAATGGGGGAGGGGGAGTGAGTCTTATTGGAAGTTGAGGACAGCCAAGGGGCAAGATGGGGGGAGAGGTCTGGCTGAATACGACGGGCTTCAGCAGCTAGGCCTGGGAGTGCCTCGTTTCAGGCCTCGAGGTGGCTTCAGGCTGGGACAACTGATGCAGCAGAGAAGGGCAGAGCGCCCGGGGGGAGAAAGCAAAGAGGCGCTACACTCCAAGGCGGCCCTTTGGAACCGTCCTTGGCCCGGGTGCACCTACTTTGGATTCGCCCAGACTGCAAATTTTTCTTTCCTTTTGCTGGGGCCACGGGACAGAGCACCTGGGCAGAGCAAGCGGAGAGGCGCCACATCCCCGAGAGGCGCTTCGTAGTTGTCCTTGGACCGGGCGCAGACACTCAGTATTGGTCAGCGCTGGAAATTTTCTTTCCTTTTGCTGTTGGGGCCGCAGAACCAGTCTCCTCCTTTCCCCTGCTCAGACAAAGGGCACGGGAAGGGCTTTGCTGGGGCAAAGGGGGGTGGGGGGTTCTCTGTCCCACGACAGATGGGTCGCGGTTAAGACTTTAATTGCTGACTTTTGGGCCGGATCAGATTCCTTTTCCTACCTGCCACTTCCCAGCAGCGAAAAATCCCCCTCCTGCTGCACTCCTCCGCCACCGGGCTAGGTTGAAAGGAAAAAGCCAAGAAGCGCGAAGCAGCCCGGCTCTGGAAGGCTTTGGAGAGTCCAGCTGACTTGTACACAATTCGCGGCCTCTGGAGCCTTACCTGCCTTCTTGACTGAATGCCACCAGTTCGTTTTACGCTTGTGGTGTGTCCCTCACTCTCCCCTTCCTCTCCTCCCCCTCCCCTCTCCTTAACTGCAAAAGAGCCTTTCTTTGACCTCTGTAAATTTCTCCTTTGGTGTATACCAAACTAAAAAGGAAAAAATATTGGCTAAGAGGTATGCATGCTTTGTATAGTTTATATTTCAACAGTTTGCTTTTCACTAGTCTTTTCAGGATTTGCCCTTTTGGCAAGTGTTTGAAAATGTCATTTGAGTTAACACAAATATGGCAAAGCATCAATTATGCTCTTCCTTTAAGATGGCCTTGAGTTTACTAAAGACTGAAAAGGTGCTTTACAACTCCAGGCCTTGATATCCAACATTTGTTAATTTTTTCAAAACCTAACCAAAAACACATGTTAATTAGTAATACTATCTCTATTAAATAAGAATTGTCACAAAACACAAAATATATTTAGAAAGGGCTTCTATCTTACCGTCCAATCTGTCTAGTACTTTATTTCCAAATATATTTGAAAATAACAAAAAAGGCAATAAAAACAGAGTATATTCAGCAAATTCAGAAGCTTTCAAAACGTTTCAATGCAAGTATTTTTTAGTTATTAAAACAAATGCAAGGGAGCCTTGTTTGTTTTGTTAATGGCAAAATAGAAACTCTTACAGTTTCTTTGGATTTTCTTTGAGAATCCTATAATCCTATTTTTTTGCTGAGAGCTGATGATTAAGTGTGCCTCCCCTTTCCATCCATGGAAAGGCAGTATTTATAACCTCAAATCCTGATGGAAGGCGAGTTTCAGTGTATGATTTATCCTTTATGAAATATCCTGAGGAAACCACAGCAGTTCATGATATAAAGAGGCCAGATAACAAACTCTGTGTTAAGATCTATTTAAAAAATAAGAAAAAGTCCTGCTTTTCTAAAGTAATTTAAAATTCTCTTTTTCTAAGGAATCTGATTTTGACTTCAATACTTTCTAAGCTGTGTTCTTGCTATTACTAAAAAATATTCATGATTTCCACAGGCTTTTTGTTGAAGTCCCTATCATAAGCAAATGCAGTTTCTGGCTATGGTTACTGCAATTCGAAATAAAAGGTAATAAGATAATAGAGCCATACATTACCAAATAAGCCATAATCTCTAATCTCTTATTCCTTGATATGTCACAAAATACTATTGATTTTTTTAAATTAAAAATGGATTGGAAAATATTATAACTAATTCCACTTTCTGCCCTAGTTCATTGACTTGTCCCTGGTCATGTTTTTAGAGTTTTCTGGCCTGTTCAACGTCTCTGACCCCCAGCCCCTTCACCAAGAGCAACAGTCTGCTTTCTCTTTGCTTTAGCTTGTGAGCTAAGGGAGGAGAGACGAAAGCATTATTATTATTCTGACATCACCCCCCACCCCAGCCTTGACATTCAAGCACATCTACACTTTTTCCTGTTTAATACATAGCACCAAAGGCAACACACTGTACTTCTAGAAGGAAAAACACGTTTTTTAATTCCTCTGCGTTTTCTGCTTATAGTCTTTATCTCTGGCTGGTCTTTTGTTATTTCTTTTGGTGTGTGATGGAGGCAGGGTGACGGGATGGGACACAAATAGCAAAGGTCTATAAGGTTCAAGGAAAGAGTTTCTGAATACCTCAGATTACTTAATACACAACGGGAACTAACTTTCCAACACGTTAGCAAACATATTGGCAACAAGTTCAAATTTAAGGCTACTAGTGTGCTTTTAGTTAGTTTGGTAGCAAATAAAGAATTTTTGCTAAGTTCCTAAAGCAATGTGAAGGACAGTATCACAGGTTATAAATGTGGGAAGGGTTGATTAACTCACAGAGCCCTCCTCTCTTTGGGGGAAGAAGTGTGAGGGTGGATTATTTGTCTCTAGACCTTTGTTGTTATTATTTCTTTTATATTAGGATTTCATTTAAACCCAGTGAAATTATTTCTCTCAAAACAGCATTTACATAGCAAATCAGTTTGTGAAAGGAAATGAAGAGCCCAAATGTGAGAGCTGTTAATGAGGTGGCAGGCAATACAGACAGCGAGCACTTGGGCTCAGTTTGTTTCTGACCCTCCACTAATGCTGAGATTTTTCTCACCCATTCCCACAGGCCTGTGAGGTGTGTCCCTCCAGACTGAGAGGCTATGACTCAGGGTTGGACTTTATGGAAAAAAAGAAGTTTATAAAACAAGTAACCCAGTTTCTCCAACCTTTACTGTGGAGCAACAGCGTCAAGCAACAAAACCCAGCAAAGTTTTGCTTGTCACTTACAAGGGTGTTACTGAAATCTGGAAGGCGAACAATTAGAAGATAGCCCAAACATGCTCTATTGCTCTACACTGAAATACTTGCCTCCAATAATAGAAAAAACCTGTTTTCGTGCAATTGATTGATTAGCGTTCTGCAGCAGTCCCTGGACAATTTTAAAGACATTTTGTGTTTGTGGCCAAAATTAGAAACAAGCAGACACACACACAAAACAACCATATTCAAGACACGGTTCGACTGTTTCCTTGACACTACCCACGAAGTTTAAAGCATTTTTTATGTTATTTTCAAACTTTCTTAAGTGATCCCATGAAATAAAAGTCGATAATAGAAATTAAAACAACACAGAGCAAAGAACGAGCTTAGTGAAATGGAGAAGCAGTAGAGGTAAATAAAAATCCTCGAGCTAGAAAGCTCTAAGAACCGCTTATAAATTCAGTTACCTCCTGAACTCCGGCCGATGGCCACTCCGGCCCGGGAGTGCCCCGCGCCGACCCGCTGGCCTTGGCCGTCTCAGCCTTCATTATCGCCACGGCCTTGGCGCCCCCTGCCCCCGGCTGCCCAGGGGAACCAAGTTCCCGCTGCTGGAGTTGGGGCAGAGGAGCCCCGCCTCATTCAGGATTCGGTGGCCAGCGCAGAGCCATTTGAATAGAAGAAGCCCGAAGTGAAACAGAAAAGCTGAAAACTCCCCGGCTGGGCTCTCCACTTCTCGGTTCTTGCTCACGAGTTCCAAACAGTTAAAGTGACGTTGGCAAGGCCGAGGGCCACCGAGCTCTGTGAGACTCCCTTGGAGGGGTCAGGAAACTTAGCTCGAGAAGCTTGGAGGCGGCTGGGAGTTGGGGCGCAACTTCAGTGACCGGGCGCCGCTGCCGGGCTGGGGCTCCCAAGCGTCCGGCTCCCGGGGTGGTCGACGCGGCGCTGCCTTCGATCAGGTCCCGCCGACCTCGGGCCTCTGGACCACCACCGCCCCAGCTGGTCTGGCAACCCATCCCGGGCGCAATCGCGCTCCTCCCCTTCTCCTCTGCATTCCCGCAGGTCCTGGGGCGGCTCCATCCCCCCAAGGCTGAGAGATGGCGAGGGAGGCTCCAAAGAGTTTCGGGAGGGGGCGCCGGATCTGGTTTAAGAGACCGCGGAACAGATGGTGGAGAGCTCCTGGATGAAAGTTTTTGAACAGGCACTCGCTAATAGACTTGCTTTGACGACTCAGGGTGTAATTGAAGGGTCATTTAATCTAGACGCAAGGTGAAAGAAAACAGGCCCGGGGGTGTGGCATACCTAAGGAGGAACTAGAGCATCTTTTCACTAGGTTTGCCTGTCATTTTGACTTTCCTGGAAAATACGTTCTTAAGTCAAATTTTAAGAATGTCTGAGAAGCATCTCTGAGTATCTCTTCCAAAAACCTTTCGTGTATTTTTTTAGCCGACCTCCTTCCTCCGAGAATCCTCCCTTTTGAAGCCGTTTGGCCTGTGCTTAAGAGTAGTTGGGGTCTCCTTATGGTCCCAGGGCAAAGAGAATTTTCTAACTAGATTCTCCTGTTTAAGACCTTAACAGAAAGGCCTTTCTACCTTCCCTTCTTTGGCTTTACTCTCCAATTTGTTCTTTCATTCCCGAGTTCTCCCAGTGAAACCCTGCATCTCCTCTAAAAGAGAGTATTTCATGGCTGTCCAAAGAGGGCCATACCCCGTGGCCACCTCTCGCGGGCCTCCATAGCCTCTGTAAAAGAGGAAGCACTCAGCCACTGGCCGGCCCCCTTTTGTTGATGGAAGTGGATGCTGTTCTGTTTCCTCCCTTCCCGCCCTTAGGCCTCTCCCAGACCAGATTCTGCACGCCTTGTGCATGTTTCAAGAGTTGAGCACTAAGATCCAATCCCAAGAAGAGGCTTGATCCATCATTAAGAAATCTTACTACCTTTTAAAATGTTATTGCCTTCTCACTTTAAATTAATTTAGAAGATTTTTTTTTTCCCTCTTCCCACTGTCTCCTCTTACTTCAAGTTCAGTTAATTCTCTGAATTCACGAACAGTGGGGCTGCCCTCATAGTTTCTCAGCAGTCCCACACAGAGGAAAAGGCTCCTGGAAACAACGCGAAGCTTTAAGCGCCCCGCGCGGGTGTTGACGCTGGCAGCTCGCAAACAGCGTCCCGCGGCCACGGTGACCCGAGGGGCCGGCCGGCTGACGTCACGAACGCGGCCAGCTGCGGGGACCCGGGCTGCAACCGCGGCCTCTGGCCCCTGCCTTCTCGTTGGGTCGAGGGTGGGAAGGGAAGTTGAGGTCTGGGGTAAAAAGCCGGAAAAAGAAAGGAACAAGGCTGAGAATCATTCAAAGATTAAATGGGGTCGGCTCCCGTTGCTTGCGAAGACGGATGAGGAGGGAGAGAGTTGAGGGGGTTGGGGGGGACCCTCTTTTATCTAACCTTGTGATTCACAGCTTCTCAGAAATTTACATAATACAAGGGTGTAGATGTAAACCTTAAGGACAAAAATAATAATTCAACAGCACATATTTCATTTTCGCACCATGGGCCTGGATATGTTCCCGGTGTTGGCACAATAGCTGATTTCCAGAGCTTTTTACTCACGGCAGAGAATATCTGAACTCTCATACCACTGTTGAAATGAGAGGAAAGGAAGGAGAAAAAAGGGAGAGAAAGAGAAATTGACTTTAATAATGTTGATTTAGATTTCTGAATAATGGTGAAGGATTTTTTTAAAAAACTTAAGAGCATATGTTGTGTACAAAAGGTGCAGGCATAGTAATAATTGGGGTCCTTCACTCTCCAAAGTATCTATTTCCTTTTTATTTGATTGGCATGAGCTTTTCATTTTAAAAGCAAAGTCATTGCCCTTTAATAGGAAATTCCAATTTATTATTTCCTTAAATAAGTGAAGGTCACAATGTCTACTGAAAGAGAGACCCTGCTGTCAACTCAACTCCTACTTGCCAACTCAAATAGAGGACTGAGAAGTAAAATACAGCAGCAGCAAAATACATGTGATTGCTGTAGTTGCTTTTTGAATCCCCCAACCCCTCCTTCCCACATTTGAACTCTTCTAGATGCCACCAGTAATTCAAATTTTGGAGCTCTATTTGCAGTCCCCCCTTCCCCCCCTCCCCCGACCTCCCCTTGGGACACAGGGCAAAAGGAAAGTCAGGGGCAGGGATGGTAGGATCCCAGCATCCCCTTATTTTAGTTAAGAGGGGTAGAGGCTCAGGTGCCCTTTGGTCTTTCTCGCTGCGCCTCCTCCAAGTGAGCCTGACTCCCATAGTCACTTGGAAAGGTAAATGGCACCACAGTGGGTGTGCAATTGAGCCCTTCACTCTTATTGTTTCAGTGTGGGAGTAGTGGTGGCTGGAAGTCAGAAATGGGAAAGAGGTTTCTTCTCCCTTCTTTGCCTTCTGAATTTTAGTTTTCTGGGGCTCCCATTTCTCTGCAAAATACACACCCAAAGTTGGCCATATTCTCTAACATTTCATCTAATCCATCAGTAGTTTGCAGTTATTTTAAAGAAATTTATAAAGATTTTAATTTAAAACATATAGATGGGAACTTAAGATGAGAAAATGTGAACTTTTTTTTCAAAAAGTATGCTATCTATTCTGCCCCCACCTCATCACTAATAATGCAGCCCTGATCAAGGGTAAAATATAAACCTCTTTATTCACCCTGTTCCTCAGTATCCTTTTAAAGCTGGATTCTTCAATTATCTGTTGAAATTGTACACAACTGGTCTTCCTTTCTGAGAAAGGTCTTCATAAATATGCAGAAGGCCAATTTGTCGCGGACATTTTGAGCACTAGAATAAATGTTGCTAGTTTCTGGTGCTGTCTTGGCCTTCCAGCCCAAGTACCCCAACTTGAGGAAGGCCACACAACTAGTGAACTCCTTGTTGAGTAGTGGATAGTGGTTGTTCCCCTTTGTTTTTTCTGTAAAATGGGATTAAATAAAAGCCCCCTTCATTCAGAGGAGACATTGACATTGAAAAGAAATTTTAAAATAAAACCACTTTACATATGAAAGGCTATCACCTTATTAAAAAGTTAGCTATACATTTTTCCAAAATATTATTCAGACAATTGGATTTAAAAACAGTTCCTCTGCTCAATGATAGATTTCAGGTTAATCACATGGAAATGTTAAAATATACACAGGAATCATATTTGCTATGTATTTTTCACAACCTCAAGTACTTTCCTTGTGCCTAGACATCTGCTCTCCCATATTCAGTACTGTGTTCCTGGGGGAACAGTTTCTTCTGTAGATTCAGGAGAATCTACAGAAGAAACCTTAGCAAAAACTTTTCAAACAAAATCCCAATTTGATTAAAGCAGATTTCATTTCTTAAGAAGTGGTTATGCATTTGTAAAATTAATCAACTTTCTATAGACTATTCTAATTTTATGAAAGAACACACCTAGTAATCACATGAAGTAACAAAAGAAATGAGTTTAAGTAAATGACAATGAATACACTTCTTCAATACAGCAACTTTGAAGTTGTTTTAAAAAATTATTACCCGGTTGTCCAGCGGGCAGGACCTAAAAAAAACCCTACTCTCCCATGATCTGCCCGCTCAGTTGGTCTTTCCATGTTACACTTTCCACTTTTTGAGATTCAGTCCTGTTAGATTGTGACATTTTACCATGAAACTTTCTTTACTGAAACATTTTCTACCTCCCTACCAAAATATCCTTCCGAAGTTACAACTGGTTTTGGTTCCTTGGCATATTAAGGAAATGCCCTACAGAATAAACTTTAGCATTTCTTCAGCATTTAATCAAGTCTCCTTTTTTTCAGTCTCACCCAAAAGAGATGTTATTTGTAGAGAGAGAAGAGAGACGTCGTGCTAAAGGGGAAATCATTGATTTAGAGTAGAAAAGAATTTGACACACTACTTTAAATTTTTGCACAGGGAGATATTGATGTCATCTATGTGTAGGGGCTCCATAAACAACCCTAGGCCAGGGCTATGGGAAGAGTAACTGCTTTGTCTGATGGTTCTTGAAACCAACTCTTCACTTCCTCTTAATATGAGAATCATTGATCTTAGGGAGAATCAACGGAGACGGAGATTGGGGACAAGTCTAGAATACGTTTATTTAAAAATAAGCACACAAATACAACTATCCTCACTGCAAAATTGCAAAGTACAGGGAGATAAAAGACGTCATCGTATTGAGTCACTGGGTCTAGGACTCAGAAGCTGCCGCTGGCTACTTTAAAAAAATGACTGGGGGGAGACCACCAGTCGGGTTAAACAAGTGGCTCCAGTCCCAGCTTAATGCCAGGCACGGTCTCTTCCCCTTTCCAGAGTGCTCAGTTTCTACCTCCCCAAGGCCACAGAGTGCTAGACCCCCAGACCGCCAGGGCGCGCGTCTCCCATGCCACCGACGTGCTGGGTTGTGACCCTGGGGCGCACCCTTGCCCCACCCTGTGCCGCCGCGTTGCTCAAGTGTTCCTGGGAGCCTAGAAGTACTGCAGTCCAGCAACTCCGGGCAGGAGTCGGTGCTGGCAGTCGCCCTAAGCGCTTGTGCGCTCTCTCTCTCTCTCTCTCTCTCTCTCTCTCTCTCTCTCTCTCTCGTGCTTGGTTTCCGCAGCTGGGGCCACCTTGAAGGGTGTGGACCCCTCTGCCTTTCTCTCTCTGTTCCGCTTGCAGTTTGCAAGTGTATCCTTCTGTTGCATCCCTGAATTGGGACGCAGGACATCGTTCTAGGCTCCCATAAGCCTTGGAAAATATTAATGAACACCATTTGCACCTGAAATTCCCTTGAACTCAACGCACTGACCACAACAGCCGAGGCCTGAGATTCCTCGCTTGTGATCTGGCACCTCCTGGATCATCCCCGTCCCATTTCAGAGCCCTTGACCAACATAATCTGCAAGTGGACTCAATAACACATCTCCAGCTACCTCCCTTCCCAACCGCAGCCACAGGGGCTGCTGTTAGCGATGCTGGCCCTTTCTGAGACCAGAGTTCCCTTGCCCCTCCCCGTCTCCTCCTCTCCTCCCATCGGGCTGGCCATATATATAACCGGAGAACTGGACAATTCTAGCAAGTTCACAGACACGCCAGGGGCTAGGCTGAAGATCCTCAGAGCTGCGTGTGATCCAAAAGGACCCTGTGCCAACCTCAGAGAGAATGGCCGGTGAGACTGGTGGTGCATGTTGGCAGAGGCCAGCCTCCCACGATTTCTTTCGAATCCATTCATACATTAAGAAACAGTTAATAATGTCCACCACTTATGACGTCTCTAATCTTTCCAGCAACCTTCCTTATGAAGTGCCCATTTTACAGAGGGGTTAAGTAACTTGTCCAAGTACTCAGGGCTCAGACTTGGGGAAGGGATGTGGCTACTAGTATCCAAACCCAGACTTTCTGACTCCAAGCTTGGGGCTCTGCGGTTGTCCAAGCTGCTGTCAGGTACACCCAAATCTGGGTAGTAAAATCGGAGGTCTTCTTCACTTGGGAAACATACCGAATTCTTCCCTCACCTCCTCATCTCTCAGTGGCACATGCTCGCACTCCGGTGACTACTCCCTGAAAGCCAATGAGCGGTTGACCCTCTGGTGACATCTGGAACCCAGGTTCAGAGTTTCGCTCTCGCCTCTACTCCCTTAATATTTTACTCAATGTCACAGAGGAGAACAGCTTAAGGCAGCCCTGCTCCCCATCTTCAATCCGAAGCTGGGGTATCCCAGAGAAAGTCTCGCTCTGAGCTCCTGCTGGGGCACCTGCCCAGCCATGCCCCTCGAGGGCGTCGCTGCTCTCAACCCCTCTCCGCTACTGCCCGGCCGCCCAGGCCTGTGGACGCGACTCCATCTGTAGCAAAGTTCGGGGGCCAAATGGGTCGCGGCTCTTCCTCGAAGGTTACTGCGAGCGGGACTTGAAGGGAAAAGGAGGCGCATTAGCGACTTCGTTTTCTTGCATAGTACTGGTACAGAGTACCGGTGATGGTCGTAGGGGAACTCTATGTAAAGACTGGATGACCACCGGCCTCCCGGAAACCCCACACGCCAGGCCTCCAACTTCTTCACAAAAGTGGGGTGGGTGGCGGAGGGCTGTGGCGGGGGCTTGGAGCTGCTGAGAGCCGAGAGGCGCAGAGCGCAAGCTGGCAGGCTGGGCTGCTATCCCGGCGCGCAGATGCCCCGCCGCCAGTCGAGCGCGAACATCTCTCCGGAACATCGATCTATCACCTCCCTTTAAGGACCCGGACCGGGAAATTTCCATTTTCTGTTTTGGGAATAAGAAATAAAAGCGACCAAGCTCTTGCCCTAATTTCCCCCCGCGGGCCCTTCCACGCGGGCTGGCGGGATCAGAAGGACGGGTCCGAGCTCGGGGGCGCGGGGTTCCTGTGAACTCCGGGCTTGCTCGGTCCGGTCCCCGCGCCTGCTGTCCCCAGGCCCTCTCGGGAGGCAGACCGCGGCAGCGCAAAGGGGCTTCGAGGATCTCTGAGCAACGACGGCTGAGTGACCTCTTTCCCTCTCAAGCACACCTTCAAGGAGCCGGTGGACCCTCTCACCGCCGGTAGCTGCAGGCTGAGGGCGGCGCCAGGCCAGGCTGGACTGTGACCCTGGGTGGCGGGGTGGCAGCACATAGACGCTTTGACTGGGCGTTTATTGCAAAAGAAGCGGGAACTCCCTTCTCCTGAGAGAGGGACAATGAGCAAGGACTAAAGAGAATTCAAGTGGAAAAATCAGTGAATACAAGAAAGACCCACTGCTGGAGCCAAGAGGTTTACATTAAGCTCTGCATGGTTCTTTCCTTTTCCAGGAATAGGCATTATTATTTTTTTTTTCTTCAAGTGTTTGAAAAAATTTTCCTTCTTGACGTATTACTTAACAAACCCATTCCGGTTGGATGTTAGATGGTATTAATTATCTCCTGCAACACTAAGGAAACTGTCCAAATAATGTACCTGTTTGCCCTTCCCCCAAATCATTTAGACGGGTATAGCTATTTCTTTTTAGACAAAATTGTTTCACTTAAAAAATTCTGCAAGAGTTGTTAGGCCTTTGACTAAATCCATTTTCTTAAAAAATAATCCTTAAAAAGAGTTAATACCACATAAGATGTGGCATCCTTTAATAGACAGATGCTTGGGTGTTCATCCTAATAGTTATACCCATCAATGAACAATTATTAAGTCATTTCAAGCACTTTGCAATTAGTTCAATTTGAAGTTAGTTTGGAGGAAAAACTTAAAAATCACTTTTCATTATTTTTCAGTTACTTTATGAATTTTTTCATACATCTTTTTTATGGATCAAAGGTTGGTCTCCGATTTTCTCATAAGGATGCAAGTAGCTCCACTACCTGCCTGACTGCTATTGCCTTTGCTTTGGAAGCCACTGTGGGTGAAGAGTAGGGAACAAGCTTTTAGGACTCTCCTGGGTGTAGAAGGGAAGTAGCAGAGAACATAAAAATCTGGAAAGAACCTCAAAGGGGCTGACCAGCCAAGGAGGCCAATGGGCAGGTTAAACAGGCCAGGTCAGCAGCAAGAACCTCCAGGCCGCAAATACTTTCCCCTGCAGCATCTGCTTTTCTTCTTTATTTCTGAATTCTGTCAGCTGTCATTTCTTAGAGTAAATAAACTTTTCTTTAACAAAGGCCGACTTTTAATACATTTGAGGTCATCAGTTAGTTACACTTCAGGACAAAAGGGATGCATTATTTGGAGATGATCTGTATCAAGGAAATGGACATTTTATTGAAAGGAAAAGAAGGGTGGGTAATTACTAAGTACAGAGCAATGTGTCGTGGAACAGCAAGCTTGGGGATGGTGCCATTGGAGAGTTTGGGATAGCATGACTGGACATTTGAGGGTTTGGAGAAAATAGTATTTGGTGTGTGAATAGAGAAGAAAAGGAGGGAGAACATTCCCAAACTGCCTTTCAAAGATAGTGAGTTGGTAGAGTTAGTCTTTAATCCCGGAAGAAGGAAGAAATTTCCTTGTTTGTTATCTTAGCCCTAGGGCCCAGAAAATGAGCCAAAACAATGCTAAATAGTAACTGTAGATTAAATAGATTTTTAAGGCTAGTCTAGGTACCTAACGACCACTTATTACACCATGGGAGAACGAATCTGGAGGTCCAAGTTGTTTCATTTCTAAAGTTTCAGAATAAACGTTTTCATAAATGCAGGGATACCTCCACTTATTCTGCATTAACTGCCTTCATTTAAAAATTACTTATTAATAAATGCAGTAGCACAATCTGCCAATATGTTTTGGGAAATATCACAAAAATAATTCATAGAGAACTTACGCAACATAATACAATTATCTCTCAAACCCTAGCAAGAAAATATTTTGAGAGAACCACTAATAATGTGAATTACTAGTTAATATTACTAACATTACTAATTATTAGTTAACATTGATTACTAATATTAACTAATAATATATGAAATATATATTTCCTCTGCTATGGAAATATGCTGTCATAGTAATTCTTTTAACAATGTATGTGCCTATTAGGTACAAAGAACAGTCAGTGTTACTATCTTTTACTCATTTGATTAAAAACAAAATATTACAAACAAAACAAACAAAAAACTCAAGAAACAAAAACACAGAGTCAGATAGTTGGGATGTTTGAAACACTGCAAACCTCTTTTACTGCATTTGCTCTATATAAGTCTAATAAATACAGAAGTAGTTATGAGCAAATAGATTTTTATTGCCTGCAAGCTGTTATACTGGAGCAGGAGAATATGGTATCTTGACGGAAGCACACTTGCTACCCCACACCTGGGGATTACTTATAGTTGAAAGAAGAAATGTTGAGAATGGAACAAAGACACAAACCCATTGGATAATCTAGTCTATATTTGGGTTTGGCAATCCTTTCATCCCAGGAATATACCTGTAGACCAATTCAAAGTACTAAGAACCAAGATTAAAGATTTTATACACATCACAATAATAGCAAATTAAGTACAAAACGAACCTGGCACATAAATTATAATTTGTAAGGTACACACCATTTTAACAAGGATACGACAGTGTTGGTGCAGTGGTCCGAACTGACTTCTCACAATGCTGCATTATGAGAAATATGTATCTCGCTTTACACAGAAAACATCATTTTGATGTGATTACAGAAAAATGCTCAAATCTTCTTTAAAAAAAAAAGTTCATGTTCTGATCACAAGCAGAGCCAAGGTTCATTTTTAGGTCAAACTACACAAAAGAGGATGCTCTTCTCCAAAAAAACAAACAAACAAACAAACAAAAAAAGGAAACAAAAAAACCCCAAAATCTTGGCATTTCCCCTTTTACTCTACATTCAGGCTTACTTTTTAAAGAAATACAAGCATTTTTATTTGGCCAAAACAAACAATGAATGTAATTACAAGGACAAGGTTAAAAAAATAAAAAACAATGTCGATCAAGGTCTTCCTTCCTTCTGCAAAGCTGTGTGATATCAGCCTTCTTCTTCTTCGTCACTGTCTTTCATAGTAATGCCCTGAAGTCCTCCTCCTTCTGAAACAGAGGCTGTGGCCTCCTCTACTGTTAAACGTCTGTGCACAGTATCATAAGTCTTACTGTTCAGTGTTCCTTCCAACACACCCTGCAATCGAAAGTCCCTGTAGGTTTTCTGAAGAAAGAAGATAAAATTTGCTTAGCTCACTTAGATTATATGCGTGTACATAGATATATACTCAGTTGGCATTTCAAAAATGATCTTGGGGAATCCACTGATAGGTTCATGTGGCTGTCCATGCCAATCATCTTCTTGGTGTATTTCTGGGGAGTAAATGGAATGACAGACTCTGGCTATTGCTTCAAACTACAATTACTATGACTACATCAAAATGTTGTTACTATCAGATGACAAATTCACTTTCCCCTCAGAACATTACTAATTGCACACAATTTACCTTTTGAACAACCTGTAGCAAAAATAAAATATGTACCTGTGTAAGTTTTTAATAAGAAATTATTAGTTTTTTTAATTGAGGGGGCTTTCCTTTAATACTGAAAAATACATTATATTTTATAAAATGCATTAATTTTGAGGGGTCAGTTGTGTGGAGGAAGAAGATTAATCCTATTATCGGTAAAAGAAGTTCACATTTTCAGCATTTCAGTGAATTATAAAATTTATTTACATGTACCACTGGATAAAAATTTGTGTACATCTAAATGTCTGGATGAATTTTGCCCTTTTCTTTTGAAATTCCCTTGGGATGTGAAGTGCCAAATTCTGACATAAAGCTTCCATAGATGGGACAGCAAAACAAGTATTTACATTTTTTCTTAAAAGAATACATTAAAATTTGCTGTATTATGTATCAAAAATAGAGTACCATGTTATTGTTTGTACAATGATTTTCAAGACAACAAAATCCAACAATATTTTTCTGTGGCACTTAAAATATTAATCTATAATGTTTCCCTTATGTTTACATTGATTGATTGATTGACTGATTGATTGACTGATTGAGACAGGTCTCACTCTCTTACCCAGGCTGGAGTACAGCGGTGTGATCATTGCTTACTGCAGCCTCGACCTCCCAGGCTGAAGCAATCCTGCCACCTTAGCCTCCTGAGGAGCTGGGACCACAGGTGTGTGCTACTGCGCTCGGCTAACTTTTAAATTTTTTTGTAGAGACAAGGTCTTGCCATGTAGCATAGGCTTGTCTTGAACCCCTGGCCTCAAATGATCCTCACATCTCAGCCTCCCAAAGTGCCGGGACTACAGGCCTGAGCCACTGTGCCTGGCCATGTTTACTTTTTTCTTTTCTTTTTTTTGTTTTTATTTTGACATGGAGTATCACTGTGTCATCCAGGCTGGAGTGCAGTGGCACAATCTTGGCTCACAGCAGCCTTCGCCTCCCCAGTTCAAGTGATTCTCCCACCTCAGCCTCCCGAGTAGCTGGGATTACAGGCACATGCCACCATGCCCAGCTAATTTTTGTGTTTTTGGGGTTTCACTCTATCGGCCAGACTGATCTCAAACTCCTGAACTCAGGTGATCCGCCCACCCCAGCCTCCCAAAGTGCTGGCATTACAGGCGTGAGCCACAGCACTCAGCCATGTTCACTTTTTAAAGTGTAATCTTCTTCACATATAATTTTCTGCAGCTAAACATGACTGGTATTTTATTACTACTGATTTTTAAAGTAGGAGAAAAAGTTCAGTTAGTTAAATGGGGAAACAACAAATGAAGATATTTCATTTTGTGGGATATGATTTTGTCATAATAAGCTCATTCTAAGTCATAAGTTATTATGACTAAGGTAGTACTCTCTTACACCAAAACTCACTGTAATTTGCATCAGAACCAGTGAGATAATTCTGAAAGGTATGTTTTGTCTAGATAATCTGGAAACTGATAAACATGGCATTATTACCACAAAGATTTGTGTTTATTCCTATAACTCTCTTGTAATTAAACATGTCAAACATAAAGTATTCACCTACAGATGATGCATCTAATGTAAAGTATTATTGTTCCACTAACAATTATATACTGAGTTTTTGAGTTCAACTTTCTTATTTTATTGGAATGACTTTCCTTTGACTTAGCTTAATTACCAGTAAGTTGGCCAGAGCAGATTTGAATTGTGGATCTGCAGTCCTGAAGGCTTTCTAATTTATATATAATTAAGACCGCTTTCTTATTCAATTAGCAAGCAATAACCAGTTGGGTGAGATACTAGGCAGCTAGCCTTGCAATCTCTTTCTCTGTCTTTAGAATTCATAAAATGTTATTGACACTTGGATGTTCCCTGTGGCTTCCACAAAGGTTTGGTTGGCTCTTGCTTAAGACAAGTGCCTGCCACAGAGTTCTGTTCACTTTTTCTCTCCTAGCAAAAGAAGCAGGTGATTTATGTTAACTGCATTTAATGTCATGTGGCCACTATGGAGAACACAAACACAACCATTTTGACTATTTGAGGGTTTCACTTTTCCCCTCCCCCAAAAAATCATTCTAAGGTAAAAACTTTGCAAATAATTTCAGTCTTTAATTTTTTGTGTAACCCTTTCTGGGATTTGTTTTTTTCTTAGTGTGCAACATGAATGAACCAATTGGTGTATAAGTGTCTTTGTTTAGGGTAAAGTTGGCTATTACATAAATTTTGATGGCATCTAGGTCTCCATGGGCATAGAAGAATGGCAATCCCTGTGAGTAGTAAGGACAAGACTACTAACAGCAAGTAGTTTGGGTCCTGGGTAGAATACACTACTCTGCTGAACCATGCAGGCCAAGTCTAAGTGACCTGGATGGAAGGAAAGTCTGGTTATGGGCCTTCACAATTCTCTACATGTGTTATTCAACAGCTTCTTAAATTCACTGGGAAATGATCATTATAAGCAAAACCATGTAAGTTCTGAAGAATAATGAATCTATGTATGAAATTGGCTAAAAGTCTGTTTATATTCAAAGTAGAAAAAACAATTAGAACATTAAATTATTAATTCACTTTGAGTTTTATTGTGAAAATAATTATTTCTAATTATTAAATAGAGCCCTATGACTTGATTAAATGTATCAGCCCAAGAACACATTGGCTAAGCCTGGAGACTTGCCTGTGAAAAGTAAAACATGGAAAATCAACATATTCATGAAAATTAATTTCATATTTATTGGTCAAATATTGATCATTAGGAAGAATATATTAAAGAAGATATACTGACTTACAGTAAAATGGAAATGTCACTATATAATTAATAAAATTATTGTTCTTTTATGCTAAAATATTCACTAGTGAGAATACTTAAGATCTACTCTCTTAGCAAATTTCAAGTATACATTAATAAGTCACACTGTATATCTTGAGTATATAAAAATTTTTACTTTTAAATTATACCTCAATAAAATGAAAAAATTTCACTCTTGCTTAATCTTTAACTATAAAGATGTGTGGAAATGAGGAATAACTTTGAAAGAAACAAATCATGGGCTAATGTGGAGATTGTTATTCTCAAAACAAAGAGCTTAATAATCTATCAGCTAACACCAGGAGGCTGAATATGTAACTTCTGAAATCTTGAACACAGTAGGCATTAGCTTGAAAATATGGTTTATCATAAGGATAAACAGCTAATTGTAATATTAATCACTGCATAAAGTACAACTGTTATGTATGTGTATATATATGCATATTATATACATATGTATATTTTATATATATATATATATATATATATATATATATATATATATATATATATGGCAAATACATTATCCTGACTCTCTTTTCTGAAGAACAAACTTCATTTGAAAGCTCTTCAAGTCACATTTATAGAAACAAGAAACAATGGAGAACTAAGCCAATTATGAACCTATCATATTGTCCTTTCAGTTTCTTTGTAAAATAAATAACACCATATAAGAAGTGTTCTGGATCAAAATTATTTTCTCCATTGACATGTAATGTGTAGCTATAGTATTAAAATTTTGTGAGTGGCTATAATTTTACTTGTTATTTATGAGTAATCATAATTGCTATTATTGTGGCATTTTAGGTCTGGTTCTACTTTCCAGTAGATTTGCCAATTTCTGACTTTGGAACAGAACTTTCCTATTTGTGGGCCTAACAAGATCAACAAGCAGGCATAAAAATAATTTGTATTCTAATTAGACTGTAGGAACCAAAGGAATAAAGAAAATATTTTAATGTGGCTAGAAACATCTTTTAATGATGTAACACAGTGGGTCTTTGAAAACTTTAGCATGTTTTCATGTATTAGAACCATCTGGAGGACTTGTTAATCTATAGATTACTGGGTTCCACCCTCGGAATTTCTGATTCAGTAGGTCTGGGGTGGGGCCCAAGAATTTGTGGTTCTAACAAGTTCCCAGGTGATGATGATAGTGGTAGGTGAGGAATGACACTTTGCAAACTACTGTGTATACTCATATATACACACATTATGTGTGTGGGTACATACACACATATATACTACTAATAAATGGTACTATAATGAAAGTAAAGGTCTTTTGTTTAAATAAATAGGTGATTCTCAATAGCTTAGAGTTATGTTTTCTGCCATAAGGTGAAATTTCTGTCCCAATTTTAAGAAAAGGTTAAACTTGGGGTAAATTTTGTACTTACATTAGAATTTACAAAGTGTGAAAAATTATGCATAATATATTATTTTATAGATCTTACTCACTAAATATGACATGTAATTTATTAGCTTTTCTCTTCAAGAGCTAAAGTCAAAATGGCCTTGCCGAACTTATGTGATGTCTATGTCAGTAGTTTTGGGTGGTCTCCAACACTCAAACTGATTACCTTTTACATATAAGAGGCATGCTTCCAAAAGGATTTGGGCAATGACAATGTATTACTTTCGTACCAGCATATAATAAAATAACTGAGACTCTCCTTATTCTTCTGGCAAATATAGTACAAAAGCCCTCACAATGATATATGATCCTAATAAATATGAAGTAATTGTATTATGATAAAACATTCATATGCTTAAGAAAATTAATGTAAAATTATTGTGAACCTACTTCCTTCAGGTAACTGTGCTGGGGCTTTATGTATTTAATCTCAAACTGTGAGTATTTGCTAGCAAATTTTTTTTATTAGTGCAAAAAAGATAAATTTATATTCATTTATTAATCTAACTAAACGTGGAAGTAAACAGTAGCACATCATTGCTAATAAGTGATACTTTTTAGTTACATCAAATACAGTTTTCTTGTATGTCAGTATCTTGCCATTATTCCTTATAGCTTAGTGGGCAATTCATATCTAAACACATTTTGTTTACCTTCACAATCTTGATGAGCGTCTTCAGCTGGTAAATATGGAGTTGGAGGTCTAATCTATCAGTCAACCACACGCAAATGACTTTCATGGAACTGCTGTACCATTGCTAGAAGGGAGAATTGGGGCACAGGGGAGGAGAACAAAAAAAGAAAACAACCTCTGCAGTATTCATTTAACAGATTCGATAATGAGGGGGTAATAAAACACTCTGAAATGACCACAGATCAGCACTTGAAGTCAATAATGCTATAATTTCCTGTTAACAGAATTGTATGCTTTGCTAGAAAATCTGTTAAGTTGACCTAGGCTGTTCTTTAAATGAATTAACGTTACAGTCTTTCAGCTGTAACATATTCACGGAAACAGTGTTTTTGCACTTTGCAGCCTAGTGGCCTGCTTTGTAATTTGTAAATAACAAAGGATCCTAAATACATGTTATAGGACTGAATGGACAGCCAAGCAGCAGGAAAAAAGAGGTAAATTATTTTCAAAGGAAAATTTTCTATTAGCCTGCATGTTACATAAAAATCAAAAAGAAGATGTGTTATGCTATAAGTCATGTAGTCAATACCTAAAATTACATTTTAAAGTAGCGATGGCAAAAAAAAAAAAAAAATCTACAACTTAAACAGTAATCCTCAATCACACCTTTATCAATTAAATATTTACCAAGCTCTTTTAAAACCATCTAAAATAAAGATTTATTGAGATCTTAGGAAGAAACATTATCAAGATTGAATTTTTGTAAGAATCACAAAATAGGTGTCAGTTGATCAAATTATGAATGAAAAGGATGTGTTTCATTTTGTATTTTTGGAGGGTCCATAATTTTTCTGTTTATTACAACTCTCTTAAGAGAAAAACTGAAATTCTTCTTTAATGCAATTTTCTGCTCCTATATGTCTGTCAGTCTAGTAAAAGAAAATATTGTTCCTGTTTTCAAAAAAAGACAATCTGCCATTACAAATAACATTTTTAAGGGACACAGTGATTCAGAGCTAGGTTTAGATAACACTCTAAGAATAATGCTACTCATTCAGATAAAAGTGAGAAATATCAATGTCCACTCAGCATTTAGAAAATGACAAAAGAGTTTTGAAAGACAGGAGATTTTGTGCCTTGCTTGTATACACAAACATAATGACAGTCCAGATCACATATGTGTGTGCATACGTTCTAAAGAATTTAAACACCGAAAAAAAATTAGAAAAAAAATTTTCTCTACATAATAAAACCATAAATTCAACTTCTAAAATAAATTTTCACTGATCCAAGTCTGAAATTCATCTGGATTTATATTTATTAACATTGATCCAATACAATTTAGTTTAACAAGAAATGGTATTTTAAGTATAAATTAAAAATGAATTTTACATTTTACCATGCTTATTTCCATTAATTTGTTAGTATAATGAACATATATGCATCAAATGAGATAAGCTAATTTAAATGGATAACTGATATACTAAATAATAGCAATCAAATGGATAAATAAAAGCTTCAAGTTTTAAAAATGTGAGATGGACCATGATTTTTTAAAAATATGTTATTCCTGTATCTAATTTTGCTCCTTCCTAATGAGCACTTTCCTAATATTCAGGACATGTAAAAATTTCAGCAGTTCTATAAAACAAGACAGTCATACTCCAAAATCCTTAAAAAAGTAAACTTCCAGTAAATTCAATACTTTAACTGGCACGTTAAATCTCAAAATCTTTTATAGATACTTTAATTTCCGACACTAAATTCTATGCTACTTATTTCAAATAATTTACAGCTTCAACTTCTTGATTTCTATTTTAATACAGGCACTCACTCACAAGTATTGGTGATATTGAATATGAGTACAGTCAATTGAGGCCCTTCTACCACACCACACTCTAGATAATTTGAAAGTGAAAATATTGTCATAATGGATGTGACTCTTAAAAATTACAGTTATTTTGCAAGGGATAGTAAATATTTCTTTCTTGTTGAAGGAGAGAAACTATATATATTTTACGAAGCCTAACATAACATACTGGTTACTCTGTTAGACTGCACAGTTACTGTAACTTGGTAAGTTGTATAAATTTGAGGGAAATGAAAAAACTTTCTTAAAATTACTCTATATGCATCTTTATGTTCTTGAAAATCCTTATATAATTTAAAATTAACTTCATTTTTCCATTATATATAAAATGGTACTTATAATTAAGTGATAATTGAAAAGACATATAATGTAACACAGAAATCATTTATATATAACTTATTTAATACAATGCCAAAATAATAATTTTAGAGAAAAATAATCTTAGAGAAAAAGAATTTGGGAATAAAATGATCTAAAGTTAACTGCAAAAACAGAAAAAGAGAACTATTATTAAGTAAAATGTTTAAGCTATTTATCATCATCTTACTTTGAAGGACAATAAATTGTTCTATCAGCAAAAGCTTCTAAGAAAAAAATTATTCTATCAAATAAGAAAAAATTATTCTATCAAATAAGAACGTATATTTTGGCTCCTAAGTCAAAGCATTTTCAAGACACACTTCAAATTAAGCAAATGATTAAGGAAAAGCAGCAACTTAGCTCAGAATATTTGCTGCCACTAAGAATAGCCTAACAACAACAAAAATCCCATTATGACTGCTTTCTTGTATACAGTAAAATGCAGACACACACACACACACACACACACACACGCACGCACACACCTTAAACAAACAATGAAAGCCACCAGACAGAAACCTCTAGCACTTTCTTATTTCTAGTGCTGGGATTAATACGTCCTCCTTTTGAGTACTGAATATGGTAGGTCCCATTTTCTCACACTGAGAAAAAAGTCAAAGATAGGTTCTCTCCATTCCCCAATCCCCTCCACCAAACCAAACCAAACAAAAAATTGGAAAAGGGTGAATGTGCAGTAAAGTCTCCATGTTAGAAAGTGCCTTTTCACTTTGGAAAAGTTAATTTTATAAAACAACTTGGTTGACCATTCACTTTTCTCCACAGGGGATGAAAAGGAAGGGGTGCCGCAGCTTGCACAGAAGGTATGGGAATGGCATTACTGCTTTATTCTTTGCCTTGGTCTACACAGGAATAAAGCAGTAAGTGTATATTTTACAAATTTTTTCTACATCAATCCATGACAGCAGCCTACCACTTTAGCAAAAATATGTTTTTTTCTTCTTTTTGTGGTTCATTCAACTCCTGTAAGGGCATGCGTTACTCACTGCATTTTCTTGAGATATCTCTTTTAAAGCAAAAATAGAAGAAAGGGAAAGGCTAGGGTTGACTCTGTGAGACCCCTGTATTTATTCACACTTATTGTGCATGACTGTAGACTGGTAAATCATATTAGCAGCCCGCCTCCCCATCAAGCTGCTACTTGCTTTCCAGCCCTGGGAAGGTTCAACAAATCAACAGGAGCACGGAAAACAGAACATCAGTCTAATCTAGTGTTTAAGGTGAGGTTTTCAAACCCAATCTAAGAAGATCTTTAGAGCAAGCAACAAGCTGAAGGGCTCAGAAGGTGGTATTGACAATGAAAGAGTGTTGAAATATTGAGAAGCGCAGCACTTGTGCATTTTTAATAACAAGAGGGTCAACAAGGACACAGCTCCCTCAGTGCCAGGAGTTGCCACTGACTATGGAAATTGCCACACCAGGGCTATAAACGCTTGCAGTTCATCAGCTTTCTTAAACAGTTCATCAGCTTTCTTAAACACCCTGAACCCCCTCAGTGGACCTTTAGTCTTGAATTAACAAACCAAAGCAATGAAAGAGGGTGCAGTCTGAATGGCTGGCATTGATCCCCAACTGTGTCAGCACTGCTACAGGCCCTGAAAAACTCTTTCCATTGTCAATAGAAATTGACAAACCTCATCTCCTAAATAGTGCAGCTGAGCCGGGCGGGATCCACGCAGCTGTAAAGGGCTCTGCTCTTGGGGCCGGGGAGCACTAACAATAGAACAAGCATGAGCTCTTTGTCAGTCCCAGACTCGGCAATTTTCTAACAAGGATTAAAGTTGTTTCTCCGCAGAGCTGGTGAAAAGAGATTTAGCAACATACCGTGCTTTCTTCATGCAAGTTAAAGAGAAGTAGTTAAGGAATTTCATTATTCTGTTAACTAGTGGAAATACAAAACAAATATATTAAATATGCACAACTCTCCTTTTTACCTAATTTATAACATTTTGAGGATGATTCAATTAAATATAACACGTATTGCCTGGAAACAAGCACTTCACCTTTATTTTGGAAGTTTTATTTTTAAAAAGTCCAGCTGCTTGCCACCTGGAATGAGGTCTCAATACATACTAATGCACAATGCCTTTAGACCCTCCAAGGCTGATATTCCTAAATCTGAATCACAAGACCACATAGGGTTTATATATCACGGCTGCTTCAAGCAAATGATTTTTGTCAGAATGCGGCTTCTGATGATGATGGCAAGGTAAAAATAGCTGCTTCGCTAGGGCACAAATCTGTGATATATTTTCTACTTAAGTGTTTAGCTTTTTATTGATTATGAATTGGTACAACTAGTTGATGTATTTTTATTCTTCTCCAGCTATGCTTGTCTCAATAGGTGACAAAGAAAAGGAAAGAAAAAGAACCAACACTTTTTAGTGAATTAAGACCTGAAATGGCTAAGTTTCCAGATTATGTATTTCTTCATTTATTTCAAAAGAATCTGTATGTTTGGCAAGAGTTGAGTCATTGTGTTAAAATGAAATAACGCCAAGAAAATCTCACCTTAGGAAATATGTACCTTTTAAATATAAAGTTAAATGAAAGAACAAACAATATTTGTTAAATGAGGAAGGCTTGGATAAATTTGATAAATATAAGCCATTCTTCAGGATCATTTAGTAAAGAGCAACAAAATATTTAGAAACATTAATGCACTACAATTTCACCAGTATATTTCTATTTAATGCAACTAAATTTGTGGCTCTGTTTCACTCATTTCCCATGTCTAAACACTAAAACGCAAATGTTATATTAATGGTAAATTTAATATAATAATGTCAAGGTTTTTCTACCCTGTTCAAGGCACCCCACTGAAACTATCATACCTGGGTTCCATAAAACCAGACCCCCAGGCACAAGCATTTTGCAAGTTCTGAGTGTGAATATTTTCCTGGCTTGGAATAGGAGTAAGGGCTATATTTAAGGACAAGTGAAACCAGCCTATTAGGTTTAAAAATACAGGAAGTGTTTAACCCAACCTATGCCAATCAACATTCCCAGCTCAATCCAGAGGCACTCATGGTGGGGGAAGAGAAGAGACTTGCATCTGGACATGGCAGCCGTGGGCTGGTTGTCAACACACCAGGGAAGAACACAAATGCAGACCCCGTGAGGGTGGGCAGTGCTAGCCCCATTTATGCTACTATTTGCTGGATTGAGTCTGTTACGCACCTTCTCTATGCCTCAGCTTTCT
Organism: Homo sapiens; assembly: GCF_000001405.40. Lineage (NCBI taxonomy): Eukaryota > Metazoa > Chordata > Mammalia > Primates > Hominidae > Homo > Homo sapiens. Next base: position 122,330,908 of record NC_000007.14, read on the forward strand.
CATCTGTAATATGTGGGGTAGATTATATGAATCTATCTTTAAAATACTAAGATTTGAATGCTCTATAGAAATACTGTGAGTTTAAATTTGACTTACAGGAAAAGGCATGATGAGCTTGTGATTCTTGTAAAAATGAATGGAAGAGAAAAACCCAGTTGTCATTCTGTTTTTATATGTTGCTTCAATACAGCTTTATTCTTCCAGAATAAAGAAAAATCATCTAGAGTTCCAGAACTTTCTATTGTCTGTTATTTTTTTTTTAACTTATTCATCTGGCCTCTTAATGTATAGACATAAAAATGAAACAATAAAGTATACTGAGGAATGAGATTTATAAAGAACTGTGAATTACAGATACTGTTTTTATTAGTATTATTTTTATGAATTCTAATTATAAAGGCATCTGATATTTATTTTATCCTTCATAAGAAGTTCAAGTGATTCAGTTAAAATTTCATTTAGGCCAGTGCCTGTAATCCCAGCACTTTGGGAGGCAGAGGTGGGTGGATCACTTGAGGCCAGGAGTTGGAGACCAGCCTGGCCAACATGGTGAAACCTCATCTCTACTGAAAATACAAAAAATTAGTTGGGTGCTGTGACGTGTGCCTGTAATCCCAGCTACTTGGGAAGCTGAGGCATGAGAATCACTTGAACCTGGGAGGTGGAGGTTGCAGTGAGCTGAGATCACGCCACTGCACTCCTGCCTGGTTGATACAAGGAGACTCTGTCTCAAAAAACAAAACAAAACAAAAAAACAAACAAATAATTCATTTAATGCTTATGATAACTTTGATGAAGTGGGTGTAATTATTCCCATTTTGCATATCTGGAAACCGAGTTTACAGAGGCACAAAACTGAGTTTAGATTAAGCAATTTACTTATTCAAGTTTATACAATGAGTATGACTTAAGTGGTAGGGTAAAGATTTATATCTTATATTTATACTCCAGAGTCTGTGCTCATAACTCCTGTGTTATTTCACTTCTCTATAGAAGGACATCTGGATTTCTGTTTTGTCAATAACACCTTTGATGCTTAAGAGTAGTTCGGTGCTTCTAGCAGAAGAAAACTAGGAAAAGTGTCATTAGCATTTGTGGTCCTTACTGACAGTCACTGCAACATAGGATTATGCACAAATAGAGAAGGTACCTATTAATTATTTCCAAAAAAGCCCATTCAATTTTTTTTGCAGGTTGAAGCAATCCACATTTCTAAAGGTTAAATGTATCTGTAAATCCAATAACGTAATATACAATGTAAATAAATTCTTTGAAGAATCACACTCCCTATTAGGATAACCAGTCAAATGGCTATTAGGTTATACATCTCATATACTCTCTTAAGACTCATTTTAAAGTGCTATATACCATAATGATTAAAAACACTGGAAAATATTTGTTCTACTGTAGTAAAACAATGTAATGTGGAAAGACGATCCTTGGTTCTTCCATAGTAGAACTCTATATATGTGACTTTCTTCATCATCTTTTTTTTTTTTTTTTCAATCAGAACAGAGAAGCATGTGATTCATGCTGCTTTTTTCCATGTTGAATAAAGTCATATTCAGGGCAATTTTCATTTTTTAACTCCATCAGGCAGTTTGTAAATTAAGAGTATCATGTCTATTAAGGAATGAAAAGTGTAAAAAGTGCTAACATTGGGAAGGTTGGTATAAAATAGGCACCTAATAAATGCTTGTTGAATGCTGAAAAACTTTCCTATCTTTGGCATTCCATACTTCATCTTTTAAAAAATACATGAATATAATAACAGATATTTCCAGATGAATTAGATCCTCTTCAGTTACATAACACAATAAGTTCGAAAACAGGACAAGTTCTGTAAATTGGGAGCTGCACAAGCTCTTTCCAGTTCACTACTACTTTCAAAATACCCTTCATTCCAAAATGTCCTCAAAGAGATAAACTACCTCTTTCTTCAAACTACATGAAAAATATTTAAAAAATAATGTTCTTTATTATCAAATAAGCAAGTGCCTCTGCAAGTTTATTCTGTGGCTCCTTTCCTAGCACTAAAAAGACTAGTAATTGGAAAGTGAAAATTTCAGACAATCAGTTGTTCTGCCCTCCCTTTCTTAGTGTCCTTGATGGGATGCATACTGGTTTGCCTAATCTTTTGAGTGAAGTCACCAGTTAATGGTTTGGCTCATTGATAAATCCAGTTATAATGGTGTATGTACTAGTTTGGGGTGCAAACATCACCTTTATGAATGATTCGTTTAGGCAATATGAAATTTTCATCTGGTTGACTTATTTTGAACATAGTATATAAAATTCTGGTAAATATTGCTTTTTAAATCCATAATGTAGGATTTATATAAAAGTATATTGGACTCTTGGAACTGCTATTAAATGGTACAACTTAGTCTTGAGATGAAACTCATGCCTGAGAATGAGCTGTTAGCATGTCTTTCTGCTTCAGTTTCCTTATAAAAATGGGACACATTCCAAAATCTTCTTTTAAGAGTGTCCTAAGGACGGGAGTAGACAGCTACCTTTCTGTCTCTGAGTCACGGTGCAGTCCCCCAGGAACCTTTTTCAGCAAACTGACCCACCTGCAGCTCTGCCACATGCTAGGCTTCTCTATACCTTCGGTCTCTGGGCATGCCCATTCCTCTGTGTGGACTTTATTCCCAACTACATCTCCCTGTCCAGATTCATGTCAGCCTTTAAGACTCAGCTCAATCATTCATTATCTCTGCTTCTTAGCCAATACTATCTCTTACTAGGTACAATTAGGGGCTCACCTATTTTCTCCTCCTAGAACTCTATACAGGTGTCTATAAAAATATTGCACAATGTAGTTCATGTCTCCCTCAATCAGCTGTGAGTATACACAAGGCTTTAACTGAATCTTACTTGTATTGCTATCTCCAGCCCTTAGTAGAATGTCTGGCACAGAGCATGCATTCAATTTTCATGAAAAGACTGCATGCATTTAAATATTTATAAATATAAATTTATATATATATATATCATATCTATAATAGCAGACAGGCAGCTTTTCAATAGACAAAGGACAGATGAATACCAGAGCCAGATTCACTGTTGACTTGAATCACATATTTCCTTAACAGAAAAATAATTAAATACACGTTAAAGCTGTAGAAATCATTGAAAAGTAAACAGTTGCATTTGGCCAAAAAAATTTAAGACAGGACTCAAATGGGGCTTAAAATGTGACAGTCTAATTTTATTTTAGGTGATGAATGAAATAAAAGAGAAAGTACTATAAATTGATAAACTTTCATATCTATGTACATATATGAGAATACACACACACACACACTCACTCACAAAGCTATGCTAACACTATGAGTTCAGATGTTGATGTACTCAGCCCTCCAGAGGCTGTCCCCCAAGCAGGGAGCTGCCTCTCTAGCATATGCTCAGGTCTATTGGTACCCACTCTGAGGCCATGGGGTGTATTAGGAGGCATGGCTGGATGTGCTGCCTGTGCATTTTCACCACTAAGTGACATGTCCTGGGTGCGTTCTACACTTGTTGGCTTCGTTGAGCTGTTTTTAAAGAAAGGCAGAAAAATATTGTTGCTGTGGAAATAGTGAGTTCTGTCTGTAGGGATATAAGAGCTTGTTTGGGAGCTGATATAAGCCTGGCTTTTGAGCTAAGAACCCAGGAAGAACAGAGAGCAAGAGTGTGCTCTTATCTCACAGTCACGTCATTTGATGCAGGTGCTAGAACTGGATACAAACTTTGTGTTGGCTCTAAACCTTTAGCAAGTTTACAGTCATCCACTTGAAGCAGAGGGAGAAATAAATAAACAATTTAATAGATTAATTATTAGTATCTATTTTGAAACAGTATTGACTTTCAGTTCACCAGAGTACTTCCATTTAAAAAAAAATCTGTGGATAGCTATTCTGCAGATAAAAAAGTAAAACATTTTATGTGGAAATAAAAATTTTTCAAAAATACCCATTTGGTAAGCTCCCTTGGGGCAAGGACTTGGTCTATCTTGTTTAATACTGTATTCCCAGCCTCTAGCAAAGTGTGTGGTCTAAAAAGTCTTTGATAAATATAGGTTCAATTAATAAATAATTAATAAGAGGGGTTTCAACTTTCTATTCTCACTAGATTCCTATTGAGTAATTGTGACATAGATAGCCATCTCTATGGGCAAAGCCAAGACCTGAAGTTTTAATCTCAACATTTCCCACCATTTTTTACACATAGTAATTGAATGAGTTTGTTTTCTAGATCTTCTAATGTAAAACACCAATGAAATGGATATTCTACATGAATAAACATGTACTTTTACTGCCTCAAAAATAAATATTCTACATCATTAAACTTATACATTTATTGCCTATCTTTTTTTGAGATGGAGTCTCGCTCTGTCACCCAGGCTGGAGTGCAGTGACACAATCTTGGCTCACTGCAACCTCCACCTCCCGGGATCAAGTGATTCTCCTGCCTCAGCCTCCCGAGTAGCTGGGATACAGGCATGTGCCACCACACCCGGCTACTTTTTGTATTTTTAATAGAGATGGAGTTTCACCATGTTGAAAGTTCACATGTTGGCCAGGCTGGTCTCAAACTCCTGACCTCAGATTAATGCCTATCTTTAAGTTATGTAGCCAGTGAGAGAAAAAGTCAACAAAAACAAATATAGGGAATATATGGAACTATAGAGGTCAGTAGAGCAAAAGTATGGGAAAGTTATATATTAGAATGAATAAATAGAAGGCTTGAAAGAATCTTGTTCAGCCACGTTCAAATACTGCATCCTATCCTTGACTCTAAACCCTAAGCATGACAGAGAACACTTTGAGAAGTTTCAAAGGACAGCCACAAAGATGATTAAAGGGCTAGAAAAAAAGGCCTACAAAGTGCAGTTAAACAAATAGGGATTATTTATCCTGGAGTAGACAAGTATGACAGGTACCTTAATAACAGTCTTCATATTTAGGAGGGATTATTCCTTAGAGGATGCTGGCTACCTGCCTTTTGTTCTCCAATGAGAGAAAAAAGAGAAATGGGTTTAAAAATCAGCATGAAGAATGTAGGTGAGGTACGGGTGAGAACTATTTTTTCCCCTCCAGTGAAATATTTTGTCCATATTAAGACAGCAAAATTTAGATGATGTGTTATCTAGGGCTGTGCTAAGATCAAGAAATTCAGGGTTCTCTCTTACAGGTTAGGTGTTTATATGAAAGCTTAAAATTATTTTATATATAGTTTCCTGCCAATGCATTCAATAATCACATGTAATGATAGTTCTGCTGGTTCCTTACACAGATTTTTTTTCTTGGATTTAGCCAACACTGGTGACCTGGCTGCCACTGCTGTGCCCACTTGTGAATGGTCTGACCTTGCAGAAGGCGTGATTCACAGAGGGGGAGTACAAAAGGCCAGCACAGAAAATGGCTTTAAAGCCACCATACCATTTGTTTAAGAAGTTAGGATGGAAGAGATGGAGGGTAGTAGCTATCTGTTCTATGAAAACATTGCAGTGATCAACTGATAGAAATGCTGGTCTCAGGGGAAGCCTGGACATTTCCATGAACAAGGCACTAGAGACCAGTTGAAATGCAAGCATGCAAAGTCACAGGCTCTACATATAGAGGTCAGAATTTCTAGACCATCTTAAAGATGAAAGATACATGAAAGCAATGCTAAATAACTTTCAAATGCTCAACATGTTCCTTATAATCAATTCAACAGTCTCTTATAAAATTGGTAGAGAGAATATTCTAATTTCTTGAGTGACTTAAGCCTTTGTTACTGGCTCAGGTGGATGAATGCAAATATACATTATGCAATTGGTGTTTAGAAAAATTTCTCCACGAAAATGAAAGTTGTGTCACCTTCCATTCATCAAAGACAGTTTTACCATTGGTAAGAGAGCTTAGGTGATCAACATTTTCTTTTTCCTATTCAAGCAAAATCCTCTGGTCAGTTTGCATGTGGAATTTCTTTTTTTAATTCTGAGCACAATTAAAGGTGAGTTAAGGCTCTGGTGGAAATCTAAAGAGCATCAGCAAATCTGAGCACTGCTCAGCTTTTGAATTGCTTTTCTACTTCTCAGTTCTTTTAAATAGTTTTCTATGGCAGGAACATTTTTCTTAATTAGTCACAGCTAATTAGTGTTCTGGCATAGACAAGTAATCAGAAATGTCAGAGCTGCAAGGCTACATCTCCCTAATCCTTTGATAATAATTTAGCCTCCTGGGAGGGCCCCAAGCTGCGGTAAGTAGTGACTGACAATAAGGCAAAATTAGGTGGGCAGCAGACCATTAGGATAGAAAAATAAAAAGCACTACCAAATCCTGCTGAGCACCATCAGGCAACTAACTGCACTGCCAGATGAGGTGCCTGTTTAAGCCTCTGTTGTTAATTAGCTGATTCTACCAGACCTGCCACATATGTCCAGGTGCCTCATGCAAAGATGTGTATTTCTGGGAATGTGCCAAATGACAATTGTGTTCCACGATCACATTTCAAGAATCTAAGCAAGAAGCCCACATATTTCTTGAACATTCTTTTGAATTATCAAAGAAATAAGACCAACAAGCTATTAATACACTTTCTGGTTGAGTTTCTTTTAGGCAATTGGGCATGCTTATCTCAAGTTTCTCAGGTTTTAATTCACCAAAGCTCTGATTCAAATGAGGGCCTTTGGCCTCTCTGAACCACGTCTGGACTTGCCAAAGCTATTTTGGCATACACTATACATCAAAAGTTGATCCTTTTATAAATTCTTACACTTACAAATAATAACTTAACATTACAATGAGGATTATTAACTCAAAGGAACCAGACAGCGGTAATTCGAGAGCAGAGGTTTTAAAGAGAAACAAACTTTAAGGAAAAAAAAAAAAAAAAGCTGAGGAGCAGCTCTGTATGGCATCTACTGAGGCAGAGAAGACAATATAGAAACAGGCTTGACTATGACTATCTTAAAAGAGGTCAAACAACTTCAGTGTGAGTCCAAATACCATAAGTAAACCAAAGCAGGATTATATACAATGAAACACAACAATGACAACAGCTGGAAAACAATGTGTTAAAAGCAGCTAAGTAACAGATTGCTACAACATGTGAGATGAATAAGACACTGCTGCTATCATATATATAACCAATTAGTCAAACTTTTTATCCACCTTTAGTACACAATGAGGTACTGAGGTACACAACACAACAATGTTTATAAATAAATTGCCTCAGCTGGGTATGGTGGCTCATGCCTGTAATCCCAGCATTTTGAGAGGCTGAAGTGGGCAGATTGCCCGAGCTCAGGAGCTCGAGACCACCCTGGGCAACGTGGTGAAACCCTGTCTCCACTAAAGTACAAAACATTAGCCAGGCATGGTGGCACGCACCTGTAGTCCCAGCTACTTGGGAGGCTGAGGAAGAATTGCTTGAGCCCAGGAGGCAGAGGTTACAGTGAGCTGAGATTGCGCCACTGCACTCTAGCTTGGGCTACAGAGTGAGACTCTGTCTCAGAAAAAAACAAACAAACAAACAAACAAATAAATAAATAAGTAACCTCAAACAGCCTCAAGTACCTCACTGTACTCATATCATACATCCCTTTCTATTGATGGAAAAGGAAAATAATGGCTATGACATGGGAATAATATTAGTATTTGAGTGTTGATAGGAAAATCATGGTTGGACATACTGGTACAACAGTTAATTATTTATATTTGAGTACTTTTATATAAAAATAAGACCAAAGTGAAAATACCCTAATGGGAATCTATACTAATTTGTGAAGACCATATAACAACTATACAGTTATTAAAAAGTGAAAAATAATTGAAAAGAGGAAAACTGCTATTTTAAAACTGACATTCACATATAAGAAAGCATCCCATTTTTCTTTTTGAGACAGGGTCTTGCTCTGTCACCTAGGCTGTAGTACAGTGTGTGGTCATAGCTCACTCTAGCCTCAAACTCCTGGACTTGGATGATCCTCTCGCCTTAGCCTCCGAAGTAGCTAGGACTACAGGAACATACTATCATGCTAGGCTAATTTTTTTTTTTTTTTTTTGTAGAGACAAGGTCTTGCAATGTTGCTCAGGCTGTTCTTGAACTCCTAGATGTAAGTGATCATTCTCACGTTGACCTCTTGAAGTGTTGGGATTATAGGCATGAGCCATCCTGCCCAGCTAGAATTCTTCTATAATATCGTAGAATTATAAGACATGCAAGAAGGCAAAGATGGTCTTCCATCTCAGTGGGTTCCAGCCTGCATTCCTAGTAAACAGGCTGATTACATACACAAAGAAACTGGCTCAAATAATATGACTGAAAAAGTACATTATCAGCTCTAAATACATACAAAGAAGTGTATTGTGAAAGTTCTATTTAATGGTCACTTTTATCCATGTTTTGTTGATTTCAACTGTGTATTGTGAAAGTTCTATTTAATGGTCACTCTTATATAACCAAGTGTATTGTGAAAGTTCTGTTTAATGGTCACCCTTATCCATGTTTTGTTGATTTCAACTGTGTATCGTGAAAGTTCTATTTAATGGTCACTCTTATCCATGTTTTGTTGATTTCAACTATTCTTAGGAAATCAACATTGTAATAAACAGTCTTTAAATACATTAAGAATAGCAGTGTTAATCTTACCAAGAATGAGTAAATTCTCACTTCAAAAAGTTTGGGCATTGATGTGAAGCACTAGCTCAAAAGTTCCGGGCAGGCCGGGCATGGTGGCTCATGTCTGTAATCTCAGCACTTTGGGAGGTGGAGGCAGACAGATCTTCTGAGGTTAGGAGTTTCAGACTCGTCTGGCCAACGTGGGGAAACCCTGTTTCTACTAAAAATACAAAAACCAGCCAGGTGTAGTGCTGCACACCTGTTGTCCCAGCTACTCTGCAGCTGAGGCAAGAGAATCATTTGAACCTGGAAGTGGAGGTTGCAGTGAGCCGAGATTCCACCATTGCACTCCAGCCTTGGTGACAAGAGTGAAACTCCATCCAAAAAAAATAAAGTTCTGGGCATTTCCCCCTTTCTTAAAATTTGGGAGTCCAGAGGCAAACAAGAGCATGTAAGTGCAAAATCAGTTTCATTTTGAGAAGCACATTCACTTATAATATTTTCATTATTTTCTTTTTATCTTACATTAATAGTCTACTGAATCCATTTATATAGTATAGGTCAATTTTACTCAAAATGTTTAATTTAGAGTTTCTTCACTGGAAAGTAAGCATTCTTTTCACAGAAAGTCCTGGGAAATTAAGCCTTTATAAAACGCTGTTTGGATGAATATAACTGATTAACTATCATTTAAAGAATTACTTTAAATATTACAAGACATCATAACATTAAAAAAATCTTGTGGAGATGAAACTCCTCCACAATTAAACATTTAATCAATTTATAACAAAGAGCATGTTTAATCTGCATGATTTACCAATTAAACATTGTACCCTGATGTGTCTTCAGCAACATGAGAGCTAAAATGAGATAGTTTCCAAGGGATTCAAGGTGGGCAGTGCCCAATAAATGCACAATGGTTTAGAGAGTTAGGTAGGTTTAGTGTCTATCTTGAAAAATAAGATGCGCTTCAGTCAACTCTCAACTGCCTCCACATTTCAACATTCTTGGACCTTAGAAAATGACAAGAGAAGTGCTGTTGTGGTCATTACTACAGATGTCAGTTTTGACTTCTGAAAAATCACCCCTTTCCAGCCCAGAGAGCCAAAGCTCTGAAGAAATGTACCAGGATCTCTGCTGACACATGGACACCTGTGGCTTGTGCTACATGTTCTGAAACCTGAGAGAGTGAGCAGCCACTCTGCCTGGGAAGAAACATCACAGTAGGCATTAAAAATGGAATTGAAGAATTAGAAAATCTTTGTCATACTTTTTATATTGGGATCAGGTTGAAGATGGTTTTGATTTGATAAAAATTTTAAAAAGACTGCTCACAATGATGCCTTATGTGTTAAAAAAAAAAAAAAAAAAGGACATTGGTGTAAGAGAGAGAACCTCAAAGCAGAAAAACTTTCTTTTGGTATATTCATGATCTTTCCTACTACAGGATAACTTCTTTCAGTTTTTCTTACCCAACAAGTCACTTTTTTAAAATTGGAAAAGTAAATGTAATATCTAGATTATAAACTTAGCATGTGCCTCAGTGGTCACGTGAGAGGCAGAGATATCCTCTGTTTAAAACATCCTGGTCAGCTGGAAACACTGAGTCTGAATACAGAATATACATATTGCAACTTTTTAAAAAAATTTGGGTTTCAGAACCACAGTGATAGATATACACAATGTCATATGGCATAGCTACTTTTGTAGATAGATTTTCTTTTCTATTAATCTACTGCACATGCTACTGCTTCTTTGGTGGGACACCTTGTTTTCACATGGCTATCACAAAATAACTTAGAAATTACTATACTGAAGTACAAGACCCTTTATGCAATCAGTCCAGTAATTTCGGTCATCATTGCTAACATTAAAACTAAAAAAAAAATTGGTTTAAAATCTGGAAGAGTTTCAGAAATCATCTGGAGTTCCAGACCAACATCTTTAGTTTACACGTACTAAGTAAACTGAGTCTTACACAGATGGCATAACTTTTTCAAACTCACCCAGATATTTAATGGCAGAGCTGTGGTTGGAACTCAAGTTTCTGCATTCTCAGACCAGAGCTCTTCCCATAACACTACTTTATCATTTCAAATTTTGTTAAGTCAGAGGTAAGGTAGAGAGAGCATAGACTTTGAAACTTGAGAAATACGATTTCAAAGTTTGACTCAACAATCCACAAGTCACTTATCTTCTCTGAGTGGGAGATGTTTTAACCTAAAAATAGGGATAAAATGGGATTGACGGGATCTAGCCTAGGAGCTTGGAAATGATATAGGTGAAGCACCTAGAACATTTCCTGGAACAAGGAGGTGGCCAGGAAATGGTAGTGGTGAAAACTACAGCTATTATTTTGATAGGTTGAAAAGATGAAGGATGTACCTTAAACAAACTTAGTTTTCCCTGTTAACATCATGGACCTGCCATAACTTATTTATACTTTTAAAAAGTTATTTCTGTTTTAAGCAAAAAGTGTTTTGTAAATGTGACTACTTATGAGGTGAATATAATGCCTTCACATTTGTCCTAATGTTAGCTTTTGTGACCCTCAAAGGATACTTTTAATTTTAATATTTCAAGATTTGATGTAAAAAAATTAAAGATTATCCTATTTATGACCTTTAAGGTAATGCAGATTTTATTTATTTCCTCTCTCATACTTTGACATTAATGACTTATTATTGGAGATGGGAATGATAGCAGCAGTGCAGAATACCCCAGAAGCAGATTTTATACGGTAAATGGCTGTGTAGGTTGTACACTGAAAACTCTTGAAGATATCAATCTCATTCCAAAAACAATGGGCACGAATCTAGGCCAATGTCATGTTTTTGGTCTTAAGCAATAGCAGCTTATTTAAACCAAATCCTGGGGTATTTCATCACAAAAATCAGGAACAATCAAGGTGTTTAAATGATCAAAAAGTTATAGAGGTCAGGGATACTGTGAGTAGTTAGTTACTACACTCAGGGAAAGTTCCACAAACTTTTTAACACAGCTGCATCACCTGCAAAGATTATTTAGTATTACATGCTTTCCAAAAATGTTGGGGGCAGGGTGAATATGTTTTGCAGACTAATTGTTTTATATAAAAATAGTGTTATATGTGGCATTTCCAAAACTAAGTGAATTTCTTGAAGAGTTTAAGCCCTCATGTTGCATGACCCAGAAACTGTAGCCCTTGTTTTCTAATCTGGGTTGGTTAAAACCACTAAGTTTTAATTCAGTATAATGTGTGTGTAACCATGTTTTCACTTGCATCTGAAGTTAACAAGATCCATTTACTTACTTATATAGGAAATACTCTAATTGGAATAGCAAAAGTTCGTCATGATGCCTGAATGAAATTTTTCTCTTCAATCTTTTATCTGTAATAGGCTAAGGTTGCTAACAGTATTTATAGGGTCATTATTTTCAACTGTTTTTTGACACCTAACAATATTATTTTAGGCTCCAGCCAAGTGGATTTCCAATAATTACATAATGTCTCTCAGTAATGATCTGTTGCTTAAGATACACATTCTACTTTGCCTTTCAACACGTACTTGATAACCTCTCATTTTCTAACTGTAATTGAGGCAAATTCAGTCTTGGCTGATTAGGGGCTTTTAGTATCCCCTCATACATGTTATTCCTGATGACAAATCAATAGAATTAGGGTCTATTTTTATTTTTAAATAAAGTAATAAAAATGTGCAATTTAAAAATATTAGAATGTTTAAGGACACTACAATTATTTTACAAATAACAAGTCCAGTGTTCTACCGGGGATATTCAAAATACAAAACCTTCACAACCAAAACAGAATGGTTGCTTATTAAGGGTTACTTTTAGACCCATAGCCATGTCAGATGCTTAGGCATTGAATGAAAGTATATATAACCAAGGCAATTAAACTAGTGTTATATTTTAATGTTGGCCTCCTTAGAGCCACTTTAGTTCCCTCTGTCTGTTATCATTGCCACATAGAAAGTCTTCCAAAGAACTTCAGTGAATGAAGAGGAGTTGGAAGTAGAGAATAACTTCAAGGAGAAAAAACTTCTACCTTTATAATGAACTGATGGCAAGAATGGATTGCAGTAAATAGGTCACCGAGTCAAAAAACTGAAGATGTTCAGAAAGTTCACCCATTCCCCTTGACAAATCTATCTATGATGGTCTACTTATAGAATGGCTTTAACTTTTCAACATAGAAGACGTGCTTTAGCTATTCTAAGAAGAAACATAATGGGAATAACATCAACTCAATTTCCCTCTTCTGTTCAACAGTTTTGAAAATCACCACATTAGCAGAAAAAGTAAAAGAGAACTTGGAAATGAAACATATGCTTGTAAATTCAGAGCAATACCAAATGGAAGCAGAAGTTGCTAATATGGTTTCAGTATTTTGTAAAAGAGCCAGCTGGATGGATGATAATTTTTCTACCCCTGCAGGGCATCAAAGCTTTTAGAAAATCATTTTTTTCACACATATTAACACTTAGCTTATTAAAACAGGCAATACTTTTTATTGTATGATAGCCTGAGTAAAGGGTAGAAACATAAAGCATGAAAGATAAAATTCATTTTGACCACCCAAACTGACAGTGAACACTGACACGAGAGACCACGGCAGAGAGGATGACGTAGCAGGACCTTCTGCAACTGCCACAGCTGAAGTGTCACCATGAAGCCCGTGAATTGCTGTTACGAAAACATTTGCCGTAACTTGCATAATTAAGTGAAACTGCCAGAAAAGCATTTCTAAAATGCAGAGAAGATGTACATAAATAAATAAGCTTCAAAGCAAATATTACATTTAGGAATCTGTATTGTGGTGAATTATGCAAAGTTATGTCACAAGCAAAGTATCATTTCCTTTGAACTGACTGTAAAATAATTACAAATGAATGACAATATTGTTATTTAAATTGACTGCTCTGTTAGTCTCCTTTACAGATACTGAATAAATGAAACATGACGATCACAGTATACAAAACCACAGTCCTCATTTTTAGGCATTGTCATGCCTAAATGAAGACCTTAGTGCTGATAAAACTGTAATACTGCATATTTTAGCACATATCAGTACTTTAAATCAAGATAAAAATGTTCAACAGTAGAGTGGCAGATATTTGGCTTTACTGCAGCTTATTTGTTTGTTTAACAGTAGAATATCATATTGACTTAAAACATCTTATAGTAGGGACCACATCCATTAGAACATGATTCTGTTTATGGAATGCTGCAAAAGGCAAGTGAAAAGATGCTGAACACCATGGTAAAATTATTATTATCTGGCTTTTTATAACTAACCTCAGGTTTTTGAGACTCATTCTAATGGTGACAATTTTTATATAGAAAAGGAAGCTAATTAAGGCCTCCAGCAGTCAAAAGAAGTATAAAAATTATCAACTATATTAGCTGCAAATGAACAGGAATTGGAAATGGGGAATAACTTCAAGGAGAAAAAACTTCTACCTTTATAATGAACTGATGGCAAGAATGGATTTCAGTAAATAGGTCACCAAGACAAAAAACTGAAGATATTCAGAAGGCACCCCGCCATCCCCCCGGCCCACACACCAACAAATATACCTTTGATGGTCTATATCTAGAATGGCTTCAACTTTTTATTTTTTTATTTAGTCATTTTTTTGAGAGAAAGTCTCACTCTTTCACCCAGGCTGGAGTGCAGTGGAGCAATCTTTGCTCACTGCAACCTCTGCCTTCCCGGCTCAAGCGATTCTTGTGCTGCAGCCTCTCGAGTAGCTGGGATTACAGGCATCTACCACTACACCCAGCTATGTCTTTTATTTTTTCTTGTATTTTTAGTAGAGACGGGGTTTCGCCATGTTGGCCAGGCTAGTCTTGAACTCCTGACCTCAACTGATCCACCGGTCTCAGCCTCCCAAAGTTCTGGGATTACAGGCATGAGCCACTATGCCTGGCCAGCTTCAACTTTTTAGTATAGAAGATACAGGATCACAAAAAGGAGACTATGCTTTGCAAACATACCATCAAAATTCAACTTTTCTCTTTGCAGTTTATCTATGGTGTCAGCATACCTTGCAAGGGAAGCTACTTACATCAAATAACTTTTCTATATACATTTCCTCATTGACCTTTTCTCGAAGAATATCTTGGTTTTGCCGAACAAACATAATATAGGTGTCTGCCAGATCCATTCCTGGTTTCTGTTGTGAAGGAAAAGCAGGGGGAACAAAATAATATCAGGTCTCAATTGTGAAATTATTATTTAATCATACCCTGAAAAATAATTTTGAAAATTACAGTCATAACAAGGAGCTTAAAACTAAACCAAAAGTGAGCATCTTCAATACATTCCATAATTAAAGCAAATAAAAGTTTATTACTGATGTTCACAACTTGAGATCAAATTGAAAATACAGAGTTGTAGATCCGTAGATATCTTTTTTTTTTTTTTGTTAAATGGCTATCTTGAAAGGCCAGTATGTCAAGCAGTATAAATGAATAAATTTTTCCAAAAATTTTCCATGTGTAATTATAATTTCCCAGTTGCAAATACAATTTACTTTGCATCATCTCTGGCTGGCTTATCAATAATATTTAAAAATGCGCTGAGTGCCATGGCTCATGCCTGCAATCCCAGCACTTTGAAAGGCTGAGGCAGGTGGATCGCTTGGGCCCAGGAGTTCAAGACCAGCCTGGTCAACATGATGAAACCTCATCTCTACAAAAAATAAAAAAAAATAGCTGGGAGTGGTGTTGTGAGCCTGTAGCCCCAGCTAGCCAGGAGGGTGAGGCAGGAGAATTGCTTGAGCATGGGTGGTTGAGGTTGCAGTGAGCTGTCATCATGCCACTGTACTCCAGCCTGGGCAACAGAGCCAGACCCTGTCTCAAACAAACAAATGAAACAAAATAAAACCAAACCAAAAAATGTTAGCTTTCCTTAGGGTGCCTCCCTCAACTACTATGGGCGTTCAAGGAATACAAACTAAATTTTTTATTAAGCTGAGTAAAATATTTTGAAGAAGATATTGGGGAAAATATTTACTATATTACAAAATGAAATGTAAAATATCTTGTGGATTATCCATTGCTTCTACTCAATATTTAACAACATTATCTGAATAATTTATTTTCTTTTAGAAATGTGGCAAGAGTATCAATGAACTAGTTTCCTATGTACAGCCGAAGATGTGGATTAAATACCTTTCCAAAGTTATTTAACATTTGGTGTCTTCTAATAGTAGAGGAGGTAATACAATTTCTCCTTGCTATAGATGCTGCAAAGTCAGTACTAGTAAGGGATAGATGCCTGCATGGCTGTTAAAGACTTTTTTCTAATTGATTTATGTTTAGCTCTTTCTTGAACTTCATATAGCTGGACTAGATAATGAAAGCACTTACTTGTGTCATCTACACCTGGGCTTGGTTCCTAATCTGTATTGAGTTGTTGATTAGAGTATGACATTAATAAGAACAAAATGATAACTATCTATCACTAGGTAGATCTGCTACCAATTTGATAGGTAGATCTATTAAATTAGATAGATCCATCGACCTAATGATAGGTAGGTAGAACTGATGCCCAAATAAGCCAGTTAGCCTTGCATCATTTCGTATTCACAGAAAGCATTTATAACCTTTGTCAGCAGACTCATTTGCAAAAGTAAATACTATAAGAAAATTAGGTTAAAGAGGATATGGGTCATTTAACTATTACCATTGCTGGAAAAAACAACTCAAGGTAAACATGTGAGTGATGCTAGGACAGTAGTCACATCTTCTCCCTAAATGAAAGAGAGTTCTTGCCATTTTTTTTTGGAGGGGGCATATTTTATATAACATAATAAAATTGACCATCTCTTAACCAATATATAGTATAGGCAGTGAGCATGTCTTACTTATTCCATTTATAAAAATTAATGATTTTTTGTTACAAAGTTATTTCTGTGCAGTAAGAATTACTGCAATCTCTTACTGTTCTTATATTTAGTCTAAAGGTAAATATATACCACATAAATTCAAGGATCCTTTCAACATGACCCTGATACAACAACATTAGCTGTAACTTGAAATAACTATATAAATGTCTTTACTGGTCTCTCCTTCAGTAGCATTCATACACAATGTTGGCTATCTATTTTCAACCTAATGGAGGCAATTTATCAAATTCATTCCTTCACTATTTCAATAATTCTCATGAGCAATGTTTGAAAGTTTAAACAATTACAAGGATAAACAATAAAAAAGCTAGACTGTTTTCTTCTTTGGGTCTAGCAAGATTATACATTGGCTCTTCCAGTGAAGAGGCAGGGTAATTTGTACAAAGATTACTACTATTAATACTTGAAGGAAACTAACTCCTAAGATACATATTTCTCTCTGTGCCTCTCAAACTTTGTCAAAACACTGACAATGAGAACATTCAAAAAACCTGCTGCTGCAGAACGAAAGTGACATGAGAACAATTTTCAATACACAATAGCAAGTTAACTCAGTATCTGAGTTTCAGGCAAGTATCCAGAAACAGGATGCTGTAATGTACAAAATACCAAGGTAGTTGGGTACAGCCCAGTTGAACTGGGAGTTGAAGAACAGACAAATGGGACGCTTGTCTTTACTACTATTTCTCCCCACCCCAACCCCATTTTTGTTTCCATCTTTTAAAGGCCACTGCTTAGACATTCAGTTCAGTCAGTCACTAGACCTATCAGTCTCAGTGGAAACTAAGTTATGGCCAGGAAGACTGAATAATGACTTTAAACATTTACCATAGACACTACGGTAATTTCTTTTCTGTTTCCTTGATCACTTATAAGATTAGACTATCATGAAACACTGTCCAGGAAGAGTTTATTTTCCACCACCTGAAACTAACACTTTACAGTTTAAGCCTGAAAGAAAACGAAATGCTTTTCCTATTGGCAGATCCAAGGGATATAATACTGAAATTTCTAAGTTGAGACAGTTCCACAACTTTCTAAGGAAATAAAAATCTCTGGCTGAGGATACACTTGATTGTTGTAAAAAATCAAGTGTTTCCTTTTTTTAAAAAAATTGCATTTTCTTCCCTTTTGGCAAATTAAGATCCACTTGCCTAAAAAACAAACCCAGAATTCTTACATTCTTCACTGGAATTATTTCTTCCTTTATCATTGAGCTGTTTACCTATTCTTGAAATTGTGACATATGGGAATTTCACACCTAGTGAATACATTTTCATGTAGCTTGTGGCATGAGTGTATAATCATTAAAAGAATATACACAAGTAAGAGTAACTGCAACAGCTGGTGACATTTACCAATTAGAATTGTAGTTCTTTAAAACACTTTATCTTTCATTTGGTGTATGAAGGGTAATTATCTCTGATAAATTGCTGAAAAAGATGTAATTTTCCTTTTAAACAGTTTCTACATACAGTACAAATGTGTTTGGATAGAAGACATTATCGCTGGTTCAATGCTCCCATGTGCTAAGACTCTGTTTTATTATGGTGGTAAAATTTACACACCGAAAGTCACTGCATCTAATTTGAATCATTATTAAGTGTTATAAGAATATGAAGTTTAGTGAAAATAATAACTAAGTATGCTAGTACATTTTTGTGGGGTTTTTTTTGGTGTGTACATGAAGACAATGCATATGATTGCATTGTAAAGACAAACTATAACTACACATTCTGATACAAATGCATGACTACCAATTATATCAAAAAAGTGGCCGGTTAAACTTCAACAGCTGTGGATTCAGATTAGTTTTTATTAAGAATATTGTATTCTAGAGAGCTATATTTAGAAATCTCTTCTAAATTGGTAATCATAGTTTTCTTAATATGAGAAAAATAACAAAAACCATATAGTAAGTACTCTATGTATTAAATGCCATTTCGGAGTAAATTATTTTTTTCATACTCCCATTTAAACCTCCAGGATCCTTAGTTCACTACACACTAACTCTTCCATCTTGTTTATTAAGATGGTAATCTCTAAATGAAAATAGTAGTTCCTAAATTACTTTTAATCTCATTCAGAAAATAATAGAATCTGTCTAGCAAAGTTATAGTGAAACAACACAAAAATCTAAAAAATTCCCCCATGAGCACAAAGGGATCAAGAACTATGGGAGGAAATGAAGTATTTTAAGGTGAGTTCCTCTGACACTGTATAAGTAATCAAATACATCAGTGAGTGAACGAATTTAAGAAAGGGTGCAGACTCCAGCACTTTTTTCCCAAGCGTTAATCACTAGTTAACCTAGTAAGATGAACACGCTGTTTAAAGAGAAAAAAATTCCTTGTTAATTATATGCTGCAAACGCTCTTGCTTCCTGCTGCTACACCTAATCCCACAGGTGCAAGTCTTCGCTTTCCCTATTCATGGGTAGATGGGTGCAACACTGCAGTCATTTTTCAC
This sequence comes from Homo sapiens, assembly GCF_000001405.40. Classification (NCBI taxonomy): domain Eukaryota; kingdom Metazoa; phylum Chordata; class Mammalia; order Primates; family Hominidae; genus Homo; species Homo sapiens. The sequence goes on from NC_000007.14 coordinate 122,349,888, forward strand.
GGCAACAGATTTAGACACAGAAGAAGCTGCTTAACCTTCCACTGAAGGTTAGCAATACACTACACAAACACTGTCATGGTGCCTATTTAACAAGGAGACAAATTTTTAAATATACTATTCCAGCCTCAAAGCTTAACTAGAAGCTACAGTGTAATTGACTTAATTTGAAAGTGCACTTCTCATAACCTAGAAAAGCTTGCCTTGAAGAAACAATCAAGAGTGGAAGTGTAATATCCTGCGTTATGATTATCTGCTTGCTTTGTAAATGAAATACCTGTGTCTGGCCATTCATTACCATTTGAGAAAAAAGGATCATGTAAGATATAAGACAATAAATAACATGTCTTCGAAATTTGAAATTGTAGTAGGAGCAATTTATATCTCAATTCTGGCATTTAAGATTCAGTAAAAATTTATAATTGATCATAGAACATAGTTCTACAAACATGTAATTTATCTCAGGTATTGTTAAAAACAATATTTTTCTTTCACTATTTAATATATCTTTAATGCTCTGGCATTTATCAATTTCTGTATTTTTATATTTGAATAAAAATCTCCTGAAATTTTTCAAAAGCATTTGAAGTAGTTTAAATAAGTTATATGTTCTCACATAAAAAAGGTTTTTTCATATATTCATGATTATGTTGTAAAAAACTAAATACAGTTTGCCAAGTTTTTACAAAGTAGATTATATTGTATTCCCACAGAAAACCAGATGGAAATACACAGAGATTACAGAGCCTTCTAATTACATTTATGCCAACTTAAATATTTAATAAATATGATGGGAAGAGAAACAGTTGATAAAGAGGGGGCTGGATGCAGTGACTTATGTCTATATTCCCAGGGCTTTGGGAGGCTGAGGTGGGAGGATTGCTTGAGGCCAGGGGTTTGAGACCATCCTGGGCAACATGGCAAGACCCTGCCTGTATAAAAAAGTAAAAAATTAGCCAGGCATGGTGGTGCATCCCTGTAGTCCCAGCTGCTTAGGAGTCTGAGGTGGGAGGCTGCGGTGAACTATGATCACACTACTGCCCTCTAGCCTGGGTGACAAAGTGAAACTCTGTCTCTAAAAATAATTTAAAAAGGGGCAGAGAGGAAGAAATTTAAACAACGAACAAGTCACAAATATATGCATTTTAAAAATAGATTTTTAAAAACCATGAATGAAAAAAAATCTCATTGTTATTCCAGACTGGGCGTGGTGATTCATGCCTGTAATCCCAGCACTTTGGGAGGCTGAGGTGGGCAGATCACGAAGTCAGGAGATAAGAGACCATCCTGGCTAACACGGTGTGTTACTAAACATCGTCTCTACTAAAAATACAAAAAATTAGCTGGGCATGGTGGCGGGTGCCTGTAGTCCCAGCTACTTGGGAGGCTGAGGCAGGACAACAGCATGAACCCAGGAGGCAGAGCTTGCAGTGAGCCAAGATTGCGCCACTGCACTCCAGCCTGGGTGACAGAGCGAGACTCCGTCTCAAAAAAAAAAAAAAAAAAAAAAAAAAAAAAATTCCAAACTATTATTTCAAGAATGAAGCAGCCAGTTAACTTTTTTTTTTGTTAAATTTAGCGGTATTCAAAATTCTATTAATTATTATATGTTTAGGTAGTTTTGACTCCAAACTGGGAGTAGACAATTCTGAATTAAAAATAATGACACTCACATCCTTTTGAAAACAGCTTTTAGATTTAGAGCATGTAACATGTGTTTTAAGTAGGTACATTTGATTCAATCCCACATTTCTAAGGGGCTGTTCCATTACTGCAGAGTTCTTGTCCTGGATCAGGGTCCTCTGTCTGTTACTTGAGTATAGTTGGTAAAAGGCAGAATCCTACCTTAATGCTATGAAGGTATCTGATATCAGAATCTATTATAATTAATGCTACTAAAACTTAGGTAGTCATATTACTTTTATTCTTAACAGTCACATGAATGTTTCACACTATTTCTTCTAAGTAGTTACATAATTTATACATTTATAGGTCTAGAAACAGTTATGTAGCATTAGTATGTTACATTTTATTATATCAATGGGGAAAATCCTTTCAAAGAGAAGTTTCTTTTAAATATTAAAATAAATACTGAATGATAGTTTAAGATATTAGCCTGAACTACTCAAGGGGACAAGGTAATTTTCAATTGAGATCTATGGGTTTACAATGCCTTCCCCATTTGGGACTATGAGGATCAAGTATCTTGCTATTTCTGATCTACGGTTAGATCACTAACATCCCAGAGTTTAGAGGAATAGCTGCTAATACAGTAGCACCAAACACAAAATGTGCTAATGTGTACACTACCTATGAGCTTTATACTATTATATTCATAAGTAGCAATCATAATGATGATGGTTTTAAATCTCTCAGTTCACTAGCCTTTCCCTCATCTACAGTTGTGTCAATTAGAAAATACTACATGAGGACTTGAAGAAGTAAAATTAAAATGCTGCATTATTTCATTTTTAGCTTTTAAAGTTTAGATGGACTGGGATGGGTTTACTCAGCTCAATTTGGAATGATTCAGATTTTGGCTTAAGTGACGACTCAGGGTGCTAGAATTCCAGTGTCTGGAGGCAGCTCATGGATTTATCTTACATAAGAGAGAAAAGCCAGACAGACAAAACACAAAGGAATAAAGAAGCAAAACATTCATCTGGAAAGCACAACACACAACCTCCTCCACTCCTAGACGAGTGAGGCTCTTAATCTGGTCCTGGTGTGCATCCCTCTCTCTAGGTGAATATGCCCCTGTGGGCAAGAGCTCCATTCCCCGAGTTCTGTCTGGCTCTCATGCTGATGTAAAGCTCCGAGTATTCAGGTGTGGTTATCTAAGTAGTAAACAACATGAGAAGCAAGGAAGCAAAAGAAGGAAGAGGGAAAACACTAATGTCACTGAACTGACTGATTATACCCTAAAAGCCACCAGTGTGTACTATTCTAAAAGGGAACATAAATGAAAAAATAAAAAGCTAATATTGTTCACTCTGTGGAAGGCAACTGGTTTTTCTTTTGGTAACTGGTCACGTTCTTAAGTAGTGAGCAGGAACTAGGGAGTAATGCATGGGAGCCGGAAGCATCATTCCAGGTAGAAACAATAACAATTTATTGCAACAGTGCTTTACAATTCAAAGCACATTCACGTTAATGTGCTCATCGAATTCTGAATTCTCATAATGAGGGAGGCAGCACAGGGATTATAGGTTGGTGCAGAAGTGATTGTGTTTTTTGCCATTAAAAGTAATGGCAATACTTTTAAATACTATTATCCTCACTGCATGGGTGGGAAAATGGAAGCCCACAGATCAAACAGCTAGATAGGAGCAAGGTGGAAAATGAACGGAGATCCTCGACCCCATATCAAGTCTGTGCAGTACAGAGGTGGGTAAGAACCACCTTTTGGGGATTTTGAAATGAGAAATCTTTAGCAAGTATCATAAAGATGAGAGAATATTTGAGAGAATTCCTAATGAAGATAAGAGAAAGATTAGCCATCTCCTTTATCTTAGGACAAACCACCAAGATCAGGCATCAGTACGATTAAGCCAATGAAGAGAGACAGTTTCTTCTTCCTTCCTCATTGTTTTGGTCTTTTCTTGGCCACAGTAATCTTTATCGTATCCTCCAAGTCTCTTCAGCTGTTTCACCTTAGTGTCTAGCATAGAGTTGGTATGCAGCGTGTGTGATAATGTTAATAAGACCATTTTAAATAGGGATTTTAAAAATCAACATACATCCTTAAACCCCAAAATGTCCTGTTTAACTAGAATGACAATAGAATAAAATTCCAGAATCAGAGTTGGAAAGAACCTTTAATGTCATCTTGTCCTATTTCCCACATAATGCAGAAATCTTCAGTACCACACCTGGCAAACAGTGGTGCAGCTTTTACTATGTCACCTTTGTAAATAACTTTTTTTTAAAGTTTTGTCTTACACTGATTTCAGTTCTGCTCCCACTTGTTTTTAGTCATTGTTCCTAGTCCTATCTTCTTGACTGATACAGGCTCAGGCTGTTCCTTTTTCCAAACAGGAGCCCTTTACATATTGATCAGGGCTACCTTATCTCTTAGATTTTTTTTCCCTCTTTCTAGGAACAGTCAGATTTCTTTTTTTTTCCTTCATAAGCCACTATTTCCAGATCCCATTAACTAGCCTGGCTGCTTTCTATAGGAGGAAGTAAAGTAAAAAGAAAATGTTGCCTTGAAAGAATTCAGATGTGACTTGTTCACAATCATACAGATGCGATCAATATGGTATAAGTGAAATGATTATTTCCTACAATGTAGATACTAGATTTTATTGTAATCAATAATAATAATAATGTATGATAATAGCTAGCATTTATTGTGCACTAATTCCATTCTAGGAACTGTGAAAACTGCTTAACATATTCACAATAAGCCTATAAGAGGTGTAATTACATCTCCATTTTACAGAAGAAGAAACTGGTGCCTAAGGTCACACTGATAATAGATGAAGTGATGGAGCAAGGATTCAACCGCCAGCAGTTCGGTTCCTCAGCCTGTAAGTAACCCCCCTGTTATGCAGCCTCCATAGATCTATATACCTGATTTTTTCAAAAAGTACTCCATATTATTGTCAAACATGATCTTTTATACAACTTTTTACATACATTTGCTATCAGCTACATCTTACCCACCTTACGGGTGAGCAAAACTTTTTTTTTGGGGGGGAGGGGTTAGTATAATAATTTAAACCTGCAGAATTTTTGGTTCTTAGTATTCCTATCCGCAAAGCTAATATGAACATTTTCATCCTCGTCCTGCATCTAATTTCTGTCAGATCTGAGTTCCCTTCTAAGTTACTATTGAACAGGACAGACTCACCTAGTCCAGGTCTTGCTTTTTCTTTCTCACTCTTTTTTCAAATGTCTGTTGTCTTTGCCACCATGAGCATTCCAAGGTTCTATGATGGGGCCATAAACTGTATAACTGCCACAGAACTCCTCCCCAAGATAGGGTTGTCTAGCCAAGAGCAATCTATCAAACTATACTGAAGGACACAGTTCATCATCTAGATCAGAAAGATATCAAGGAGAATCCTACCAACTTCTTTGTGAAGAGGCACGTGCCTGGAATTTATTTCTGTTCAGGACTACACTGAAGCATTTTTCTCCTAAGTATGATTTTTTTTTCATTCATAAAGTGTCATGAGAAGTATATGTTACAAAGATACAAAAGACTATGTTTATTATATTTAAATGGTTTGATTTGGGTCATTTTCTGTTAACTCATACATCTTCAACTGTGCTATAATTATAAGGAATATCTGACAAGTATGTTCTAGGAACATGAATTCCTCCTTTTCTGCATAGGAATGCCACTTAACTTCAGTTGTAATTTTCACGTTATAGAATCAATTTATTTATTGCTTTAAAAACATTCCAGCCAGGCATGGTGGCATATGCCTGTAATCCCAGGACTTTGGGATGCCGAGGCAGGCGGATCACCTGAAGTCAGGAGTTTCAGACAGCCTGGCCAACATGGTGAAACCCCATCTCTATTAAAAATACAAAAAATTAGCCAGGTGTGGTTGCACATGCCTGTTTTCCCGGCTACTTCGGAAGCTGAGGCACGAGAATCACTTGAACCCGGGAGGTTGGAGGTTGCAGTGAGCCAAGATCAGGCCACTGCACTCCAGCCTGGGGCACAGAGTGAGGCTGTCTTATTAAAAAAAAAAAAAAAATTCCGACAAGTGACGGTATTATAAGAAGGTATTGCCTTCTTATCCAGAAAATTTTTTCTAGCTCTTTATCTTCTCATCATCTTCCAGGTGGAATTTTTGGGCTCTGTTGTCTCATAGAGAGAACTGGACAAGAACTCACATGGTGACAGAACATTACAGTTAAAAGAACTAATGCAGTTATGTAGCTTATTCACTCATTTTATAGATGACTAGACTGGGGCCACTTAAGTAATGCCCAAGGTCATACAGTTTCAAGGGCACATAGCCAGATAAAATGAATTAACAGTAAGGTATTATTAAGTCCTTGGCCAGTGCTTTTTTCTTTTAATAAACATTTTATTTTAGAAAAATTTTAGATTTACAGAAACACTGTGGAAATATTAGTTTCATATAACCCACACCCAATTTCCCCTATTATTATCATCTTACATTAGTATGGTACATTTCCTACAATTAATGAACATATATTGACACAATATTATTAACTGAAGTGTGAGCTTTATTCAGTTTCCCTTCGTTTTTACCCAATATCCTTTTTCTCTTCCATGATATCATTCAGGATACCACGTTACATTTAGTAATTTGGTCTCCTTGGACTCCTCTTGGTTGTGTCACTTTCTCCTACTTTCCTTCTTTTTGATGACCTTGAAAATTCTGAGGAGTATTCTCAGATATTTTGTAGTGTATCACCTATTGAGATATGTCTGATTTTTTTTGATGATTAGACTGCAGTTACAAGATTTTTAGAGGAAGACCATAGAGGTAAAGTGCCATTTTCATCACATCCTGTCAAAGGCTGATATTATCAATATGATTTATCACTGCAGATGTTGACCTTTGATCAACTGGCTGGGGTAATATTTCTCAAATTTCTCCATTGGAAGTTTATTCTCCCCATCTTCCTTTGCTTATTGTACTCTTCGGAAGGAAGTTACTATGTACATCCCACACTTAAGGAGTAGGGATATATGCTCCACCTCCCTGAGAGGGAAGTATCTATATTAATTATTTGGAGTTCTTCTGCATGGGAGAGCTGTCTTTTCTCCCCATTATGTACTTCAATATTTACTTGTATCAGTATGGACCAATGGATATTTATTTTATGCTTTGGATTATAATCCAATATTACTTTACATATTTGCTCGCTCAAATTACTCTAGCTTAGGCCACTGGGAGCTCTTTCCATCATCTGCTGTGTCTCTTTGAAACACAGAGTTTCCAGTTTTGTGTTTTTTGTGAACATCTCCTTTCTGTTGCTACAAGATGCTCCACGTTCATCTTGTATATTTTTCAGCACCAGCCATTTCTCCAATGAGCCCTGGTTCATTTCATTAAAGATTAGAGAACAAATTTGAGTGCTATGTGGGCTTGTTGCTACTGGGGCATCACTGTTTCTAGGCTCTCTGAGCTAACAGAGCAAGAAAATGTATGTGAGCACATTAACGCATGCATATACATATATCTAAAAATACTGTTAAATGTAACCAGCTCTATCTGTACTAAGCTAAAGACAAATTCACACTGATATTTCCAACTCTAATCCATTACAGGATCATTCTAGTCCCCTTCCTTTGCTTGCCTCTAACCTGACTCTAACGGTGAGAAACCTGGCTCCTACCAACCACCATCCATTTACTTAATTGTTCAATTCCAATACACACGTATAGTGGCTTCAAAATTGTTAAACTGTGGAGAAAAACTTTATCAACCAGAGTACAATGCTTATTTATAAGTTCCATTTCCCCTTATTCTTACAGACTCCACTAATTTCCAAAGTTACTCAGATCAGCACTTTCCTCGCTCCTCTTTCAGTGAGTTTATCTCATACATTCACAATAGAATTATTTTATTATAGTTTCCTTTCCATCCTGGGATTCTATGATCACTTAATTGATTTTTAAATAATTGAATATACTCAAGTTCACTCTTTTTGCTATAAAGTTTGGTTTTGACAAATGCACAGTGTCATGTATCTACCATTACAATATCATACAGAATAGTTGCTGTGTTCCAAAAAATCCCCTGTATTTGAACAATTCAGCCCTCCCTGACCTTGAACTCATGGCAACCACTAATCTGTTTATAGTCTTTATAGTTTTGCCTTTTGTAGAATGTGATATAAATGGAATCATACAGTATGCAGCCTTTTCAAATTGGCTACTTTTGGCAATATGCATTTAAGATTCATCCATGTCTTCATGTGAGATGAGAGCTCTTTTCTTTTTGCTGAATAGAATTACATTGTATGGACGTACCAATGGTTATTTATACATTGACGTACTACAGGACAATTTTGGTTGATTCCAGTTTGGGTGATTATAAACAAAGTTGTTATGAACATTTGTGCATAGATTTTGGGGTGGACATATGTTTCAAATCAGTTGGATAAGTGCAGAGAACTGTGATTGGTGGGTTACATAGTAAGGCTATATTTAGCTTTAAAAGAAACTGGCAAACAGTTTTCCAAAGTAGCTGTAGCATTCCTACCAGCAATGAATGAGAGTTCCTGTTGCTCTCTTATCCTCGTCAACATTTTGCTGTTGCCAGTTTGTTTTTGGATTTTGGCCATTCTAACAAGTACATAGTGGTATCTTCTTTTAATTTGCATTTTCCTAATGACAAATGATATTGAGCATTTTTTCATAAGCTTACTTGGTATCTGCATATCTTTCTTGTTGCAGTGCCTGTTTGGATCTTTTGCCCATTTAAAAAGTTTGGTTGTTTTCATATTGTTGAATATTAAGGGTTCTTAGAACACTTTGGATACAAGTCCTTTATCAGATATGTGTTTTGTAAATAGTTCTTCCCATTTGTGGCTTTTCTTTCTCTTAACAATGAATAAGAGTATACTTATCAATTTTTAAGTTCAATTTATCAATTTTTTTTCTTTCATGAATTATGTGGGGTTGTATCTAAAAACTCATCACCAAATCCAAGGCCATATATATTTTATCTTATATTTTCTTCTTGAAGTTGTATAGTTCTGCATTGTATGTGGGTCTAGGTCTGTTTTCAGTTAATTTTTGTGAAAGGTGAGCCAGCGCTCTTTTTCTCATGAGACTCTCTTAAGAGACAGCTTCAGAGAGGCATACTTGCTGGAGTTTGAGTATAAAAAAGAATAACGGCCAACAAGACCTTACAGCTTTTAAAGTTAATATTCACAGGCATCAACAATAGAAGTGTAATGTCCATAACTGAAGAAGGAATTCATCACTTTGTAATCTGCCATGGTCAAACCACATCTATGGTATAGTATGTTCTGCTCCAGGGGGCAACTTGATTTAATGCTGACACTGATAAGCTAGAATTCCTCTAGGTTAGTAACTGGCATGATGAAGAGTCTGGATATGATTGCCATAGAAGTGTGCATAATGATATGTCTGTTTCCCTATGTCTTTTGTCTTTAATATTGTGAACCATTTGAGGGCAAGAAATGTACGTCTCATCATGTATGTCCAGGATCTAGCACTTAGTATGTGCTAAATAAATATTTAAGTAGTGGGTTTAGTGAATAAATTGAGAATGTTTAATCTAGAAAATAAGCGTTCCTCAGACAACATATGCCTGTGAATAGCCACCACACCTCCTGGGAAGAGGAGGCATGAAAATTGTCATTAAATATGCAAAGAGCTATCATGCAGAAGAGAGATTAGAACGAGGATTAATGGGTAAAATTCACAAAGATACAGAATTTCAACTCATAATACTTAACAGTAGGCTGCCATATGGTCATCCTGTAACCACTGAAATAATTAAACAGCACCCAAGTGAATCTTTGTAAGGGATGTTAGAGAGGGGTTACTTGCACTGAGAAGGGAAGTAAATGAACCATTTTCTGTCTCCTTCAACTCTGAAATTCTATGGAGAGAATAAACTAGTATAGGGCCAATTAAAAACCTCAAAATCTCTAAGAACATGAATAATTTTGGTGTCACAGTCCATTTGTAATTCAAAATCAAACAAAAACTATGTGTGTTACAAAGTCCAATGTGATATATACAAGATTATTTGTGCCTTCCTTTTTAAGATATCAAACATAAAATCTCCCCTTAATTCTCCCTTTCATGCTGCTGCTTTGTGGGGCTCTACATATGTGATTTTTTTCTACTTATGGTCCAGCACTGATTCCTTGATTCTAGGTACAGGACGAGGAGGGTATGAAGACTTCTTTGGGAAACATTTGTAAAATAAAAAGTCCAGTTCCAAAGAAACCCCATGCAAAGGTAGAAAAGTCCAGGGCCTTCTCATTTAAAATACTCATTTATAACTACAGCAGCAATAAAGCCAGAGACAAAATGTGGTGGTGCATCCTAAAAATAAGAGCTATCTACAACTGATACATAAAGCTTGCCAGCACTCAAAACTGCTACCATTTCTAATGGCAATGTAGAGATATAATGTTCTTCAAATACAAAGAGAGAATTTATATTCCATCTAGTCTTAAATCTTAATTTATTTTTCATTGTGCTCTAATTCTAATTCTTTGAAAATTGACATATATGCCAAAATAAATGATTAAACAGAACACCTTAGGCCTTGATCATATAGGTGATAATAGAATTTAAATCAAAAACTAATTTGGTATGATGATTAGCTTAAAAATGCTGCACAACTTGTTGGTTATGTTTACCATGTGAACGTTCTCATTGTAGCTAAGTCAGTTTCATGATTTCTGCTCATGGAATCTAAATTTTGGAACAAATTTATGAGTTATTTCCCAAGAATTCTATGAAACAACAAATGTTAAAATAAGTAACTACTGATTTATATAACACTTGTGTATTTAGAAAACTAATTCTTTAACTGGTTCATCTTTATCATTATTCTACCTTCTATAAGAAACCCATTACAGCTTTCATAGAAAGGGGAGGAAAAGCGAGCAGTTTTTCTATAAATAGTGTGAGGCATTTTTCTACCCCATCCTAGAGTGCTATAACTTCCCTCTGCAACTCAGGTGATATGTTCTTATGATGAACTGATCTCCTTAAGAGTTTCTGAGTTACAACAGAAAAAGTCAACGAAATAACCTTGCTATGTCTTGTTATGAAGGTTAGTGCTTGCTTAAGGAAAATAAACTACTCCCTAAGGGAATGGCACTGGTTTAAAGATTTGAAATAAACCCATGATGAACTGCAATTTTTTTTTAAAGAATTCCATACAGTTTTAAAAAGCAGATAAAAAATACTTACTGGAACATCAACATATTTTGCAGCTGCTTTCACCTTAAGTGTGAAAGAAAGAGATAATCATGAGAATTATTTTTTTAACTGCCATATAAGTACTATGACAACAGTTAAAAGACCACAGAAGAGAACTCATTCAAATACTTACAGTGAATGACAGAATGGATGAAAAGAAAGTGCCTTCATCATACCTTGACAGCTTAGACAACACGCCTTCCAACACTGAAACAAACTATAATACAGTTATAGTGAGTATTTAGAATGTTACTATGCATACAAACTAATAGCAGGACAAACAATTCCTGAATCAATTTCTTCCATCGCACAAAAATTCACAATGAATGAACTGACAGCTGAGGTCAGACTAACTTGTGATGTTTACTCTTTCATTCTGAACATGAACTCTACTGTCCTTTTCTTTCCCATGGCTGGAAATAATACACTTTTTTTTTTTTTTTTTTTTTTAAAATGAGATGGAGGCTTGCTCTGTCACCCAGGCTGGAGTGCAGTGGCGTGATCTTGGCTCACTGCAACCTCCACCTCCCGAGTTCAAACTATTCTCCTGCCTCAGCCTCCCGAGTAGCTGGAACTACAGGCGTCCGCCACCACACCTGGCTAATTTTTGTATTTTTAGTAGAGACGGGGTTTTACCATATTGGCCAGGCTGGTCTCAAACTCCTGACCTTGTGATCCACCCGCCTTGGCCTCCCAAAGTACTGGGATTACAGGTGTGAGCCACCGTGTCTGGCCAATAATACACAATTTTTAAAAAAATAAAAGATAATGTGTCATAGGAATCTAGTCACTATACATATGAGACCACTGAAGCCATTCATAAACAATCTTAGGTCCATGAGATTTTTCCTTAAAACATTTTTCAACTTCAATGTGGATGTTAAGAAACAATGGCAGGCAAGCTTAATCAGATTCCTTTCTATTTTATATTACTTGCCATCCTTCAACTTTTTCTACATCTACACAGGAGGTTGAATATAAAAGAACAGATAATGGGCCAGGCAGGGTGGCTCATGCCTGTAATTCCAGCACCTTGGGAGGCCAAGGTGGGCGGATCGCCTGAGGTCAGGAGTTCGAGACCAGCCTAACCAACATGGAGAAACCCCGTCTCTACTAAAAGTACAAAATCAGCAGGGCATGGTGGCTCATATCTGTAATCTTAGCTACTCGGGAGGCTGAGGCAGGAGAATTGCCTGGGAGGCAGAGGTTGTGGTGAGCTGAGATCATGCCATTGCTCTCCAGCCTGGGTGACAAGAGCAAAACTCTGCCTTAAAAAAGAAAAACAAAAACAAAAACAAAAAACCAAAAAACAAACAAACAAAAAAAATGAACAGATAATGAAAGGGAGGTGGTGTAACATATGAGCTCTTGTAACTATGACACAATGGCTGACATTAGTTAACAAGCATTTACCAGGCAGTTCTAATTGGCACATATAAGGATCATCCCTGCTTCCCAAAGCTTACGTAGCAGTTATGGAGAGAAAACAGATACACACTGCAGAGTACAATGGAAAAGAGCACTGGACTCAGAATGTATATCCCAATTCCATCACTCAGTAGAATGCAAGCTCAGTTTGACCACCTTACTTCTCAGGCTTCCTCCATCAGTTAAATGGACTAGGGTGAGGGGGGTAGGATGTGGAATTCAAATTAGTCTCAAAAGTGGTTTACATTTCTAAAACTTTATATTTCTATGAAATAAAAAAACACATACACTATAATACAGTAAAAATGTGAAGCATTTTACTTTATTTAGCATGAAAATCGATGAATAAGAGATCTTAAGAATGACATACTGCCCTACATCTCTCCTCCTTAGAACTAAAATAATATGAACTATTGACACATTATAGATTCCCAAAGGGAAAATGCTGACAAGGTTTTTTCAATAGGAAAAGGGAAATTAACGAAGACTGGTTTTTGTTCACATAGCAGCTTCTTCAACAAAGTGATAATAGTTCTAGGGACACAGCTTATTGGTCTCTGGTGACCAGAGAACTCGCTGTGAGTGCATAGGAGATAATCTTTTCTTTATGGCTGATCAATTACTACAAAATAGTTTATGCAAAAGAAACAAAAACTTCCCTATAGGTTTCTCCATCACATCATTTGCGACATGATGTAAGAACACAGAAACAAAACCATGCAGACTGACTGTGAACTATAAGTGCATTTTTAAAGAATGAGAATAACGTATGCTTGGGTAGCTATCCTAAAGGATGCCTAGGGAAAAAAAATCCACCCACAAAATTGCGAATTGCTCACATGTAGAAGTTAATTTAGCACTTTCTTCCTGCCTGTTAGGATTTCTTACCAATCATGACTGGCTAACTCAACTTGATGTAGTTTGCAAGGACCCAGAAGATGAATACTCTAGGGTTATGTCAGACCAGGGAAAGGGAATTCCAAACTTAATGGCCCTCTGTGGAAAATGCCTCATCTCTTGTAACTCAAATCTTGGAGCAAGTGTGTACTGGGTGATCTCATTTGCCACGAGGACAGCGGCAATTGCTATGGTTACTAGACAGCTTGAACCATGGAGGCTGTAGCCCAGCACCTGATTCTTGGTGCTTGCTAGTGAGTCTGTGCATACACACATGTGTGTTGCTGAGGGACAAAGCAAGATAGAGGCAGGAAGCCTGTTGATGAATTTGCTGAGGGACAAAGCAAGATAGAGGCAGGAAGCCTGTTGATGAATTTGCTGAGGGACAAAGCAAGATAGAGGCAGGGAGCCTGTTGATGAATTTACTTCTTGGCTCAAGTTGCAGCTCTGCCGCTGTCTGGCTACGAGATAAATGTCAAGTCATTTTGCTTCTCTCTCTTCATTGTACTTCTCAGTAAAGTGGGGAAAAGGACAGCTATCCCGCCCACCTTACAAGAATGGTCTGAAGATCAGTGGAGGTAATTTATGTGAAAGAACTGTGAAAATGGCCAAACACTAAAGAAATGTAAAGAATTAATATTATCCATATGATTAGCAAAATCACTATCTGTGTCTAAAAACCTGAATACATTAAGTCACAAGTTAATGGGGGCTGCCTTAGAATTACTTAGTGACAAAGAGGAATGAGTTTGGTCCTTAAGCTAATGGGTCTAATTCAATTAAATCTATGGGGCTTCTATGGAGGTAGAATAGAGCTGAGGCTTTAAGTCAGAAAACCACTGGGATTCCGCCTGTTTCAAGGTTATTTGGCAGACGGCAGAAGGAGGAAGGCTTTAAACACAGGTGGTCTTGATCCAAAGCCCATGCTCTTTACCCATCATGCTACAGAACTGTAAGAATTAAGTGATACGCCATATGCAATGTGCCCAGCATATAAATACTCAAGGGTTCAGGTGTGGTGGCTCACACTTGTAATCCCAGCACTTTGGGAAGCCAAGGCAGGAGTATTGCTTGAGTCTAGGAGTTCAAGACCAGCCTGGACAACATAGCAAGATCCTGTCTCTACAAAAAAAAATTAAAAAAATTGGCTGGGCATGGTGGCGTGTGCCTGTAGCTTCTCAGGAAGCTGAGGTGGGAGGATTGCTTGTGCCCAGGAGTTCAAGGCTAAACTGAACAATGATTGTGCCACTGCACTCCATCCTGGATGACAAAGGAAGACCCTGTCTCAAGTTAAAAAAAAAAAAAAAAAAAAAAAAAGAACTTGGCCAGGTGCCGTGGCTCACGGCTGAAATCCCAGCACTTTGGGAGGCTGAGGTGGGTGGAACATGAGGTCAGGAGATCGAGACCATCCTGGCTAACACAGTGAAACCTCATCTCTACTAAAAATACAAAAAAGTTAGCTGGGTGTGGTGGCAGGTGCCTATAGTCTCAGCTACTCAGGAGACTGAGGCAGGAGAATGGTGTGAACCCAGGAGGCGGAGCTTGCAGTGAGCCGAGATTGCGCCACTGCACTCCAGCCTGGGCAACAGAGTGAGACTCCATCTCAAAAAAAAAAAAAGAGCCCAATAAGTGTCATTTTGTTTTAATTATTAATGAGTACCTAGGATAAGACATACAAAAACACAACAGTCTTAGATCTTTCCCTTTGGGAAATACAAACTAGTGGGAGAGATAGACATGAACATAACTGCACATGACACAAGGCAGAAGTGTTATGGGCAGTGTAGACAGTAAGCAGTATAGCTGAAACCAGAAGAAGGAAATAATGTCTTTGACTACAGGATATGGGGTCAGCTTCACTTATGAGTTGGCACAGGAGCTGAGCCAAAGGATAGCAGAGATAGAGTGGCTAAAATGACTCTCTGGGAAGGTTGCTGGCAAATGCATTTAGGGCAGAATTTTCTCCATGTGGCATCTGGCAGCCTGTTTGGCTCATCTTCTTCAGAGCACGAAGCAGCATTGGCTTATATACAAGTTAGTCCTAGGTGTGAACCTGTGGTCTGCTGCATTCATGTCTCAGCATTCTTTGTCTCCATTTCAAAAGTAGTGGAGAGTCTTTCCTCAGCTTCCTCCCTATCCCTAAAGGTCCCTGGGGAGGCTCAATACAGCTGGGAATCTAAGTGCTTACATGGCAGTGAGCAGCGACAGCACCTGTGGGATTAACCAGCTGAGGTGTACAGTTCCTACAGGAAAGTTTTCTTTGTAAGATTTTTGTTGAGGCACACCTAGTAGAAGAGCTACCTTAAAAATCAAACTCTATTATAAACATCAAGATTGACTAGTAACGATATACCTTCCACCTGGCTTTTAATTGCATAAAACAGCAAGATTCCAAAGAAACCCAGTTAAATGTTGGGTTTAGTTGCTGCATCTTTAACTGCTTCCTGTGAACTTTCTCTGTACAGCTCAGGGAGTATATAAACACTTATGGGTTTGCCTTTGTGCTGTCTGTTCTCCTGAGGGTGTCGGGTTGGAATGAAACACTGTAATCTCTTTGTTGCCCTGCTCTTTATTACTGATGCCATTAACTGGGCTTGTTTGAAAAATATTTAACACCTAAAGTCTGCCTGGGTAATTACTGACTTTGTCTCATGAAACTCTTGGAAGTGACTGGTAGAAGGAAACATGAAGAGTGCTTCAAGGCATGTGCATTTACATTTCTTGTTGATTTTGACAGCATATAAGATTCATATGGAAGGTAGAACCATAAACTCTAAGTGACGGGAGGATTCCAGCTAGGGTTCAAAACGAACAGTTCTTGCATTTTTAGCTGTGACACTTCATGAAATAAACAAGGAATATTTGCATCATTTACACTGCACGTTATAAAATCTTCCACAGAAAACACAAACATCCCTAGTATGGCTGATAATGAAAAACTAAGTGTTTTCTGTGGGGGAGGATGGGATAGCTGTTTTGTTTTTTTTTTTGTTAAGATCAGGACTAACTAGTATTGTTAAAAATCTGCACATGTACTCCATGAATTTAGTTAAAAAACTTTTAAAAATTAAAAATAAACTTGTTTTAGTAACATATTCTTAAAAAATGTGAACACAGTTCCAGAATATCATGAACTAGGAGAAAATAGGTTGTCTTCCCTAAATCAGAACGTTAATATATGATAATAAAATAATACGAGGCGGCCAGGTGTGGTGGCTCACACCTGTAATCCCAGCACTTTGGGAGGCCGAGGTGGGTGAATCACGAGGTCAGGCATTTGAGACCAGCCTGGCCAACATAGTGAAACCCCATCTCTACTAAAAAAAAAAAAAAATTACCCGGCCATGGTGGCGGGCGCCTGAAATCCCAGCTACTCAGGAGGCTGAGGCAGGAGAATCGCTTGAACCTGGGAGATGGAGGTTGAAGTGAGTCGAGATTGCGCCACTGCACTCCAGCCCAGGCAACAGTGCAAGACTCCATCTCAAAAATACACACACACACACACACACACACACACACACACACATATATATACATACACACATACATATATATATATATACGTATATATATATATACGTATACATATATATATACACACATATATGTATAATAACACAATACAATTGTCTCTTTCCCATCCTCTTTCTGTGAATCCAGCTGCGAAACTACTTATTTGAAGCTTTATTCCAACTGACTCCTAAAAGGCCTTACCAGATCCTGCACGTTATAGGAAGGAGGGAGTGTTTGACAGCAGGTATTTATTCATAACATACCTTGTTCTGCAAAGTATCTAGGACAACTTCTAAAACAGCACACTTAGACCAGATGTTGGTGAATTCACCACACTGTTTTCTCTCACTCTTCCTTTCATTGTTCCTCCACAAATAAAGTGAACTATTTTACTTTGCATTCTCTCTCTGCTAAAGGCTCCTAATATCGTATGCTATTCCTTTTGGGCACATACTTGGATTTTAACAGATGCCTTCTGAATATATGGCCTTGATCCAAACAAGTAAATTGAGTAAGTTTAATGCAATTAATTTCACCAGGCTAAATTAACAAGAAACTTTAATTACATAATCTAGGCAGTCAGATCAGATTTATCTTCTATCTATCCTATTCTTAAGAGAAATCCAGGGGAAAATATTCTAAGTTATGAGAGAGAGAAAGCGAGAGAGAGAGAGAATGTATATATACCCGTATATCTGTATCAATATAGTTGTGGGAAAAGTGTATATTATTTCCTAAATCCTTTTTTTTTGGCAATAATTGAGAATCTAGGAAGTTGGATATTACAGAAATGATCTTTTAATTCATACCCAGAAGTGATGGAGGCCCTGTTCAGCAGTGCTTTCTGAGAGTTGTCATTTTTTTCACTCTTGGCTCTGTTAACCATATTCTAAACCTTCCCCCAGTTTTTTTTTTTTTTTTTTTTTTTTTAAGACAGTCTTACTTTGTCACCCAGGCTGGAGTGCAACGGCGTGATCTCAGTTCACTGCAATCTCTGCCTCCTGAGTGCAAGTGTTCTTGTGCCTCGGCTTCCTGAGTAGCTAGGTTTATAGGCATGTGCAACCATGCCCAGCTAATTTTTTTTTTTTTTTTTTTTTTTTTTTTGCTTAAAACAATAAAAGTTTATTATGGTATAGTTCTGTAGTTCAGAAGCCTAACAAAGGCTTCACTGGGCTAAAATTCAAGTGTCAATAGGGTTGAGTTCCTTTCTGGAGGCTCTAGGGGAGAATTTGTTTTCTTCACTTTTCTAGCTTCTTGCCTGCATTCATGGTTCATGGTCTCTATCCTCCATCTTCAAAGCTGGCAACATAGCATCTCTCTAACCCTGCTTTTGCCATCTCATCTTTCTCTCTGACTCTTTTCTTTTGCCATCTCCTTCCCCTTTTAAATACCTTGTGATTACATTGGGCTCACCTGAATAATTGTTATCTCACAGGGTTTTGCCATGTTGGCCAGGCTGGTCTCGAACTCCTGACCTCAAGTGATCTGCCTACCTCGACCTCCCAACGTACTGGGATTACAAGTGTGAGCCACTGCACCCAGCCTTGGCATTTTCATTGCTATATATAAGGTATCCCATTTTCATCTACCTGACTTAGAGTTGCCCCACCTGGTTACTCTAGCTGGACTCTACAAGCTGGTCTCACAGAATGTATGCATGGAGGGACCCACAGGCTGGCTGGTACAACCCAGATATAAAAGGGACACAAGAGGACTGGAGGTGAAGCTATCACTCTTTCCCTCCCTGGTCTTGCTGAGTTCTGCATGGTGTTGTGGAGAGATCATAGGCTTAGGGACCACAGGGGCCAAATCCTGGCTCTGCTGACATCTATTGTGTGGCCTTGGGCCTCTGTTTCCTCATCTGTGAACAGGGAGACTGGACTGGTGACTAGTCCTGCCTTGAAACATGAGGCCACCCAGGTAGGGCCCCAGGCCTCCTTTCCCTTCTTAATCAGACTGACATCAATGCTTTGATTGGTGTTATATTTTGCAGTGCTAATATACATTTGAGACATTAATATATTTTATAAACATTTTTAAAGCATATAAAAATGTATCTTAAAACTATAAAAATGTTTGAAAAGTCCCTAGTAGATGACCTCAGGACTCTTCCAAATCCAGCATTCCGTGCGCCATGAGTTTCTAGAGCCTGGAGACAACAGATGCAGGCCACCAGCAGGCTCCATGCAGATATGTGCGTAGGACTTTTGTTCTAGATTGAGAAAAGGCTGTCAGTTTTTAAAAAACCCAATACCCCCACTTTTTTTGATGAGGAAAATAAGTCATGTGAGGACACCCAGCTGGTAACATAAGAAAATGGGACTAGAATCCAACTTTTCTGATGATCCCACACTTCGGTTGGTTTAATTTTAATATAAAGTGGCAATAAATATGACATTTCTTGTACCCTTTCCTTGGTAAGATTTAATGCTCCTATTTTTTTTCCCTTGGTAAAAATTATTGAAGTCTTTCTGGCTAGAAGAATTTTTGTTTCCCCCCCCCCCCCCCTTTTTTTTTTTTTGAGTCTCGCTCTGTCGCCCAGGCTGGAGTGCAGTGGCGCAATCTCGGCTCACTGCAAGCTCCGTCTCCCGGGTTCACGCCATTCTCCTGCCTCAGCCTCCCGGTAGCTGGGACTACATGTGCCCGCCACCATGCCCGGCTAATTTTTTGTATTTTTTAGTAGAAACGGGGTTTCAGCGTGTTAGCCAGGATGGTCTCGATCTCCTGACCTCGTGATCCGCCTGCCTCAGCCTCCCAAAGTGCTGGGATTACAGGCGTGAGCCACTGCGCCCAGTCTTCCCCTTTCTTTTAAGGTTACTTTCCCTCTTTTCCATAGGTGTTCCAGTTACAGCACCTTGGCCTGAGAACAGTGGCTGCTGATACAGTCCTTTTTTCAATTGTTGAAATCTTATAATCACATCAATATTTTGACCCCATATCCCTCCTCTGAGCTCCAGACCCAAATAGTTAATATCCTCCTTGACATCTCCTCCCTCAGGTGTCTCAAAGGCAGCTCAATCTCAACATGTCCAATACTGACATCATGGTCTTTCTCTCCAAATCTGTTTCTCTTCCAGGACAGCCTGCATCTAGGAATGATACTAACATTCAGGCCATAAACCTAAGAGTACTCCTTACTATTTCCCTTTTCATTGTACATCTGAAATGTCTTTGGATTAGTTCAACAGAGACCAAGTAACAGCTTCTACACTATCCCCTCTCCAATCTGTTTGCTACAGGCAGTCAGATGAATCTTCTTATAATGCAAATCTGATTAATTCCCTACCCACACTCTCCAACCTTTCAGTGACTTCCCATTGCTCTTGGGATAAAGACTTTAAGCTCCTTAGCACTTCCTACAAGCTTCTGCTCACTTCTGCAGCCTTGTCTTGCTCCAGGCCCTGGTTTCTGCAGTTTCTCTTACTTAAATGGTCCTTTCATCTCTCTTCTCCTGGTTAACTCTTTCATTCTTAGGAACTCAGCTCAAGCTTCACTTGCTTGGGAAAACTTTTCCTGTCCTCCCTGACTAAATGAGTTACTCGGTCACAGATTATCCTACATGACACATTTGTATGGCTTGCATTTTATGTTTGTTAGTGTGTCTCCTCCAAGGGTTAGCAAACTCCTTGAGGGCAGGGACCCTGCTGTTTTGCTTAGCACTGTATCCCTGGCATTGAGCATACTTTCTGGCACAGAGCTGCATCCTGAAACTCTACATTGCCTCATGGCTGTGAATTTCAATCCTTTTTAAAAAATGAATATTGCCCTTTTTCATTTGGGGCAGAGTCACAGTATATAATTTTATGCAAAGTACTTTATGTTCTAGGTTAGAGACAAGAACTGGAGTATTGATGCCAGAGCACATTCCTTTAGCATTTTCCAGATTTACTTTCATCTACTGGATTATATGACAAGCAGTGTACAAAGAATAATAGATAAAGAGGATTCAGAGACACACACATAACCATGAAGAAATGGCAGAGAAAGTGGGCACAGAGGGCATTGGGTAAGGAGAGGGCTAAATTTGCTTAGGAAGATGTAAGATGTCTTCTAGAAAGGAGAGCAAACCAAGACTTTTCTAGTTGAATTATCAGAAGAAAGCAAAAAAGGGCTCTTCAAGTAGGGGGCAGAAGTGAAAAGGCACAAGGGTCTGGAAAAACTATGAAACCAATAGAACTTTGGAATAGCTAGAGTTTAAGATGTGGGGGAGAGTGTTATGGGGACAAGAGCAATTATACTGTGAAGGGACTTGTAGGTGATGCTAAAAAGTTTTTCTTGTGGGTCAACCTTTCACAAACTATATTCTAAGGAATATTAATTCCTGCAAGATATTATTAGGAATTCCAGAATAAAGGGCCCCAGGACAGGTTAAGTGTAGGAACACTGCACTCTCAAACACTACATCCTGAACTACAAGGAATACAGTGTTCCCCAAATGGGTTAGTAACCTCATCTCATGGGACATCAACAAAACTCAAGTACAAGGTGTCCTGAGACACAATTTAGGAAATGATGGCACAGGGAATAAGGAATGCCTACAACATATGAAGCATCGGCAATAAATGGTCAAATCGGTATTTTGGAAAGATACTCTGGCTTCAGGGCTGTATTAGTCTGTTCACACACTGCTATGAAGAAACACCCAAGACTCGGTAATTTATAAAGGCAAGAAGTTTAATTGACTTATAGTTCTGCATTGCTGGGGAGGCCTTAGCAAACTTACAATCATGGCGGAAGGCAAAGGAAAAGCAGGCATCTTCTTCACAGGGCAGCAGGATGGAGTGAGTGCAAGCAGGGGAAATGCCAGATGCTTATAAAACCATCAGATCTTGTGAGACTCACTCACTATCATGAGAATAACATGGGGGAAACCACCTCCATGAGCCAATTACCTCCACCTGCTCCCACCCTTGACACATGGGGATTATAGGGATTATAATTCAAGATGAGATTTTGGGTGGGAACACAGCCAAACCATATCAAGGGTGAAGTGGGGGACCATGGTGGAGATCAGTAAGGCAAGAATTTAAATGAGGAAATGATGAGGGCCTGAAGACTATAGTACTGCCAGTGAGAATGGAATGAGGCAGAAAAGGGAGTGTTTAGGAGACTGACTCAAGGCCCTGATGTCCTCCTGTGTGATGTGCTTGAGCAGATTCTATAAAGACAGGGACACTAGGATGACGAGATTTTACAATGGGGTGATCAGTACTGCCAATGGAGACAGCAAATGCAAAACAAGAGGCACCTGGGGTGGGGTGGAGGTGATATGGGTATTTTTAGACTCTGACCTTGTAGAGATGTACAGAAAGCAACTGGAAATACGGGATTTTAGGTGATAAAAATTAGAGGAACAATAATAACAATATCAACTAATATTTAACAATGCATTGGCCACTGTTCTAAGACTCTATCTGTATTAACATACTTACTATTCACTAACACTAATAAATGCTACTATTATATTACTCCTACTTTATAGGAGAGGAAAACTGAGCCACAGAAAGCTTGTTTAAGTAACTTGACTAAGATCAGACAGCTAGTGGAGGAGTTGAAATTTGAACCCAGGTCAGAAGTTGGGCTTTTAATTGCTATTCTGCACTGCCTTTCACATACAGAGCTGGGAATCACAAGCATAGAGTTAAAGCTGGAAGTGGAAAAGTCACAGAAATTTGTAGAAAAAGTTCAATAGAGGACCAATGATGGTGGCCCAAGAAGTAACAGCATTTAGTTGCCAGTGGAGAGAGAAGGGCACAGAGAGGGAAGGCCAAGACCTTTTCTAGGCACATAAAATGTGTATATAGTAGGGAGGGACACATACTGTTTAGTACTGTGTGTGATTGAGAACTTGGGCTCGTTCTCATGTTATTTGTGGAAATATGTGAGGTAAGAAGAGGATCTAAAGGTAGCCTTGAAGAGGAGAGGTAAAAAGAAGAAAGTGCAGTTTATTTTTATCCAGATGTAGCAAATATATTTGTGAATATGCACAGAACAATTAAAATATTGAAAGAAATATCTGGGATACGAGAAATTCACTGTTATTTTCATCTACTTTATGTTGAGTTAATTATTATGATATAAAAATGTCTACGACATGACTCTTAGAATTTGACAGTGTAGTAACAGTTAATATAGAAACCGCATATTTTAATTTTTATGGGCTGGTTGCTCTTTACAGATTTCCCAGAGACGTAGAATCAGTTAAGTGCATTGGATTAAGGATCTGAAGCTCAGAGGTTTGGATCCTGATTCTCACTAATTAATTAGGTGTTTGATGCTCATCAGTTTAATAAAGGACTTTGAGAACTATGTTCCTATCAGTGACTGAGGATAAGACTGCCCATTTCATTAGAGGCAGAGTCACAATATATAATTTTATGCAAACTACTTTATTCTATGTTCATTTCATAGGTTTTATAAGGCTTAAATAAAGTCACAAATGTACAGTTACAGTGGCAGTTTCACAGTAGGTACTTCATAACTCTTTTAAAAAAGTCATTTCTTCCTTGGTAAAAACAAGTGTGAACAAACTGTCTTATAGGCTATTTTTTTTTTAATATCCTGAAGTTTAAAGGTTTACATGCCAGTCTGGATGAAGATTCACCAGAGCAGTGTTTCTCAAAGTCTGGCTCATGGTTCCCTATTGTAAAATAACCATGGTGGCTGGTTAAACATGCACATTCCTTCCCCTCTTCCCAAACTTAAGACTCAGCATCACTGGAGATTGGGGTATGGAAATCTGCATTTTAACAGTTCTCAGGTAATTTTTTTGTGTATGTGTGCTAACATTTAAGAATCATTGCCTTACAAGATGTTTTAGTTTTTCTTAATGAAATAAAACCACAATCTATCCTGCCTGTGGACCCTGGTATCACGCCTGCCCAAAGGCCCTAACAGCTGGCCCACACAACATTTCTAGCTGGGGTGAGTGATCCAGGGCTTTTCCTGCTGAAGTCAATCGGTAAATAGTGGAAAAGGTCACTGTTTTTCCAAAGGTGCAGATACCAATGTAAGGCTACAGGGATCATGAAGAATCAGGGAAACATGACACCATCAAAAGAATAAAATAAAGCTGACCAATAACAAATAAGGAGACTCAATCTGTATTCAAAAACCTCTCAACAAAGAAATGGCTTCAAAAGTGAATTCTACCAAACATTTAAAGAAGTGAATTCCACCAAACATTTAAAGAAGAATTAATGCCAATTCTCTTTAAACACTACCAAAAAAAACCCCAAAAAACAGAAGAGGGAACACTTCCAAACTTATTCTATGAGGCCAGCATCACCCTGATACCAAAGCCAGACAAAAGATACTGCCAGAAAAGAAAACTATAAGCCAAGATAAACATGGATACAAAAATCTTCAACAAAATACTAGCAAACTGAATTCAACAGCACATTAAAAAATCATACACCATCACCAAATGAGATTGATCCCTAGGATCCAAGGATGTTTGAATATAAGCAAGTCAGTTGTTATGACACACCACATTAATAGAATGAAGGATAAAAATCACCAAGATCATCTCCATAGATGCAGAAAAACACTTGACAAAACTAAGTAATGTTTCATGATAAAAGCATTCAAAATATTAGGAACAGAATGAAATTATCTCGACATAATAAAGGCTATATGAAAAGCTCACAGTTGACATCATATTCAGTGGTGAAAAAATAACTTTTTTCTCTAAGATACAGCATGAGACAAGGATGCCCACACTTACCACTTCTATTCAACATAGTACTGGGAGTCCTAGCCAAAGTAAGTAGACAAATAAAATAAAATAAAATAAAATAAATAAGTAAAGAAGAAAAAGAAAAGAAATACAAGGCATGCAAATCAGGAAAGAACAAGTAAAATTATCTCTGTTTGCAGATTACATGATCTTAATATGTAGAAAACCCTAAAGACTCTACAAAAAAGAACTGTTAGAATAAACAAATTCAGTAAAGTTGCAGAAAAAAAATCACAGACAAACTATCACAAGATCAGAAAACCAAACACCGCATGTTCTCACTTGTAAATGGGAGTTGAACGAGAAAACATGGACACAGGGAGGAGAACATCATATACTGGGGCCTGTCGGGGGCTGTGGGGATAGGGGAGGGCTAACATTAGGAGAGATACCTAATGTAGGTGACGAGCTGATGGGTGCAACAACCACTATGGCAGGTGTATACCTATGTAGCAAAAGTGCACATTCTGCACATGTATCCCAGAACTTAAAGTATAATTTTAAAAAGTCATTCATATATCTGTATACTAACAATGCACTATTTGGAAAGGAAGTTCAGAAAACAATCTCATCTACAATAGCATCAAAAATAATGCAGTACTTAGAAATATACTTAACCAAGAAGGCAAAAAATGTGTACACTGAAAAGTATAAAACACTGAAGACATTAAAGCAGACAACAAATAAATAAAAAAATCCCATGTTCATGAATTACAATAATTATTATAGTCAAAATGTCCATACTACTTAAAGTGATCTACATATTTAATGCAATCTCTATCAAAATCCTAATGGCATTTTTTTTAAAGTAACAGAAAAAGCAATCCAATCCTAAAATTCATCTGGAACCACAAAAAGCTTCAAATAACCAAAACAATTCCGAGCAAAAGAATAAATTGGAGGCACCACACTTCCTAATTTCAAAATCTATTACAAAGCTAAAATAATCAAAAAAGTAAACAATGTTAACTTTTTTAAGTAAACTTTTTAATGTAAACAACGTTACTGGCATAAAAGCAGATGTATAGGCCAATAGAACAAAACAGAGAGCTCAGAAATAAACCCACACACATACGGTCAACTGATCTTTGACAAGAGTGTCAAGAGAAAAGGATGGTTTCTTCAATAAATAGTGCTGGGAAAAGTGGATGTACACATACAAAAGAATAAAAGAATAAAAGTTGACCCTTATCTTACAACATAAACAAATGGATCAACAAAACCATCAACTAAACACCATCAAGTAAAAATGGATTAAATAACTTAAGACCTCAAACCATAAAACTTCTAGAATAAAACATAGGGAAAAAGTTTCTTGACATTGGCCGTAGCAATGACTTCTTGGCTATGATACAAAAAGCACAGGCAACAAAATATTTTTTAAAATGAGATTATATCAAGTAAAACAGCTTTTGCACAGCAAGGGAAACAATCAACATAATGAAAAGGCAACCTACAAAATGGGAGGAAATGTTTACAAACTATTTGTCTGATAAGGAGTTGACATCTAAAACTCAATAGCCAAAAAAAAAAAATTAAAAATTAAAAAAATGAGCAAAGCACTACATCTCTAATGAACATGTATAAATGGCCAACAGGTATACGAAAAGGAGCTTAACATCACTAATCTTTGGAGAAATGCAAATCAAAATCACAGTGAGATATTAGCTCACATCTGTTTGGATGGCTATTATCAACAACCCAAAAGATAACAGGTATTAGTGAGAATGTGAAGAAAATGCCCACTGTTGGTGGATATGTAAATTGGTGTAGCCACTATGGGAAATAGTGTGTAGAATCCTCAAAACATGAAAAATAGAACTACCATATGATTTAGCGATCCCATTAATGGGTATATAGCCAAAGGAATTGAAATTAGTATATCAGAGAGATATCTGCACTCTCATTTCTTTGCAGCATTCTTCTCAATAGGCAAGACTTGGAAGCAACTTTAATATCCATGAGACAGGTGAATGGATAATTAAAATGAGTTATGTGCATATAATGAAATATTATTCAGCCTCAAAAGAAGGAAATCCTGCCACTTGAGACAAACAGATGAACCTGGAATATATTATGCTCTGTGAAATAATTCAGACACAGAAGATTAAATATTACATAGTACCAATTATATGAGGAATTTAAAATAGTCAAAATAACAGAAGCAGAGGGTAAAATGTTGGTTTCTCAGGGACTGAGGGGAGGGAGAAATGGAGAGATATTTGTCAAAAGCAGTCTCAGTTATGCATGATGAATAAGTCCTGGAGAGCTACTGTACAGCATAGGGCCTATAGAAAACAACACTATTTGCTAAGAGGATTGATCTTATGTGACTGTTATCACACACAGAAATAATTATTTAAGAGGGCTGGAGGAAACTTTGGGAGGTGATGGATACGTTTATGGTACAGTTTGAGGTGATGGTTTTATGATTATAAACTTATATGGTTGTATACTTACCTACAAACTCATCTTGTATATATTAAGCATGTACAATTTTTCTGTCTGTTAATATCTCAATAAAATGGTTTTAAAAATATCATAATTATGGAGATTAATTTGCATCATCTTTTTAAAAAACATCAATTATTGTCATCTCTTATAGAAGCTTGAGATGTTTGGTTCAACCTATCAAGTAAACTTATTTTATACTTTTCAACCAAAGAATTAAAGATAAGTACGATTTGACAGCAGGAGAAATTAGGCATAGAGGAAAACTATAACCTAGTGCTGATTTCTAAATATAATATCCAGTATTATACGAGGCTCTTTTAATCAAAATTAAATTAAAAATTTAATTTCTCAGCTTCACTAGCCACATTTCAAGTACTCCACAACCACATGTGGCTAGTAGCCACTGGTGGACTGTGCAGGTTATTTTAGAATATCTTTTCCTTACTTAGCTCAAATACACTATTTTTAAAATTAACCTGATGTATTTGATATAGAAAAATTTAAGTGTCTTACTTTGCCAGAAATGGATGCAGAGATGACATGCAGCCCCATCTGCCTTCTCTGTACTCTTCCTTCCCACTCCCAAAGCAAAACTTGCTGGACTTTTTCCTTGCTGCCTGATAAACCTTATATCATCTATAGCTAGCATGTAATTGAATGATGCCGATTATGCAAACTTCTCACAAAAGGCAACTTCCGCATGAGGACTATGTTCACGGGTTGGTTATATCTGGATAAAATTTCCCTGAAGGCCTCACAGAGAAGAAGGTGCAAAGTTAACTTTATTTCACTGTAGTGCGTTGACTGCGTGGTGATGCAAGCTGCTGTGCTGGGCTCCTCAGAGGGTGGAAATCTCACTGCTCTTCCTCAAAGAACTTGATTCTCCAGTAGTTCACCCCTTCCCCCCATGGTTTTCCTATTATTTTTTTCTCTATCTATCCACTTGTTGGTGAGTGTGTGAGGTATCTGTATCTGTAGGTATTTGGTGCAGTGGTAAAAATCAGGAGAACAAAAATAAGCTGGTGAGGTGGTGTGATTCTAACATCGTTTTTCTTTGTGGTTGTTTTCCACTCTAAGACATGCCATGAGATAATTTGAAAACTACAAAAAAAATGAAGATGAAATGAAAAATGAACTATACTCCCATTACCCAGAGAAAAGCTCTGTTAACATTCTGGTGTTTATCCTAACAGTCTTTTTCCTATAAGATGCAAATTCAGATCATATTTTACACTTTTAAATATTCAGCTGTTTTCACTTAATACTATATTACGAAACTCTTCATTTATCATTAATAGTCTTTGAAAGTATCATTTCTTAATACAGATGTCCCATAATTTGCTTTACCTTTTCCCTCATTAGAAATTAAGGTTGTTTCCAAATATTGGTAAGACATAATGTGACAAGTACCAATAATATATATTTTGTGCATCTAAGCAGTATGACAAAATAGAAAAAGGTGAAAAGGTATTAATGTACTTGATGTATTTCCAAACTATTTTCCAGAAAGGCTGTAACAATTTATACTCCCCTATGTAGGAAAGGTGAGTGTCTTGCCTCACCTGAAACTGAATGTTACTTTAAAAACAT
This sequence comes from Homo sapiens, assembly GCF_000001405.40. Classification (NCBI taxonomy): domain Eukaryota; kingdom Metazoa; phylum Chordata; class Mammalia; order Primates; family Hominidae; genus Homo; species Homo sapiens. Next base: position 122,378,417 of record NC_000007.14, read on the forward strand.
GTATGCTAATTTGCTAGAGAAAATAGTATACTATTGTAGCTTACTTTGCATTCCTTAAATTATTAATGAGGATTAACATTTTTCATGTTCATGGGGCAGCTCTATTTTTTCTTTTCTAAACAGGATGTCTTTTGTCTGTTTATTAAATTGGGGGCGGTTTTACCTTTGCTTCTTGTCATCCTTCCAGTTGTTTTATGAAGAAGCCTGATTTGGGGCTTTTTGATGAAGCCTTGTGAGAGCATGGGATATATCTGCTTATAGGAAAGTGCCTCTAGGAACATGACCATTCTCTCTGTTCATCCTCTTAAACTCCTGGTGCTCTCATGTTCTCTCTTCCTTTCCTTATCAGCCCCCGATCTCATATGCTACTCATGACCATCTGTTACACCTTAGAGGGAATCTAAATCATCTAATCACTAAATGATGCGCCCACTGCTTCATCTCTACTTATACAGTGAAAGATCATCGCTTTCATCAAAGGTATTTTGAGCATCAAATTGGAAATCCTGGGAAACTCCTGGGCGTGGAGGACCTCAGATGTCACCCTGCAGCTTTCTCTGTCTCTGAGAACAGATCTAGAGCCTTAGTGCCATCGCCACTACAGATGGGCTAAATTCAAGGACTGATGACTACTCAAGGCTGCTATGGAGTTAAAATAAATAGCATAAGAACATGAATGTGACACAATAAGGTTTTACTGGAAGAAGAGTTAGTTTTAAAATGACAACAATTGTAGGAAAAGCCAAAATTTATTATATACAAAAAAACAAAAGCTGTTGACATAGTGTTCCTAACCTTTTTTTGCTCCCAACTTTTCTGAAAATTCTAATTTTTTCCTGCCCTAATCTTTTAAACTACATTTTTTCTCAATTAGATATTTAAAAACATTAAAAAATTCTCCATTGACAATTTTTCACTTTGATTTAAAAAGGTGAATAAATAATACATTACCTTTGAAACTAACAGTGAAATGATTTCTTTTACACTGTTGTCGATCAGATCATCTATTTTTGAATGGTACTGTTGCTAGATATTAAAAGATAAAAACTCATTAGTTGACATGGACACAAAACTTTTGTCATCAGTCATAAATGCTCTAAATCTACTAGTTATGACCTATCAGATTTATTTAAAATGATCATTTAGAACATTAAAAGAACAAAACCTTGAAAATGATCCACCCAGTCAACACTTTTTACATTGTGGTTTGAAAATTTTCCCATGTGCACTGTTGAGTTAAGCAGCTAATGGGGTTATTATTTAGATGAATTGAGTTCTTATTCTTATTCAGGCAGAGGAATGTGAAGGATACTTTTTGTCTTCTCCTCTATAATTAAGGTGGCCATGTATTTTTCTAAAGGGTTGGTTTAGCTGGAGAAGCAAAAAGACTAGAAAAAGATTTAATTAATACTGCATTTCATGTCTGACAACTCTCATTCATAAGTTATTTTAAATGTGCTCTAGAAATAAAATGAGCTCCCAATTGTTCACTCTAAAAGGACTTTTTGTCAGCACAGGGAGCAGCAGTTTATACAATTCTTACAATATGCTCGAGCAAGGGCAAAATTAGAATTTCATCAACAAAGGTGAATAGATGGTAACAAATTAATAGGCCATAAAAGGTATAATGAAACATCACTCACTCCCCATAGTTTTATTACCGCTTCCTCATGAAAAAGATGCCTTTAAATAAATACCAAAAAAAGATGTATTTAAAATCAACCTGAAAGACTTTTTTTTTTCTTTCTTTAGAGAATACTAGAGGGCTCCATTCTTAAATTAGCAGAAGCTTTGGCTTCCAAGGCTTGTGAAGGCACATCCATTTAAACAGTAATTCTTCCTTTAGAAGCATTTATCTGACAACTGATTGTCCCCAATAGCCACTTCACAGAAAATGTGACTTGTAAAGACTAACCCTATCTTGATGGTTCAAGGCTTCTTGGAACAGCTAACAAAATGCATAGAGTAAAAGTACTCAGGTCAATATAAACATTAGACCAACTTCACTGCTGGTTGAATGGTTTCTTAAGATGTAAGTTTTTGAAAGCTATTTTTTTTTTTTGTGCTGAAAACATGTCTCAAAGTTTCCACACAGTACAAAACATCAACTTAGGTCTGCTTTGGAATACTCAGGAATGACACTCCACCCCTCTCCCCAAGGGTTCTGACAGTTACAAGTGGTTATCATAAACCTGCATAAATAATAAAGAAAGGAAGGATAATTTTGGAGTGTCTGAATTATTTTCTTTTTCTGTGTGAGTCTGAGTGTGTGTGGGTGTGAATATAAGTGCATAATGATGAGTGATCTAAAATTAACCACACTGATGTGAATGTGGAATTTTCTGGGCACATATTGCACCCACTAAAGCATGTCTGTCTCACTTAAAGCCTTTATTGATTCCCAAGTTTGTGCTCCCCAGAGGATAAATGGAATTGAAACATAGAGAGTGGATTTCTATTCCAGTAGTGCTGATATTTTTGCTTTCGAGATAGCTTGAAGAGAAGGAAAACGGGAGAGAAAAGGGGAGAGAAGACAGAAAAACAGGTAGAAGAAAAAGAGCCTGAAAAAGCTGGCTGGCAGTTAAACTTCTGATCCAGTCTAAATTATTAATAATTTTCTGAGCCAGACAGGTCCACACATGAACATATCTGAGACCAGCTGAACAATTCCAGTGCACTGGCTGATGGGTAGGGTAATCCCTCCACAGACACACTTACAAAAAAGGCCCCCCAGCTCCTGGCTGAAAGCTGTGCAGCTGACTGTGCGATGGAGAAGCTTATGCAAATGAGCTCTGCCTGGCTCTCCCACTCTGCCACTCTTGTTTCACGTCCTTCTTGCTCCAGATCAGTGTATTCAGCAAGAGGAAATTAAATGCCACGTGATACACCTCTTTAGGGGTAGAAGAGGAAAGAGATACAGGAGTTGGGCTTCAAGCATCTCACTTCCCTCTTACATGGAAAGTGCTCCAAAGCATGCAGGCATTGAGGCACCCAGACTTCCAGGCAGGTTCCTAAACATGCCTTATCCCCAATGTTTTTCTCTGTTTTCATAACTTCCATTTTTTGAATTCAAAGTGATCAAATGTCATCAGAAAGCTATTGTATATAAAATACAGAGCTTCTACATGTTAAACTTTTGGGTTGAATTGATTCTGGCAAATCTTAAAATCAAGGGACGAGCCACAAAAGAGGTCATTGATACCCATTTTCTTGAAAAGCAGTGAAAGTCAGTGGACACTAGGAACCATTAAATTCTCCTATAATACACTCCCGTAGATTGTTGCTTGCTTTGATACCTGATCTAGCCATAAGCAGAGACAAAGAGAAAAAGAGGAAGAGATGGGGAGGGAGGGAGAGAAAATGAGAATGAATGAACAAAAACAAACACATACAATGTTAAAAACAAAGGAATAAAGAAGTATACATCTGAAATTTAATACCCAAGGGGTAAATCCAAATAGTGTGAGGTTTTTAGATTTGCATAATATGGGATTCTGCTATTGTAAATGTATCTGGTTAGATATGACTTACACTAATATTACAACTGCTGGGAACTTTCAGAATCTGCTCTGGCTGTGCAGTTGGTGGAGGTCGTATAGGCACATGAGTGTGAGAGAAAAGATGGCCCGAGAATTCCCATTTTACATATATATTCTGCAGACAATAACTCACATATGCCATACATAGGTATACAAAATTAGCTAGAAAAAGTCATTCATTAGGGGACCCAGGTAACTTTCTTTTTCTTCTTCTGTGTTTTTTAATCCTTGCTAAAAAATGTATTAAATAATGTATTTCAGGAAAATGACAAATTAACATAAAAGGAAGTTGTAGAATGAAGGAACAAGGATGAAACCAGAAATTGAAATATGTCAATAAATGTAATTAATGATTATCTGTAAAAGTAATATTTGTGTGTGCACGCATTTAAAATAAGGCAAGTCAAAAACTGCCAAAATAACAATGGTTATTGTGTGTTCATCTGGGGTGGGTACAGGAGTGTTCAGTGGATGGTTAAAACATTCTAAGATCAGTGGTGTGCTTAAACTAGTTCATAAAAGCAGCTTTTTAGAAATTTTCAGATAACTTTCAAAGACAAACATGAACATGCAAAAAGAGATCACAGGTAAAAGTTTATCTGCATAGACATTTTTAAGTTAAAATTGATAGGTTTTTTTTCCCATTTAGTATAACAGACAACATTTTTGGTACATTAATGTTTCCAACAATAAAAACCTATAAAATTTTTATCAGAGGCTGGGCATGGTGGCTCATGTCTGTAATCCCAGCACTTTAGGAAGTCAAGGTGGGAGGATCGCCTGAGCCTGAGTTCAAGGTTGCAGTGAGCTATGAATATGCCACTGCACTTCAGCATGGGCAACAGAAGGAGACAAAAAAAGAAAAAATACTGAGAAAAGGTAATGCTTATACACTGTTGGTGGGAATGTAAATTAATTCAGCCACTGTGGAAAGCAGTTTGAAGATTTCTCAAAGAACTTAAGACAGAGCTACCATTTGAATCAGCAATCCCATTACTGGGTACATATCCAAAGGAACACAGATCACTAAACCAAACAAACGAAAACAAAAACAAAAACAAAAACCACTTGAACTTGTATGTTCATTGCCATGCTATTCACAGTAGCAAAGACATGAAATCAACCTAGGTGTCCATCAATGGTAGACCAGATAAAGAAAATATGGTACATATACACCATGGAATACTAGACAGCCATAAAAAAGTACAAAATCATATCCTTTGCAGCCACATGGATGCAGCTGGAGGCTATAATCCTAAGTAAATTAACACAGGAACAGAAAATCAGATACTGCATGTTCTCACTTATAAGTGAGAATTAAACACTGAGAACACACGGACATAAACATGGGAACAACAGACACTGTGGACTAGTAGAGGGGAGAGGGAGGGAGGGAGATGTGGATGGAAAAACGACCTATTGAGTACTATGCTCAATACCCAGGTGTAACAAAACTACACATGTACCCCCATATCGACAACAAAAGTTGAAATTTAAAAGAAGAAAATAAAATTCTTCGAATACTTCAAGTTGGATTGATAATCTTAGATTCTAGGGCTTTGTTAGATTTCAATTCATTCTTAAGTTAAGTTTCTCCACATCTGCCCTCAAAGGCAAACTGTGCCTGCTTTCCCGCAGGTGATTCTGAACTTACATTAAGATAACCATTCAGGAATCCTTACTTCATGAAGCCCAGGGAAATCACAGGTCAGACACAGTCCAAAATCCTGGCCTCTCTACAATCAGGTGAACAGCACCACTTCACCTGACTGCTGTTACACAAAGACACTCATGAAATGGCTAATCAGATGCCAGTGAATTCCAGCTTTCTTAAAAGATTTTGGACCTTGTCTTGGGGTATATAATATTTTAAAGGTACTGGATTGTTAGTTCCAGAAATGGATGCATTTTAATTTAACTGAGAACAAATTTGGCCCAAGTAGGGCCCCTTGCTCCCCCGAATTGCCATATTAATGTGTTTTCACCTTCATCCTCAACTAATGGGACCATGGAATGAAGTGGTTCTGAGGGCTGATGAATGCCTACAGCCCAGGTAGTCATCTGCTTTTGTGCAGTTACGGATAATGAGGATTCTAAACACTGAGGTGGCTTTGTGATCTCGACATCTGTCCCTGAGGGACTGGCCTGAGACTGCTGACTCATTTCACACAGCTGTCACATGAGCAGATCATTCACCCACTAATCACTCCATTAAACCCTATTCTGGGCCTCAGTGGAACATGTTTGCATCATCATGTAGCATGTAAGAAAAACAGGATCATAATTTAGAAGCACAGAAGGGAATGCATTGTGAGGAAGGAGTTGGGAAAGTTTTATCCCAGCGATGACAATATAACACATTTACTAGAGATTTTGGAGAGGTAATTTCTTTATAATTTAGAAAAAACATTGCTGCTATGTTTAACTATGTAGTATATATTTTTACATGGTTCCAAATTGTCTAATGATCTAGTTTTTTTCAACAACTTTGTTGCTTTTTATAAATGAGGTCCGCTGGCTCACCTGTATATGTAATGTATATACTAATTTTCAACAATTCCGAAACTTATCTCAGCATATATACAGAGGGAAGGCCTATGCAATTATGTGGGTATGTTTACTGGAGAGAAAAAGCGAAGTATAAAATTCTTTTGCAATGAAATTCTTGTTTACCACTTTTTCAGGGTTGCTAATGGGTTTTACACCTGCACATTCTGAACTATGTTAATTGTGTGAAAGTTGTGGGGAACTAATTGTCTCTGGTGTGAATGTACAGGTGCACACATAATGAACAGTAGTAGATTACTCTTCAAAACCACCCACCTATTAATGTAAAGAATCATTTGACAATGTAACAATGTTCATCATTTGTGTGTGTGTGTGCCTGTTTTTCCTTTTAAGTACTACAGCAAGTTGTTTCTTACAGGGGAGGATTTTTAAAGCAGTGACAACAAATCTGTTCATCCACTCAGCAAACATTTACTAAAGTGCCTACTGCATGTCAGGTACTGCAGTGTATGTTAAAATAAGAACAAACGGATAAACCCAGTATGAATGGAAGATGATTCCACAAACCAGATGAGAAAAGAATGGGTTTATGAGGAAACCTAAGATAATATTCTCAGGCAGACAATCAAAGGCTTACATCTGGTTATTAAAAAAACATGAGGAGGTAAATAGGAGCCACTGGTATCTAAGCTAGCTGCCTACTTATTCAGATAATTAGATATAATAAATCATGTTGTAAGTGATCAGAGAATGGTAATTACTGAACATTCTATAACACATATCAGTTACCTGATATATGTGTAAGGTTGTATGCTATGGTAATATAAATACATTTTTTTTTCTGCTGAATTGCTCAAAGAATAAAATTGTGTATTCATGCATAAATATAAATTATGGCCAAATAGCTAATGTCTATACCTGGGGCAATAGGTATAGAATTCACAAGTAGTAGGCCTTCCCATCTATTTTCACAGTTAACTAAGCCCCTCTGCTTAGATGAGAATTGTCAGCCCAGGAAGAGTCACCCTGAGTTTGATTCCCAATTGTCAACTGTAAGACTTGTAAGATGTAACTTACCTACAGGACACAAAGACATTCTAACTCACGACAAAAAAAAAAGTATACACTAGTCAATCCTTTACGCATAAAGGTTTTCTAACCTTGTACCTCAGGGATTCTGGGGTAGTATTTTAGGACGAACTGTTGTGGAGGAGGGCAGAAGTCTCATGACACAGGCCTGCCTCTTCCTTACCTCTGATGATGGTCACATCCTAGGCCATGAGTGGGAGGAAAGACTGTATCACTGGTGGGCTTGTACCTCACTGAAATCCACCACTGGGTTCATCTGTATGAAGTGACTTTGGGTGTGGCCTCCTGGTTCAAGTTTTTAGGGGCTATATGTCATCTAAAGCTCCAAACTTGAAATTCTTTTGGTATTAAAAGTATACTGTAGATAAATGCTTGAAAAATGTTAATTATCACTCTGCTCCTATAGTTATTCAGATTTCAATTTAAAAGAAGGTGAATTAATTTGGTTTTAAATAATTTTATCTTTAAAATTCTAAGAGGAGTTTATAAATTCTGCAGACTAACAGGGGAGAAACATTTCCCTCGTCATTATTTAAGGTATAAGTATTTAGTGTTTTCATGAATCTTTGGACTATTGCTATGTTATTGTAAGCTGTTAGCCTTATATATGCGAACACAGAAGCCAAAAATCTGAAAATAAATTTATATAATTTTAATTTGAAAAGATGAAAATAAAAAATATACATTTACAAAAATAATAACTCAAATGAAATGTGCTTTTAGAAAAAAAAATGAGACTTACCCATTGACTACCAAACTGGATCATGCCATGGGTGGAAAAAAAAAGATGATGAAAGAGAACAGAAGGGAAGAATAAAGAAATGAAGAAAAAGTAATTACAATGGGAAAAAAAGGCAACAAAATCAACTTAAAACAGATAATTGAAGAAAAATAAATCAATTTTCACCCAATCACCACTCTCAACAAAAAATCATGGGGTAAAATAAAATTGTACTTCTGAATATAAAACCAAACAAAATATAAATAAAATAGAAAGAATAGGATATTTATTGATAAGAACTAGGCCTAGATTTTTAAGTCTATTTCAACCTAAATTTTTAAAAATGGAAGCTACTGTGTAAATAAACTATTTCACACTTTTTCGTGTGTCTTACTTTTATAGATGCAAACTCTGGATACTCTAGATTTGTATAAACAAAACAGGTAGCTTTCCAGCTTTCTCATTTGCTTGTAAAAAGCAAGGTTTATGTAAATGACACAACACTTCAGCTGTTAAAAGCTATATCTAAAATTCATGGCCACTAATGCAATTTTAGACCATATTTATATCAAAAAGGAGAAACTGACATGAGCAAAGGATAAAGGGCATTCTGTTATTATAGTAAAGATCAAACGTTTGGTGCTAGAGAACTTGGTCTTTTCAATCCAATCAAGAGAATGCCTTGTGGAAAGGGCATTTCCCATGCCAAGGCACCCTGTGCTGCCTTTCCCCATGTGGCACATTCTACATACCTCTTGTCCTCCATCCAGGGCACAGAGTTTGGTGCTTTGCTTTTTGGCATCGACTAATACATTAAACATAGTGCAAACGGAAGCTGGAATGCGCAAGTCAGTTGTTTTGCTTGCCTTTTGTAGCTTGAGTTCAAATGCAGTTCTTGTTCTAGTTTTTAAAACATGAATTCAGAGTAAGAAATTCTGCTATACAGCTCACCTGTTTTGTAAAAAGTGAAATCAACACTACAAGATGCTAATTTAAAACATGCAAATAAGGAGTAAGCAGTGTGGCAGTGCTTGGGAGCTAAGGGGTGGGATGCTTTTCTTTTCAAGTGTCTCAATGAAAGATCAGATTGTCATATTTTTATATTAAGCCTAGCTTCATGCAGTCACTCAGGCAGTATTGCCACCCAAATGAAGCTTTTTGTTATATCTAGAGTACCACATTTAATGGAAAAAAAACTCATAATTTCACTTAATTGTCTGAATTAATTGTCTGAATTTCCAAGTAGAAAAATCACACACTTGTATGCATTTAAGCAGAATATATCCTCTATGTGAGGTCTTACCAAATTAGAAAAAATAAGCACAAACCTAGAAAACCCTAAAACATGGTAATCAATGTACAACAGACAATGTGTAATTCTTTTATGTCACTTACATTCTCTTTCAAAAACCTAAAATTGCAGGCAGGTTTTTGAAAGGAACTGCATCATGAGCAATTTGGAATTGGTTTTGCTGAAGTATCCTATGAAAATCCACAGAATCGAGACATCAAAATCAAAGATGATTTTTAAAAAACATTAAACTACCTAATCCAGGGCCTTGCCTTAAGGGGCCACTGAACATTATTCTAAAGACAGATTTTTTCTTGGTTTCAAGATTTCAGAAATATCCAATTGGTCTAACCAGTGTTTGAACACTTTTCTAATATGTGGCTCCATATTGTCCTTGTATATATAATGAACAAGGACAATGGGAAAAAAATGCTTGACCAATTAGGATGCAAAGCTGATTTTTTAAAACTACGATAAAATGAAAGCACATTTGGAAGAATATGAAGCCTCATAACTTATTTCCAGTTAAGTGATAAAGAATGTAAGCAGATAGTTGGAACTCATCTGATGTGGACAGAAAATAGTTAGTAATCCCAGAACAACTGATGGTGCTGATCCTATTTTGAGTTTACTATGCCATTTCACAGCACACAGACACAGTACATAATGCATACAGAACATAACAGACCTTTTTCATACGTCTCAGGAGATATTACCTTGGGAATTTAAAGCATAGTATTCCCAGAGAGATAACAATAAGCCCTAAAGAAACCATTAATATGGTATAGATGTTACTGATTAAGGCAATAGTTGGGAGACCTGAAAAAAAGTATCCAGCCAATTTCATCAATTACATGGGTCCCCAGAATTTAATCAAGATAACCTAATACTCATTAAATGTTGGAATAGTGGTGCATAATGAAACCTTTGCTGTGACAATAATATATTAGGTACTTGATAAAAAGTGATATTTTTGGGTGCTGGCACATTAAGCAGCAATTTGAAAATACATGTCTACCTTTTGACACAGGCCTCTAGCATATCACTGGCCATTAGTTTAAGTCTTTGCTCTAAGTGGTGGGCAAATTCCTGTTCTGGCCAGTGCAGATCAAAGACAAACATTTGCAGTGCATCAAGCTTCCAAAAAAGGTCTTCTGATGTTGCTGAGCCATTGCTAGAAGAAAAAGGAAAAATGAACATCATGAACTCCCCGTTAATTAGGTATACCATTAATACATTGTTTTTTCTTTTCTGCATCAATTGCCATCAGTGAAAAAAATACCATATAAAGTCTCTAATGATCCAATATTTTCTTTGTTCAGCCTTCTAATTGTTCCTCTACAATTCTTAATAAGGCAGGGCAAGGAGAACAAAATAGAAATAAATATGGTGGTAGGGTTTCATACAAAGAGGTAAAATGGATATGTATACTTTACTAAGGAAGTTATATTGTGTACATAAGAACAAACATTGTAACTGTTCTTTACCAATCTCTAGGATAAAGATTCTTGCAAATCCCCAAAATTATGTTTTATGCAAGAAAATCCTTATGTTAGTAACCAGTACCTTTGCCGTTATTCATGCATATGTGCCTCTGTCACCATGGTGGTTTCTGTCTATCTACACGTGTGTAGAACATAGGGTCCTTGAATTTCTCAATTACAGGTAAAGATGAGACAGGAACTGGAAATAAAACGGGCTAGGTAGGGAAGCAATCTTTTATTTTCATTTTTTGCTTTTTCTGGCTTATTAAAACCCAACTTAGTGCAAGGTATTGTCTGACAGAGAAATGACATTCAGGGTGCTCTGAAGATGGAGAAAAACAATGCGTTTCAGGTCCTTATATCTAACTGTGGAGCCAAGATTTGCTAAGCATTCACTATTATGGTAAAATTACTCTACAGGAGTGCTATCACCCCATGTATGAAGATAACTTATAGAAGAGTTACAGTAACTTATAGAAGTTACCTTCTAGAAGGTAACTTATAGAAGAGTACATATAATATTTTGGCAAATGGTTATTACTTTCCATTATGCAAGTACATAGGCTAATACAGAAACAAGTGTTTTGAAAGTAAAATATTCCTACATTAAAACATATTGAAATTTAACCATAAAAAGCATAAAAGCAAAAGCAAAAAAAAGCTGCTGTATGATTCATTTGTTCTCAGCTTTCCCACAATTGCTTCACATATACTAACTTAAAATTTATATTTCTAGTTTACAAAAGAAAATTAAAGAAATAAACTCATTTATTACAACAGCACAGGGGAAAATACCTATGTAACAAACCTGCACATTCTGCACATGTATCCCAGAACTTAAAGTAAAATTAAAAAAAAATAAATTGTTTAAAGCACCACATTGTTTCGCTAAATATATCTTTATGAGCTAGCTTAGAAAAAAAGGCACCTCTTGCTCTTGACTAATGAAAAGCTTATTCCTGCCCTCCACCCTGGCCTCAGCGTCAAAGCTCTATCACAAACCTACACTGCTTTTCTCTTCTCATTCTGCCAGTAATTCCTCCTGATCTCCTTGTCTAGCCAAAATGCCCTCAGACTTAAGTTCTCTAGGGACCAATCATAGCAAAGCACTGAACACTCCCGTAGCACTTTACTCACTTAAATCTCTTCACCGTAATATTCAGTGCCTCAAATGCACCATTAAATAAGAGAACTAGACAACACCATTCTGATACTACAGTGAAAGTGTTGAAAAAAACACTACCTTTATTTCTCCTTTTGCCATATATATCATACAATTAAGAGAAAACAAACAAACAAAATCTCCCTTCACATCCACAGTGTACAGCTTGGTAGATTAGAGGAACTGAGTTTTAAGAATAACTGAATACAATTGGCAAAGAAGCAAATCTGCTTCTTATAATATTTTTACTTTGGAGAAATGTAACTATTTGGAATGTATATATTCTTTAACAACACAATGACAAGGAAAAACATCATAAAAACAAAATCTCTAATGGTAAAGGCAGAATTCTACTAAAAATAGATTTTCTAATAATACATGGCAATCTTCATAGAGAATATGGTTACATTTTTCTTCTGTTTGATTCTATGGTAAGATTCTTGACAATAAATGTGTTTAATTGGGAATGTAATTAAGATAACAAGTGTTTGTTATAATTAGATAGATATATGAAAAAAATGTGAGTAGGCTTTCTCTGGAGTTGGTACATATAACCTGCAATTTATTCAGAGCTTTTTCATTTTAAAATTATTTCTAATTGGTGGCCTATTCCTAAAGGTATTATTAACAGATTAAAGAATTCGAATGTGAGTAGTAGACTCTGAGATAATTTCCTAAAAATGCCAGCAGGAAACTTAACTTGCTGGCATTCATTTCTAGAGAAAAAAAAACAGAATAAAGATTTATATACAGATACATATGTCGATGAGCAATCCTTGCATGATTTATGCATTGGTAGGCAGGGATGTATCTTCAAAACCATGGTTGCTTTTATATTCTTCTTATTTAATCAGCAGTTGTATTTTTAATTCTTTATGTTAAATATAAATGTTTCTTTTTATTAATGTTTCAAACTTCAAAAAACAAATGGCAATAACATCATAACATTATGAGTAATTCTGGACACTCTGACAAAGAACCTAATGTTGATAACCTTGGTAGGTAAAGATAATGGTGATCAACTTGTAAAACACATTTTTAAATTTCCCCAGAATGGTGAAAGCACAATCACTTTACTTACAAAGCCCCAATTTGTCATTATTCCTGTCCTGAAATTAACATACTTTAAAAAAGGGCCCTCAATAAGGGATTCAGAGTTTGTACAAATCCCAAAGTTAATAAAAGATTACTAACAAAAAAATAAATTTCGCAGGATAATGCCCATGATAGTGTTCTTGGCTAAAATCAAGCGTTAAATAGATGAGAAATTAGGAAGAAAAGGAGTTAAATTATAAAACAGTGTAAAAAAGAACAAAAAAATCATACACTTAGAAAGGTTCATTATAGTTTGTAGGCAATTTTCTGAGCACACACAGACACCACTTTACACACTCTAATGACCAAAAGCATTTGCCTGTAAGAAAAAAAATTCACATGTAACATAATATCCTAGTGAGTATTATGAATGCAGTTATGATGTTAAACTTGGAGAAATATTGCCAAATTACTTTGCAAGTTATTCTCTTTCTTGGTCTTTTCCTATTTCTTTTCTTGATTGTGTGCATACCTGACTGGGTGTGGATTTGCAGTTGGTGGTGGGATAGGTAGAAAAGTAGCAAGTTCTTAAACACAACGTTCTATGACAGCAGAACAAATTAATGATAGGAGTGAGGAATTTGTAGTCAAACGAACCTGGGTTCAAATTTTGCCTCTGTCACTTATTTGCTGTGAGATATTGGGTAAGTTTGGTTTCTTAGTTTCTTTATGACTTAGTTTCCTTAACTGTAAAATGGGGATAATGATATGAGGTTGTTATAAAGATTAAATGAGATAAATAACTTGGCACTGTACTGGAAACAGTAAAATCTCAATAAATGGAAGCTATTTTTCTTCCTCTCATGATTATTCTTTCTAGTTGATTTCATATGAGATCTTGGGCAAAGCAGGTAACTGCCCGAGTTTTCCCATTTGTAAACTAGTACTATTACTTGGTTCTGATTGCTGTGAGGCTCATAGTTTTAAAAACTATACCATTATAAATTATAATGATGATGCCTGATGATAGTAATAATAACAAAAACAACAATGTAGAGTAGTAGTAATTATCATTTACTGGGTGCCTAGGATATGCCAATAGTACTAATAATTTACTGAGAGCCTAGGATATGCCTCAATACAGTTTTTTTTTTTTAAATCATCACAAAAACATCTTTCATTTAGGTGTCATAATTGTTTTAGAGTTGAGGAAAAAACTCAGGCTAAGAAGGATTTACAATTAATAAGCTAAGATCTAAATTCAGAACTGATCAATTTAAAAGCCCATTCCTGTTCACTTCAGTGGTTCTTAGTTGCTGATTCTGCAATAGGCAAGCTCATCATGATGTGAAGTTAATAAATATGGTTTTTGATGATATAAAGACTATTTAAAAATACCAAGATGTACCAACTATATAATAAAAGAACAAAAGAAGAACTTCCTGGTTTTGGCAATGAAAGGGCCTGCAATGATGCAGTACTGTTTTTTAAAAGTTGAGACTAAGATAAAAATAGAAAAATATTATATTCTTGAAACCATTCTTCCAAAGGTTTTCTACTTGCACAAGATAAGTCATCTGGGCAGTAATAAAGCTGGAGCTAAGAATCCTCAAAATGCTTTGTATACATAAGGAGAACTCTGATTATTTTACTTAGGGTACAATGTCACCAAATGATTTACTTAGGGTAGAATGCCACCAAATTATTCCTGTCCCACAGATTATATATGAACTACATTAAACTAGCGTGTTTTTTCTTTTTAATTGACATTATTCATCACAGATATGCTAAGCTTAGCTTACTAGCTTAAAAACTCAAATAAAAAAAAAAAAACAGTATTCCTCAACCAACGATGACAAATGCCATGCAGTCTAAACACATCTGCGCAGAACACAGCCCAGGCCATGCACCAGCTAACACACCACCAGGAAATAAGTGAGGAATACACACGTGGACTCATATAAAGAAGGCATCCACGAAGCAGTAGAAATGTTAGGAATCTGTGGAAGATTAAGAGGCAGACTTGGAACTTTTGGAAGAGCTACATTGGGAAGACTGTTGGCGATATTCCTGTAAAGAAACAAACAACGTGGGAAGGGACCACCATAAGCGATAACTACAGATGGCCATGTGTGAAGTCATAAGGTCAGGGTTGAAGAGGCAGGTGCTCTACGGACACTAGGTAAGATACCTACTTGACAGGCTGCCATGTCTCCTGCTCAAAACCTCTGTGAATTGACTGGGCGATGGAAGACTCCATGAGATCCACATAGCGGACAACCAAGGGTACAAAGATTTCTTGCAAGTGTTTGTGAAATTTTCCATTACACAAAAGTGCTGAAATAGCCAAGCAGAAACAGTGTTTGTCAGAGGGATAATATCAGACATTTGGAAAATATGGGCCAAAAAAACACGTTTTCTGAGAGAGTCTGACACAGAAGAACTGATAAAATGCAGATGAGAGTAGATCATACCCCCCATATTGAATATCATATCATGGAAATTGATCAAAAAGTATAATTAGCCTTCTATATATGGCTGTCAAAACACAAATAGATTATATCTCTCTAAAATTCTCCTGGCAGGTGGTATGTTTTTATTTTCTAAGAGGTTTAACACATAGGCACATGACCACTCGCTGGAAATTCAAGGGAGCTGCCAGCTCCCCTGAAGGTCCTGACACATGTAAATACAGCAATTAAGCAGAGTTACAATCTCTGTGCTATGCTGTGTATCACAGAGGAGCTAAACCTTCTCAATTCTAAGAGGTAAGCTTGATGACTTGTAAAAGCTATTCTTGTTCACTAGGAGGGTGTCTGTGGGTTTGGGAATATCTATTTTGATTCATGAACATTATAGTTATTTGTGGATTTTCTTTTTAGTCATTCAATTTTGCATATCTGTATTTAAAAACAGCACATGACCTGGATTTTTTAGTTTTCCATTTGTCTTTAATAAATGGTAGTATGGAACATCCTACCTAAAGTAGTGACAGAAATCTTAGAATTTGTGCTACAAGGCTGCTGGGCAAGGTATACTCACCTTTTTCAGGCGATGAATGTTTTCTATGCAGATGATACAATTTTATTAAAATATAGGTGAGTATATGCCTAAGTTTCACCATTAAAAAATAGAGAATCTATATGAAAACAGTAATGCTAAGTAATATTTAACAAAGACTTTATTTTAGATGACAGTACTATAGATTGTAAATATTTCTCAAAGAACATGTCCTAAGCCCCATTGTGGCCCTCAAAGTGAAAATGTGCTGATTTAAAAATATACTCTGTGGTCAGGAAAGGTATTCCTGAAGAGACAGAAGAACCTTCCATGGAAGACTTAAAGGGGAGGTTTCCAGGTAGAGGGAACAGCTAGCAAACAAGTTTTGGGAAGGAATAAGCTTGGGTCTTTGCAGAAAGATGAAAGGCCAGAGTAACTGCAATAGACTGAGGGAGGGGGAGGGGCAGCCCATGGCAGGGTCTAGATCCTAGGACTGAGTAAGGAGTGTTGCTCTTAGTGGGTGTGATGGGAAGCTTTATGATGCTTATGATTATGCAGAGGAGTGACATGATATGATCTCTCTGGCTGCTGTGTGGAAATGGAGTAGGTAGCCAGGAGTGAAAACAGAGAAAAAGGTTAATACTCAGTTGTTTACTGCAATAGACTAGGTAAAGGATGATAATGGCTTTGACTAGGGTGAAGAGGTAGAAGCTGGGGAAAAGTTAGTAATCTCATTCACTTTTATGGATTTGAATAGCTATATATGCTTATAGTTACTAAATCTAATTACTAGCAACTCCAATAGCAGTGTCTTATAAAATATTCACTATGACAACTTCCCACATTATCTTCTTCAGAGCAAAAACATCCCAAAAGCCTAATAGTGTTTTAGCTCTTGTCAAAGTACATGATGTTTATCACTGTGGCATGTATATGAAGATGGCTTCGATATGTTACTTTATGCGTTTCTGAAATTTCTCTGAGGCTGGACAACTACAGGCACATAAATTGGTGTGGGAAGTAATTCTAAACACAGAAGGAAATATAACAGATTTTTTTTTCTACCTCTAATTGATATGGGTTAGTATTTTTTGTGGTTAAATACTCTTTTCCCAGCTCAGCTATATGCTAAAACATTTCCCATTAAATTGTGAACAATAATCATATTTAATGATAGGTGTCTTATTTAGGAGACTAATGTTATCTTAATGATGTTTTCATTAGCACACTGAAAGAAGCTTTATTTATTCCTGGAGATTCAATCATCGAGCTAGAAGGTACTATAGCTCAAATAATTCAGTTCCTTTTATCAAATGCCACCTAAATAAGCATGCTAAACTTTAAGGATAAAATATTCTCACTCAAACCATCTAATTCACTGTAGTATGCAAATTAAAAAATATACTGATATCTGAATTTATTGGGTCTCTACTTAAGAACTCTCATTCTCTTCTTCCTCCTCCTCATCCCTAGCATATTTGGAGTACCAAGCACTATGTGAAGTCCTATATGTGCCTTATCTCATTTAATCATCACAGAAACTCTACGAGGGAGGATTTTTTTTTTCTTTTTTTTTTTTTAGAGACGGAGTCTTGCTATTGTTGCCCAGGCTGGAGTGCAATGGCACGATCTTGGCTCACTGCAACCTCTGCCTCCTGGGTTTAAGCGATTCTCCTGCCTCAGCCTCCCGAGTAGCTGGGATTATAGGCGCATGCCACCATGCCCAGCTAATTTTTGTATTTTTGGTAGAGACAGGGTTTCTCCATGTTGGTCGGGCTAGTCTCGAACTCCCGACCTCAGGTGATCCACCCGCCTCGGCTTCCCAAAATGCTGGGATTACAGGTGTGAGCTACTGCGCCTGGCTAGAACTATTTTTTTAAACTTATCAATAAGGTAACTGAGGCATAGAGAGTTTAAGATACTTGTTTAAGATCATTTAGTCATTAGTAGAACCAGGATTTGATAGAAAAACTCCTTGTTAACCTCTATAAAACTACCATTCCTCACTCTGACAACCAATTAGTCATCAAGACTGGTGTATTTTATATCCTTAATATCTTTCAGTAAGTTACCGTGCTCTCTTCATCACCACTGCTGTTGCAATAGTCCAGCCCTCTCATCTCCTGTCTTGATTAATGCAATAATAACCTAACTGGTCTTTAGGATCCTAATATTTCCTCTGCCAATCCATCTTCTCAAAATCATAAGCAGAGGGGCTTGCTGAAATATGAAACTAAGAATGTCACTCCTAAAGATTATAATCCTTTAGTGGATCATTATGACAAGCTTGAAAAGCCTGAGCATGGTATGAAAGCTTTCCAAGACCTGTCTACAAGTTACTTCTCCAGCTCATTTCTGTTGTCTTACCTTTCATTTCCTGTGATACAGTCATAATGACTTTCACGATTCAATATACACCTGCTCCTCAAATCCTTTCTAGAAATGCTTCCTTCTGCTGTCCCCTTGCCCAATTACTGGCTTCTCTTGTTTACTCTCTACCCTGGACAGGTTTCCACTGTGGTTCTTGTCATACAAGTGGTCTTCTCCTGCTGACATATTTCTTGCTGACATATTTCTCGCTGCCTACAAGGATGTAAGGTTCTCAAGGCAGGAACTATGTCTGTATTCTAAGTTCCAGAAAAGTCCCTGGCTCAGAGCAAGTAATCAAATGTTTGTTGGATGAATGAATATTTGAAGGCTAAGATTATTACATTATTATTGTATTAAATGGCACTTATAAAACCTATTGAGGCCTGTGTATACGCCTCATACTTTGTATAAAATATATAGCATTAAATAATACAGCTATAAGTTCTATTTTTAACCCATATGTACAAGATCGGACTGCTAAAAATTCTAATGAATATAAAAGTTGGTTATTTTATGTTTCTTATTTTAATGAATGTGGCAAAGAAAGGATTTTCTCTGGTCAGTTATGAATCTTGACAGCAAATGATTATATCCTGCAGAATTTAAAGAAAATGAAGATTACCTATATTTCCTATGAACTACAAAAAATCTTAAATTCTAGCCAAAAGTTTGCTCAGAATTCAGCAAAGAGTTATTTTTTATTTGAAAAAAATTATAAACCCACACTTGAAAATTTTAGAAAATTGGCAGTATTATTTCATTGGTAATTAGAGAGAAAGGGGAAGGAGGGAGTGGGGGAGAAATGGGGGAGACAAAGAGAAAATGATGGAGGGGAGAGGGAGAGGAGGGGTGGGGGAGGGACTAGAGGAGAAAGAAAGAGAAATACACAAAGAGGGGGAAAGAAAGGAAAGAGAATATTTGGTTTCCAAAGACAAGCTACAGAAATACACCCTACACTACACTTGTCTATGTAAATGTATGCTCCTTCCTTCGTTGTCCATATGGCAGCTTGCATTCCACTCCTATCAGACACTGTCAAAAGGCCCTCTTAATATGTAGCCTGAGGCATCAGAGTAAGTGCTTCTATCTTCTCCATATGGTTTAATAAGGATAGGTTATGATTTGGGGCTGTCACCTGTCCAAATCAAGCCTTTACAAAGCACCCATTACAACAGTTCATTGTAAGAGGCAAGTTCTTAATGCGGCCACATCCAAGAACACTTCTGACACCATACTCAAGTATGAGAGAGTGAAAAGGGCTGCTCAGAATGAGTCTCAAAAAGTGATTACCGCCTGAGGGGAAAGCCAGCACCTATTTTTCAGATAAAAAAATAACTTTTTTCCCGAAAAGATTCCATGTTTCCAAATATCACCTTGTTAGAAAATAATGAGGCATCAATGACATCGAGCCCTATGGTACAATTAGAAATGGCAAAAAGAAAACAAATGGCTTAAATATAAGCTAAACTCAGGATGCAATATGCCCAATTATTTTGAAAATCCCCGATAATAAATTAGTGTTGATTATTTTCATATGAAAAAGCCTCTTTCATTTACAAAAGTACTTGTCATAGGCTTTTAGTAGTAAGATTTCAACAGAGAATTTAAATTTAAACTATGATCCAATTAATAACAATTACTGAGACAATAATCACTGGGTAAAATAAAGAATAAGCAAATAAAAGAATTCATATATTGTTTTTAGGGTAAAAATATGCTGCTGACTCTTGAACCCATATAATCCAATTTTATAGTGCTCATCCTCTTCCAATTAGCTAGCTTTAGTGGATTACTAGAAAGAATGATTTTTCTCCTCAAACTTCTCATTAGGCATTTCAGAAGGAAATGGGTAATTCATTAGCAGCAAAACAAACAGACAATACAAATCACAATAAAATCAACAGACTTTGCCATAAAACAATTATTTAAGAGACTAAAAATTATATCAACCCTGAGCAATGCAAGCACAGTGGACTAAGAAAATTAATAAGTCGCTCTCCATGTTGACAAATGCATATAATGAAGACCTCCATCACAGAAACAGAAAATATGAATATGGGCTTCAGGAGAAAAGCCAGCAGAACTGCAGTCTAGAACAGCATTATGTAAAAGGAAAACACTCTTCTCTCTCTCTCTCTCTCTCTCTCTCCCGCCGCCCTCCCCACCCCTCACCCCTTCCTCCCTCCCTGAGATTTAGGAATAGCACCCAGCCAAGAATCTGGCACATTAAGTAGGCACTCTATAAATGTCTGATTATTGAATAAATATCAATAAAAATCTACCTCCTAAGGGAAACTCCAAGAACATCCCATTTAAGTAGACTAGGAAACACACTGGATTCTATTGTCCTTTTAATTAAAAATTTGACAAGTAATTTTATATTTGGTAATATTAATGTATACATTAACTAGTATAATAACCCCTAAAACCACACCCAGTTCTTCCTTTTCCCTTGGGGCACTTGCTAATATATATTTATACACCTATACATCTACCTAGGGAGAGAAAGTGACAAGAAGTGATAGAACACAGCTGTTAAAATGTTTCTTACTTTTTTGGGCAACACATCCAAATTTAAAACTATAATGAAAAAATTTCATAGAATGGCACACATAATTTGAGTTATACTTCTACAATCTACTGCATCAAGTTATTTGTGTATATATGTGCGTATCCTCCACTAGATTTTATGTTTTTCAAGGGGAGGAATCATTTCTTATTTATACATGTATTTGCAAGGAGCCTAGGATTTGTAAATTGTAGGCATTAGGCACTTGTTTCTTGTGAAACTAATTCAGAAAAGCTTAATTAACCGAAGCTTATAAGGCAAAGATAAGTAAAGAAGTCTTATGGTCCAGCAGTCCTCATGCTGTTTTTTAAATGAAATTATGTAATATTAAAGGCAAATAGAAAAGTCTGTAATTTTACTCAAGCTATGCATAGCCTTCTAATCTTTGAGTTAATGTCCCACAATACTTGCCCCATCAATGGGAATGATTGAGTACAGCTATATCATGATCGATAACTCTCTCAAGGGTGGGTTTCTTTTTTTTTTTTTTTTTTTTTTTTTTTTTTTTTTTTTTTTTTTTGAGACGGAGTCTCGCTCTGTCACCAAGTCTGGAGTGCAGTGGCGCGATCTCGGCTCACTGCAAGCTCCGCCTCCCGGGTTCACGCCATTCTCCTGCCTCAGCCTCCCGAGTAGCTGGGACTACAGGCGCCCGCCACTACGCCCGGCTAACTTTTTGTATTTTTAGTAGAGACGGGGTTTCACCGTGGTCTCGATCTCCTGACCTCGTGATCCGTCCGCCTCCGCCTCCCAAAGTGCTGGGATTACAGGCGTGAGCCACCGCGCCCGGCCAAGGGTGGGTTTCTTGATGCCCATGGTTTTCAGAAGTTACAGGTGTTCCTGTGATCTGTTACAAGAAACACACTGGCATTTTAGAATAGGTGATTATCTTTAAGCCACTAAACCCTATGAAAATATAAAAAGCAGATTAAAATTTTTAAAAAGTCTACAAGTAGGAAAGAAACTAGAGCAGGCAGGGCGCAGTGGCTCACGCCTGTAATCCCAGCACTTTGGGAGGCCGAGGCGGGTGGATCACTTGAGGTCAGGAGTTTGAGACCAGCTGGACCAACATGCAGAAACTCCATCTCTACCAAAAATACAAAAAATTAGCTGGGTGTGGTGGTGCATGCCTGTAATCCCAGCTACTTGGGAGGCTGAGGCAGGAGAATTGCTTGAATCTGGGAGGCGGAGGTTGTGGTCAGCCAAGATCACTCCATTGCACTCCAGCCTGGGCAATAAGAGCGAAACTCCATCTCAAAAAACAAAACAAAAACAAAAACAAAACAAAACTAAACAAAAAAAGAAAAAAAAGAAATTAGAACAGTACTGTGGAATTCAACTGAGGGGAAAAAGGTAGTGACTCCTTGCTTTTATATTTCATTTACCATACTGGTCAGTAAAACAAATTCTGACACACCATTTTGAATCCAATCAACTCTGGGGATTAGAGTTAAATACATTCTCACATTTTGGCCCTTATTTCATCATTTGTAAAGTGCATACTTATAAAACTAATCTGGCATGCACAGATTTGCTGCAATCTAGATGTTATACCCTTTCTGCATTGTCCCTGGTTTATGTATATCCAGATATATCTATAAACACCAATTCGTGAATTTCAGATGAACAGCTCATTTAAGCACTTGAAAGAGAATAACACGCAGGTGTCAGCCTTCCATATTTCAAAGCTTGAAGATTAACCTAATATACAATATGGTGACCTAACAGTCCTTCATTTGAAAGAAATCTGAAAAATAATCTCTGATACAGCCTAAGTGTGAGAATAACCCAGCAGGATTTCCACCTCTTCATTTCTTAATGAGTTTTTTGATAATGAGAGGTGACTTTGCCAGTCACTCTGGGCTCTATTATGGCTAATTTGACTCCACTTCACTCTCCTTGTTAATTATTAACACTAGCCTTTTTATCCTCATGAGACCACATTCCAATTTTTCCTTTTTCGATTTTTATGAGCCCATCTTTACGAAGGTGAAAGTCTTCGAGAATAGGTTTTCACTTAGTGTAGAGCAGGAACATTTATTATTCGTTTAGGCAGAGATGCTGTGACATTGATTATATAAGCACGGGTGTTCTTTGGGATGACTTTAATGTGCTAGCAATGTGAAAAGGCTGTTAATTAAAGAAGCAGCACCGTGGTATTTTTCAGTTGGGAACCAGTTCCCAATAGAATGGTCATTTGCCACTTGCTAGCATATCCACAGATTAAAAGGTGACTAGCTCCAAGGGTTTGCGTTTCAGTAGTGCTGAAAGAAATGATTTGTGCCATTTGCAGATGGCTTTCATTTGTCAGAAGTGGTCACTTGCCTTATCTATTATTGACAGAACAACTATGGAAATAGTGTGCAAGGGTAGAATCTATTTGTACTAGCTTTATAGTCACTCAGTATCATTGAACCATCGTGCCAATTACTTCATTATGAAAACATTTATCTTCCCTCAATTTGAATACATCTCTCTTTCAAAAGTGTTTCCTTAGATACCATTTAAACTGATTGCCCATTAAATTACCTCTTTAGTAGGGGAGTAGATTGGGGTAGATGAAGGCAGGGTAGAGAGCGAAGTGAGAGCTTGGTCTTTTTTGGCCAGAAATGGAGGCTGACTTTGTTTTCATCATCAGTTTTGCTCTGGGAGTCAGTGAGTGAGTCTGTGAGGGGTGGGACATTGGGGACAGTTGCTAAAATTGTGGTGCAGCTGGTGCTCTTCCCTTGAGGAAAACCGCATTTCATCTCCAAGGGTTCTCCACATTTCATCTCCAAGGGTTCTCCAAGCTATGACTTTCCCTAATCATGGCTAACTGTAAGGAAAGGCACACACCCCAGACAGATGTTTTTTTATTTTTTTCTCCTTAAAATAGAAACCGAATTTGCTGTCTTGAACCTTCCCTCACTAATTAGTTCAGTCTCTAGAAGTCTTGTCACAGATGGTTCCTAACATACATGCTGAGACCACACATACCTTTATCTGATCCTTTCTGTACTCTTTAACCAACTCCTTTCCTCTGCCCCCGACAACACAATGCCCTTATAAATATTTCCTCATTAAAAAATAAAAGTTCAAGGACTCTCTTGTCTTCCTTAAAAAGATGATATTATTTTATAAATGCCCACAGAATCTGCTTTTTATACAATGAAATGAGACTGAACTGGAGACCCAGTACTCAGGCTCTGACTCATCTCTGTCCTTAACTCCCTGCTGTCAAGCCCCCCGCCCGAGTTCCTGCCTCTAGGCATTAGGTTTCCACAGCTAGAAAATGAAGAGTTTTGTTTAAGATCCCTTCCATACTCCAAAAGATAAAAAACTATTTTTAAACATCGAAGCATACAAATTTTAATCTAAGGAAGATAAGAAACCAATTAGGACGACTGAATTATTCATGAACCACCCCCCAACTCAGCTATAAAGTTTTCAAGCCACTAATTAAGTACAAATTCTAACTAATGTCTCCATTAGTTTGAAAGGTCTTAGTAATTTTAAATTTTGGGAAAGCAAACATAAATATGCAACATTATTAGTAATAAATCACAAACTGTTTAAAAATCTAAATATAATTAGCAGCCTATTTTGTGTAACGCACACACACACAGACTGATGCCGATGTAAGCAAGCACTGTTTTTCAACAAATTAACTCCCTTCCTAATATTGGACATTCAGAGCTCTCTGTCCTATTACCTTTGGCTAGTTAAAGTTGTAATTATTTCGAATTTAGACAATAACTCTAATTGGGTCAACATGGTAAAAACTGTAATGCCATGGCCGCAATGTAAGAATTTCTTTTTCTTTCAAGGGGTACTAAAAGAATAGAAGTTCAATATTTTCCCATAGTTTTCCAAAAGGACAATTTGGGGGCAGCTGCAGGTTGACATTAAACATTTGAATTGAATTCACTAAATAACTCAGTATCTAAGGAATGTAATAAAACAAACACACAATTATTAACAATGGTCTTCAGTATCACCAAGGGTGATATTAACAGCTGGAAGAATTATGTTTTATCAGCTACTCAGTGGTATTGATTTTGGATGGAAACTTGTGAGTTTGGGGTAAAAGTCACTGCATTTTATTTCAGTTCCCCAGATCACACCACACTCTCAGTACCAAAAGGAAAATATGACACTGGGGAACTTTTCTGTTTACCTCTCTACATGGGGGAGCTGTTTTTCTCAGAAATAATTGAGGTTTTCTAAAATCTGCAAATCACCATAAAATAAAAGCCAAGACCTAGACTTACCCTCAAAACTGAGTGCTCAAAAGAGATTAGTACTAAATGCTTCTCTGTTTTGACTGAGTACGGTACAACAAAATAACACAAGATGATATGTAGTCAATGTATAGAAATAGTTAAATCAGGAGAGAAATATAAAACATATTTAATATGTGAATTAAATATTTGTAAACATGATTGAAAATTACATTTTATAGTTAGAATTATGAAAATTATGTAGTTTTAATTTATTACCCCACAAATTTACACTTGCATTGAAAAACCTCTTCTTAAAAATAAATATGAAAAAATATTAATTCATTGGAATTAATGATATTCCATTCATTGTAGATAAGTAATTCATTGTAGATAAGTAATTCCATTCATTGTAGATGAATGAATATTCCATTGTAGATGAATGGAATATCATCAAAAAATATTAATTCATTGTAGTAGAAGTTCTCCAACAAAACTTCCAAGAAATCCACAACATATTTTGTTTTCTCTATAAAATAAATTACAATATTTTGAATAAGTTAAAATATTCATCATCTTACCTAATTGCTTGATGGTGAACATTAATAATGCCTTGTTTTTTTTATTATACTTAAAGTTTTAGGGTACATGTGCACAATGTGCAGGTTAGTAACATATGTATACACGTGCCATGCTGATGTGCTGCACCCATTAACTCGTCATTTAACATCAGGTATATCTCCTAATGCTATCCCTCCCCCCTCTCCCCACCCCATAACAGGCCCCAGTGTGGGATGTTCCCCTTCCTGTGTTCATGTGTTCTCATTGTTCAATTCCCACCTATCAGTGAGAATATACGGTGTTTGGTTTTTTTGTCCTTGCAACAGTTTGCTGAGAATGATGGTTTCCAGCTTCATCCATGTCCCTACAAAGGACATGAACTCATCATTTTTTAAGGCTGCATAGTATTCCATGGTGTATATGGGCCACATTTCTTAATCCAGTCTATCATTGTTGGACATTTGGGTTGGTTCCAAGTCTTTGCTATTGTGAATAGTGCCGCAATAAACATACGTGTGCATGTGTCTTTATAGCAGCATGATTTCTAATTCTTTGGGTATATACCCAGTAATGCGATTGCTGGGTCAAATAGTATTTCTAGTTCTAGGTCCCTGAGGAATCACCACACTGACTTCCACAATGGTTGAACTAGTTTACAGTCCCGCCAACAGTGGAAAGGTGTTCCTATTTCTCCACATCCTCTCCAGCACCTGTTGTTTCTTGACTTTTTAATGATTACTATTCTAACTGGTGTGAGATGGTATCTCATTGTGGTTTTGATTTGCATTTCTCTGATGAATAATGCCTCATTTTAAAATAACCCCCAAAATACATCTAAGTATGTTTGATTCTTGAGTTTTCATTCAAATAGAGAAAACAGTGTTAAAAAATATCTTACATATGGCCGGGCGCGGTGGCTCATGCCTGTAATCCCAGCACTTTGGGAGGCCGAGGTGGGGGGATCAGGAGGTCAGGAGATCGAGACCATCCCTGGCTAGCACGGTGAAACCCAGTCTCTACTAAAAATACAAAAAAATTAGCCAGGTGTGTGGTGGCGGGCGCCTGTGGAGGCAGAGCTTGCAGTGAGCCGAGATCGCGTCATTGCACTCCAGCCTGGGCAACAGAGTGAGACTGCATCTCAAAACAAAACAAAACAAAACAAACAAACAAAAGTCTCAAAAACAAAAAACAAAAAAACAAAACAAAACAAAAATACCTTACTTACTTATTCTCATTTAGGGGACTTAATGCCTAATATATATACTTATTTTTGGCAGCAGGTTTACTGTTATACATTTGTCTTAAGATAATATTAAAAACCTGACTGTAATTTCATAGCAGAAAATGAATGATGACAGAAGATTGGGAAAGGAAGACAGTCATTCCACGTTGGCTAGCTGGCAGGAAGGAAACAAACTGGAACTTAAAAATTGGCTGAGGGCCAGGTGCAGTGGCTCACATGTGTAATCCCAGCACTTTGGGAGGCTGAGACAGGTGGATCACTTGAGGTCAGGATTTTGAGACCAGTCTGGTGAACATGGTGGAACCCCGTCTCTACCAAAAATATAAAAATTAGCTGGGTGTGGTGGTGCACGCCTGTAATCCCAGCTACTTGGGAGGCTGAGGCATGAGAATCGCTTGAACTTCGGAGGCCACTGGAAGTGCCACTGGGAGTGTCACTGCACTCCAGCCTGGGCGATGGAACAAGCTCTGTCTCAAACAAAACAAACAAAAAACCGGCTTAGGATAATTTGCAGAATGAATGATTCGCATATGGATAATTGCATGTGGTTTTATTAACAACCACTGAGAGCAGGCCTTATGGTTGAATCTAAGGTAGGAATTGTAAGCTTATAATAGCATCTTTGGAAATGAAATGAAATTGGATAGGAGAATGAATAAGACTAACAAAATCTACAGTATTTATTGTGTTATATGTGAGTTATCATCTTATTTAATGCTCACTGACAATGACACTGTTGGTGCTATTATTTTCCTTCTTTTATAGATATAGCACCTAGAGTTTGGAGAGGTTAAGCTATTGTCAAAGGTCAAGTAGTAAGTGACAGAGAGACGTGAATCTGTCTAGCACCAAAGCTCATGTTGTTAATTACTCTAACATGATGCCTCCCTTACTAGAACAGAGGTTTTTAACCTGGTGCCCTAAATTTAGGATGTCCATGGAAAGTACAATATTACAAATGATTTCATGTCTATGTGATTTCCCCCCCACCAGTTTTATCACAGACTCAAAGAGGTGAACAACCAAAGGAAGTTAAGAAAGACTAGACTAGAGCCATGAACAAAACCAATAAAGATTTTTCTTTAAACAAAGACAACTACAAAAACATGAGTTTAGGTTTACAACCAGAAAGATATAGCAGTGGCCTTCTGGGATGAGAGCAGCAAAAACATGTGCAGTTTTAACATATAAAACGTTCTAAATAAAGTATAATAAAAAAAGTTCCAAATGTATTAACAGTGTGAAGAAGTTCCTTGGAGAGTCAGAGCAGACTTGGGCTGCAGGAAGACAGGGAAGAAGGAAGGAAAGCACCTCTCATTTGGGTCTGGGTTATTCAGGTCACATGGTGAGCACTGTGTTCTTCTGAGCACCACACTCCAGAAGAACACTGAGAAATGGAGTGAGGTCTATTCAGGGTAAGGTGATGAGAATGGCAATGGGCACGAAAACCCTATCGTGAGACAGAGTTGTTTTATATAGGAATAAAGAGTAGCAGAAGAAAATACATGACAGAAGACAACTGTTGCATTGATCAAAGAGAATGGGTCAGAACCAGAGGTTAGGAGGAGGCAGAGTTCATCTTGGTGCATCATGACAAGAATTTTATTCAGTAGGGAATTAGTGACTCCATGGTCACTTCAAGTGCTGAAACAAAGGTTGTCAGTGGTAACCAAACTTGAGACTAAATGAAACTTAAAAAAGCATCACAGGAAAGGCCTAGGAATCCGTATGTTAAAATCTTGATAAAAAACAGTTTGTTTTGTTTGCTGGAAGACCATCTACCAGAATGACTGTAAAATTTATTATTAAATTGAGAATAAAAGTATCAATAGAGAGCTTTTACATTCTCCTTAATTTCTAAATGTTGAATGAGCAAGTCATACCACACAGCAATATCTCCCTATCATCTGTACAAATGAACCAACTCTCAGGCCAGCAATATTACCGCAATGGACTTAAGCAGGAGCCTTAACATAACATGATTTCTACAATAATGAATTATTAAGGTCTTTCAGAGATGTAAATGTTCTCAAGTACTTTAGAAATGCCAGCCTTTGAAGATTTTCAGATTCATAAGGTACAATAAAGTTCATAAAGAAGGGTGCCTAGGTTATCAGACTTCAGTGAAGGTAGGAGGATGCAAATGAGAAGACCTTCAGAGCCCACTGGAGTGTGGGAGTCTCCCCGGGCTCCCTTAGTCTCTGGCCTGACATAATCGGGCAGGCTGAGCAAACCTAAATGTTACCCATGCGAACTCTTGTCAGGCCGGTGTGAGGGCACAGTAAAAATACATTCACATTCAACATTCTCCCACCCCTCCCCATTTCACATATGAAAGAAAACGCAAATGCTCACTGTCATTTCGGAGGAAATTATTAAGCAGTTGGAAAAGAGGAAAACTATCCCAGGAGTCTTGCGGTTGAGCCTCTAGTGCAGTGTCCATATCCACTGTAAATAAAGCCCAAAATTTCTCTGCATGTTCAGCCAATAAATCAGGCCACCAGGCAAATGCCTACAAAAGGATAAAAACATAAAGGAGAAAAGTAGATTACTTTTTAGAAACATGCACAAGTACTGTGCCAGTTGAAAATATTTTATAACATGTCTTAGTTTCACAAACAGGTATGATAAACAAAATATAATAGTTTTTAACCTGAGAAAAATTTTATAGGTACACATTAAAATCATAGATTTGGCACTGAGGAATGAAATAGAAAATAGAATTAAAATGTACAAGGACATTTATTCCTTTATAAAAGAAATACATGATTAGTTTACAACATTTAGAACATATATAAAACAAAAAAGAAAAATTATTTGTATCTCATAATTTAAACAAGTCTATTCTGAATTTTTTGGTGTATTTACTTCCAATATTTCTTTTTTTTTCTGTGAATAGAAACATTAAAACATTTGGTATTACACTTTATAAGATTTTCCTGTGATTTCACTTTTAATATAATAGCATAATCTTCTACTATAAGGATATACTGTTATTTTTTTTTTTTTACCAATTACCCTATTAAAATGGCTGTTTTCAATTTTTTGCTATTCTCAATGATAGCGTAGTAAATATTTTTACATAAATATCTTTGAATATAGCACTGATTATTTCTTTAGGATAAACTTCTAATAATTACTGGATTAATGGGTATGCATTTTAGAGTCTTCACACATTGCAAATTGCTCTTTATGAAAAGTGTTTGCTCACATCCATTCTCCATTCAGCAGCCAGTCATCATTTCATTTATTTTTTTTGAGACAGGGCCTCACTCTGTCACTTGGGCTGGAGTGCAGTGGGTTGATCTCAGCTTACTGCGACCTCTGCCTCCCAGCTTCAAGCAATTCTCATCCCTCAGCCACCCAAGTAGCTGGGACCACAGATGTATGCCACCATGCCCAGCTAATGTTTTTGTATTTTTAGGAGAAACGGGGTTTTGCTATGTTGGCCAGGCTGGTCTCCAACTCCTGGCCTCAAGTGATCTGCCGGCCTTGGCCTCTCAGAGTGCTGAGATTACTGGTGTAAGCCACGGCACCTGGCTTCAAATATGAATTGGATTATAACAGGAAAATACAAACCACAAAAAAGGGGATTGCAAAATTTTGACACACTATTTTCTTAAGAACTTTCCATGTTTATAAAAATTTCATGTTTCACATTTATAGTAAATATGGCCTTAAAATAATAGATATAAAATAATAATCAGTAACTAAAAAGATTGCCATGTAATTAATTAGCAGATGGTAAAGGCTGACTTAAGGAAGAACAGTGTAGTATAAAATAATAGATTTGAGAGTTGGGGACATTTTAATGCCTGGCTCAATGCTGTGACCAATATATGAATGTGAAAACTGGTTGGGAATGGTATGCATGATGAAAATTGAGCATACTGTTTTTTGCATATATTACCTTTGAATATTTTTTGGTTAAATATGTGATAAAATGGGTATATGACCTAACGTAAAAACACACAAAAAAGTATACATGATTTCATTACACAGATCTTGCGCCTATCTTTTGTAGCTATAGTGGTGACAAAAGAAGAACCTGAGATTCTCAGCTCTGAGTAGAGCAGCACAGAAAAATGCAGTCCTGCAAAGAGACATTTTCAAAATCTCACTTCCAGTTCACAGCCAATATCTTTGCAAAAGGTTAAAATTAAGAAAATAACAGTCATGTTAGTTCAGGTTGTTTCAGGACTCTGAGAAAAATTCCTAAAGGTCTTCTTAAAGTTAACTTGGAAGACAGAGCCAGGATGAGGAATGAAATAAAATGGAATACACTTTTTTTTTTTCAAAACAGCTTCAGGTTGGCAAGATTTTGCCATCAACTGGAAAATTTCATTGTTTTGCAGAAGTATATATTTATATCTCAAGTTGTACTCCTGATGATGCTATTCTTAATGAATGTAAGCCAATCTGTGATGAATGCCTCTTCTCCTAATGATGGCTAAATAACGCTTTAAGCAATCACTGTCTTTGAAAAATGAAAGCAACAGTTGCAGTTATCTTGAGAATACAGGGTCTTGTCTACAACCTGTCCCCTTCTCTTTCTTGCCATCCCACCCTGGGTTGGTAGGAAGATGAGGGGCTGTATAATTCCCTCCCTAGGGTATTACTTCCTGTGGGGTGGCTGAGATTCAACAGCATCAAGGTCTCCACCAGGGAGGAGAAAACCTCCCTCAGAAATGCATCCATCTACAGGGTACTAAACAGAAGTCATGATTATCTGGGTTAAAGTTCTTTTGGCTTTAATGCTAAGCCACTAATTAGTGTAAATGAGATGGCAGAGGCAGAAGGCAATGTTTAATTTGCTTAAGAGGGAAATATAAAACAAACCTTGATTTTAAGTCCTTCAGCTTAAAAAACTTACTACTGGCAGGGTGCGGTGGCTCACAAGTGTAATTCCAGCACTTTGGGAGGCAGAGGAGGGCAGATTACCTGAGGTCAGGAGCTCGAGACCAGCCTGGCCAACATGGGGAAACCCCGTCTCTACTAAAAATACAAAAATTAGCTGGCGGTGGTGGTGTGCACCTGTAACCCCAGCTACTCAGGAGGCTGAGATAGGAGAATCGCTTGAACCCGGGAGGTGAAGGTTGCAGTAAGCCAAGATCGCGCCACTGCACTCCAGCCTGGGTGACAGAGCGAGACACTGTCTTAAAAAAAACAAAAAACAAAAACAAAAACAAAACTTATACAGGATTAATAATACAAATAAGCAATACAAATATGTGGCAAGCTGACAATACTTGGAAAGCCTTTTTTTTTTTTTTTTGTAGTAAATATAGTTTACAACAGTGGCAGGTAAAAATGAACCCTGAACCTAGAAGCAGAGTACTGAGCTTTTGAGCTTAGTGATGATACTTGAGTGATAACGGTCAAATCAGTTCACTGGGTGGATTCTCATTTATTTATCTGCAAATAGGCAATAACAATACTTGCCCTAACCTCTCCCAGTGTTGCTGTGAAAATCAAATAAATATAAAAGTTTATTGCTGTGCAAATGTAATAATTGACTACCGCAATCAGTAATTACAAATATGTGTTGACTACCGCAATCAGTAATTACAAATATGTGTTGAAATTCATATAAATCTTATGTGAGTTTATGTGTTTTAAAAATAATGTCCAACACAAATTAAATGGTGTTTATGTGCCAAGTACTGTTCTAAAGGTTTTATAAACATCATCTTACTTAGTCCCCCAAACAATTATTTCAGGTAGATTGTACAATTATCCTTACTTTATAGGTTAGCAAACAGAGATTAAATAACTTGCCCAAAGTCATACAGTTGGTAGATAACAAAGCAATGATTGAATCTAAGTCAGCTGGAGCCTAGAGACCAAGTTCTTACACATATAGTGTCTTCTTAAGGGAGGCATATGGCACACTGCCTATCATCTCTCTCTCTCTCCATCCATCCATCCATCCATCCATCTACCATCAGCAGATCAGACCACTGTTAGTATCTTTTGATTTATGGCTTGATTTCTTTATATCTTTTCTACTTTTTATTAAAACCTGAGGCCTTTGATTACTTTTTTTTTTTTTTTGAGGTGGACTCTTGCTCTGTCGCCCAGGCTGGAGTGCAGCGGCACAATCTCGGCTCACTGCAACCTCTGCCTCCCAGGTTCAAGTGATTCTAATGCCTCAGCCTCCCAAGTATCTGGGATTACAGGTGCCCACCACCATGCCCAGCTAATTTTGTATTTTTAGTAGAGATGGGGTTTCGCCATGTTCGCCAGGCTGACCTTGAACTCCTGACTTCAGGTAATCCACCCGCCTCAGCCTCCCAAAGTGCTGGGATTACAGGTGTGAGCCACCGCACCTGGCCTTATTACTTTTGCCCTCAAAATATAATAAAAATTTATAACTTAAAACAAAAAAGGAGGATGGCTGCCTAAACGAGCAAAAACAGTGAGTCTGACTTTGAAATACATTTTGTGCCTATTTATTCCCCAAGACAAGATTAGTTTGCAATTCTGTACTTTGTTGATAATCCTAAAGGTTCTGGAGACAATCCAGTGTCTATAGTATCCCCTGCCCCTGCCACACACATACACACATACTCACATACACAGCGACATGATTCTGAGGGCCATATTCTAAAAATATTTAAGTTCTCTTGAGGGACAGACGAATGAACAGGTGACACCTATTGTCTAACTAATCATAAGTTTTTTACAACTTCCGTGATTCACTGATAATCAGGTTCATAAACATAGATATAGCAATAACCAAGTGAGATGATGAGCTGAAAATGCTCCAAAACATGAGAATGTAAAGTATTATCCTCATTCATATATATTATAAATCAGTAAATAATGAACAAACATTTTTGGTAGAGCATTCATGCTCATGCAATTGGTTTTGACAGTCACTGCTGAAATGGGAATTCTACTTCTACACCTGAGCTGTATGCAAGCTACTTGATGGTCATCCTCTTCCAAGATGAGGGACATTTGTTGGTCAGAGGCTAATATAACTTTAAATTTGAACCCATCCTAAAAAAAGATTTATCTCACTGACTATCCAGATATCAACAATGTGTAATTGAGGTCATTTCAACTGCTGAGACTATTGTAATCTAGTTGGTCGACAGGAAATCGATTTTGTTCATGGTCAATTATTTTGCATAACCACACTTTAGTATATTCCTTAGGCATGCATGCCAGTTGGAGAGGAATAAGGGTACACACAAACAAAAATAAATTAAAAAAATCAAATACCCTTTCTCTTTACATTAGAATCCAACCAGAAGCATAATTTGGTTCAGATACTGATATTTAGGGGAATGCACATATGCACAAATACGTGTGTTCACACTGAACTCTCACTGTCCAGGCTCTTGTTGAAGCAGCCCAGCAAATGAATCAACCATTTGCAGTGAACTGAGAGCTGTCTGCATTGCAAATACCAAATTACTGCCAAACAACCTTCTTGCCCACGGTGGAATGGATTTGGTGGATGACATCGTATTTAAAATATTTTAAGGATCTTAAGTCAATATTTTGCTGTAATAATAAGCAACCAAGTAACGACTTGAGTCGTGCTCATATTTTTCATGATCCCTCCCTCTCAGCCCTTCTACTGATATTCTCCGCACTCCATCCATCCCCCTTAGGCAGAGTCCTTGGAGATATACCAGAGTACAAGGAAGGAAGAGAATGACAGAATGGAAAGGGACATCACCAGGTTTGCATTGTGATCACCACGCTATGCATCTACATCCCTGTTGTGATGCTGTGGTTCAAATCTGTCAGCAGAACTAAGGCAGGACAATCACTCCTGCAATTCTACTTAAATTGCAAAACAGCAATGTGGTTTATTGGAAAATGTCCAGGTCTGGAGCCTGGCCTGAGTCTTCACCCAATCACTCACTAGCTGTGCATCTGTGGTGAGTTGCTCAACTTTCTTGGGTCTGTTTTCTTATCAGCAAAATGGTGTGTGTGGAGGGGGGCATACTGGTGAGGGACTATGGCTTTTTCAGCAGGCATCTGACACCTCCTAGCTCTGTCAAAGAAAGTGGCTTTTAGATGGAGAGTTGTCAGATCAGTTTGCCTAAAATATCTGGTCAGAGATGGTCTGGTCACTGAAATGTGGAGACAGCCTTAAAGATTTTCTGGAAAGGAACTTAAACTATCTTTCTAAGGAGAAAACACAGGAATTCTGCAGAAAAGCCTGAGAAGAGAGGTTGAGAGGCCTTCAAAGAGAAGGGAAAACTGCCTGGTAAGGTACTGTCAAAGATCTGAAGGACATGAAACCTGCTTAACTGAGAAATTGTTGAAGGATAGAAACAACCTCTTAGCCCTGTAAAGTAAACTGCCACTGTGGAGAGAGGGAGAATGAAAATAAAAGGAGCTGACATGCGAGCCACTTGAAGGTCTCTTTGAGGCAGATACATTAACCTCCACCAAGGGAGCTGAGCCAGGTGCTCTTTCATGGAGCAAAGGAACTCTAGCTTGAACATCCAGCAAAATAAGTATCAGTGCAGAATGCAGTCCACCAATTCACTCTGGAAGTCAGTCTGGAATCAGACCAATTCACTCCCCAATATTGTTCAGAGAAAACGTGAGATTTTCTGTTTTGCTTTGTTTTTTAAAGGACAAAAAACAACCAAAGACACAAACCAAATATCAACATCCCTTCAGTCATGTTTTACTTAGATGGCCATCAGTAACTATGCAAGCAATTATTAATAATATACATACACAAAACAATATAACAAAAATTAGCACATTCAAAGAAAAACAGACATTCTGTAATTTCAAAGAAAGGACTAATTGGCTTTAAAATGGACTACAATCAGAGTAGATTGTATTTTAAATTCACATAAAAGAGGTATCCTATGCTAATAAAATAGTGGAAATCATTTTACTCACCTCTCTTCCCTGAGGGTTTCCAAGAATTTGGAAGCATTGCAGAGTAGAACAATTGCCATAGTGTTACAAAACATCTTTAAAAAAGGTCATCATAATAGTCCTATATTTCAGTATATCGTATAGTGATATTTATGAATAATGATTATCTCTATTTAATAAAGTCAACTTTATTTTGTGGATTAGTAAATAAGATATACATTTTAATTGTGTTTGGATACATTATACTTTGACAAGCATTTTAGTGATTGCAAGAAGTATAATTAACATTTAATTTTTAGTTTTTGTAAAATGTTTGAGAATAAAAGATATACCTGTTTTGCTGAAATATATACTGCAATTGAATATCCAATTATTAATAGATTTTTTAATTCAAAAATCCTAACACTCTGACAATAATGCCTTTTAACAAAAGACAAAGACAAAACATACATATATTTTATCACATAATCACTTTCATTGTAACATAGCTGTGTTACCAGCCTAGAAAAGAACCTCCTGGGAATTCATTTCAAATTATTGAAGCAGCTGTTTCTTCAGTTTAAAATAAAATATCCATAACAAGTTCACACATGACAGATGCAAGCTAAAAACTAGATTCCACAGTGTGAGCTAAAAGCAGATGTTTTGAATAATCATATTTATAACCAGATATCATATTTATAACCAGATACAATAAATCTTAGTTACCTATAGTAAGGATTCATGAGCACTCTTTTCTATGAATTGGCTTAAAATGTAGTTCCTGTAGTTTCTTAGATTTTTTAGAACTAGGCTTCATTAAATACAAAAATTCTGTAAACTCACATGTATTTGGTCATTTTTATTCTTGCTCATTTCATGTGCTTCCTCAAGAATAAAAGCACTGTCAGGGCACTGACATTTATTATATTTATTTAATGCTACACATTCTCCCCACCCAACTCAAAGTCAGAAAACTCTTTCATTTTTGTTAACAAACTCATGGCTATTAGAAAGAGTGAGAATTTTAAGTCTCAGAATGAGCAGTTTGCTTGGTGAAAAGCCACTCTAGATCTTTAGTGAATGTTAATATGTAATTAGAACTTTAAAAAATTATAAACAATACAGGTTTGATTAAAACTTAATTCAAAAAAGTGAAAAGTTCAATGTTGAGAGCGAAAGCCTAGAGTTATCAACCATACGCTTATGATTGTTTTCTACTAAAGTTTTGTTTTATAGTATGTCACAAATTTTCCCCTTCCACGTTAACTTACATTTCTAAACCAAAGCAATCATGGCATAGGGGGAAAAGCACGTGATGCAGCATTGTAAGACGGGTTTGTGTTCCGTCTTTGCCTCTTACCAGTTACACATTTGGACTGAAGGCAGTGCAGGCTGATTAATTATAGGACTTTTCTGTAGCCCTTGCTGTTAACTAAATGCACTCAGTGTTAACTAACTGCCCTCAATGAAAGGCAGGCAAACTATTTATGGAATTATGAGAGAAATAGAGTGAGATTTCTTTCCTTTGTTACTGCAGTCTTGCTATTACCAACGAGACAGCAAATACAGAACCAAAAAAAAAAAAAAAAAAAGAAAAGCCCAGTGGAAATTACCCCTTGGTTTGGGAAATAAAAATATCTTCTTGCAGAATAGCTCTGAAAGTTGCCTTAGGGTCACTGCAAGCCCTCTTGTGGTCATTAACTTTCCCCCTTCTTCAATAACTGATGAGCTAATTTCTCATGGCACAGATCCCATCAGTGTTTGTTGTCAGGAATAAACATGAAATTATACACACACACAATTGCTTTGTAATATATAGGAGTTATGTTTTTAGAAAATTCACATATGTTCTCATGTGTGAATGTGCAATGGGATGTACAGTGATGCAGTGAAACACTGCTTATCGTTGGTGCTTATTCGTTAAATGTTCAGATATGTATCAAGACTATGGGCAGGCCACTTATTCAGTGTAGCCACAACCATGGTGAAGCCTTACATATAGCTTTATACTACAGTGAAAACAGGTCATCACCTCTGCATGATGCTCTTCATTCTGCTGTAAGACTTCTATGCAGAGCTCTGCCAGATGAAGAATCTCTTCCAGCTTTCTAGCAGGAGATGCCTGGTTCATGGTCTCTATATGAAAAAAAATCATAATCATGTTACCTTGAAAATAAAAAGCCAAACATATTTGAAGACGTAATGATGAGACTAGAATGTTGAAATAGAATGAGAAATAAGAAATACAAATGAATACATTATTTAGACAAAAAAAAAAAAACAGTTCACCAGATTGCAGGAAATATTTCACCCACAAAGCAATGACAGGGAACTGCAAGTGCTTTGCCATTTAATATATAAGAACAGGTGCATCAGCACATTAGATGCTCAACTTCTGCAACAAACAAGTTATAATTCTCCTCAAGGTCAGCGACACAAAGAGAGCAGATACCACAGTCTTTTCTTTCTCTCTGTATTGTATTATCAGTACAATACCATTCTCACCACATGATTCATTCCTGGCATTAGCAAAACCCATGCTTTTTTGTTGCTGTTTAAATTCCCGGCCTGAAATGTCTATAGTTCATGTTGATCTTAAATTCAAGAAGTACAAAGTCACCTAAAACAACTCTGACAGCTAGCAATTGACTGATTTCCTCCCTATTTCCCAGCCACCATCCCACCCCACCTTTCCAACTGAGGGGGTTGTGGGGGAGGAAGGCAGAAGTGTTCTTTGAAGCTGAAGGTTCTTTCTGCAGTAAGCTGAACTGGTATAAAAAGGAGAGACCACAATAAGATTAAGTGCAGTTACCTGAAATTCTGCTACAGAGAAGGCAAAGTAGTTATTTTCTAAGATTCAACAAGCTGGCAGAAATTAAAGAAGCCCTGTGTAATGAAACTGTTTCAAAACAATGTAAAGATCAGTTCCCAATAAGGACATTAAAGATAAATGTTGTCGGGGATTCATAGGCTCTTTCTCTTTGCTCAGCAAGGAGGTTGTGAGGAAAGAAAATCTAATTTTCAGTAAAAGAGATTCTTCTGGGGAACTTAAAGGGCATTTTTTTTTCCTACAATAGTTTTCCCTTGATTTACTTCTTCCTAAAACCTCAGCCTTAAATTTGGAGGAGACACTTTCATTTGCTCTGTTCTAACGTATTCCAAAGGATGTACAATGATGCAGTGAAACACTGCTTATGATCGGTGCTCATTCATTAAATATTCATTATATACTCACTGTAGCTCAGACACAGTGCAATGTACTGATGTGGGGTTCACATCCCTCAACCCTCAAGCCATATACACTTCCTACTATATTCCCCTACAGAATGGAAAGCCATTGCTCCTCTGTGACAAGGTTCAAAAATTACAGTAATTCTTTTGAAAAATCAGTGTGAAACACCAAATAGTCAAGTGTGCCTACAATGTTGTTGGCTGTAGGAAGTAGAAGGCAGTATGAGACACACTTCCAATCTCAACTCAGAACCAGAAAATCTCTACTGAAAAGATCCATAGACATGAATGATCAAATGTTTCATCTGTTTCATGAACATTTCAACATCCTCAAAGAAGCATGAAGTCAAGGAGGCTCATGACTTTGCATGACAACCTACTTAATTTGGGGGCCGCTCTAGCTGTTCTAATTTTGTCAGGAAGAGAAGGCACCTAGGAAAAGTTTGGAAGCAACATGAGGCAAACCTATTGGTGATGCAGGAAATGTGAGGGAGGACTGCTGAAAGCAGGTCTAGGGGAGACATCGGGGGAAGGTAAGCCTGAAACATGGTCTTAGAAATAACAAATGACCTGGGGAAGAGGAGGAGGAATTTTTAGAGAAGAAATACTGTATGACACAGATGAGGTGCATTTTGGAGGAAGGTGGTAATAACAACCATTAGAAATGGTACAGTTTCAGGCGGGCAGATCACCTGAGGTCAGGAGTTCGAAACCAGCCTGGCCAACATGGCGAAACCCCATCTCTACTAAAAATACAAAAATTAGCTGGGCCCGGTGGTGGGCACGTGTAATCTCAGCTACTCAGGAGGCTGAGGCAGGAGAATCGCTTGAACCTGGGAGGCAGAGGTTGCAGTGAGCCAATATCACACCATTGCGCTCCAGCCTGGGTGACAGAGGGAGACTCCATCTCAAAAAAAAAAAAAAAAGTTACATTTTCTTGAGAGCCAATTATGTGTCAGGCACAAGCCAGGGCGCTTCCCACGTGTTAGCACACACATTTTCCTAACAGCTTTGTTTTTTATTCATGTAACTCACAGATAAGGAAACATGCTCAAAAAGATAAATGCAACAGCTAAAAAGCAGTGAAGGTGAGACTTGAACACGTGGGCTCTTGTACTTGCCTGGCTGGAGTAAGAATGTGCTAAGAATGATGGGTGATTATGGGAGACTTTAAGTAAGATAATAAGTAGACTAGATGACTATATCCTATGAATAACTTGGGGCAAATGTTTCTTAGCAGGGCCTCAGAATAAATTAATTTTAGGAAAATGTATTTTGGTGGTTGCCTCCAACAAGGATTGGTGAAAGTGTCTGATATGGATCCTGAGGGTCTGGTTTAGTAGAACAGTGAACTATGGAAAGATGATAGTAGGAATAGAAAAGAAGGGAAAGATGCACAGACACTCCAAAGGCAGAATTTGTGAGCCATTGTTGAGTGGCTAGAATTTGCAGGCCAGAGAGGAGTATGACTCTGAGGTTTGGAGACCTCATGGCTCAGAGAATGATGATGTATGGTTGATAAAGTTAGGTAATGGGTCTTCAATGGACCATCCCATATATTTTAGCACTAACTACATTGCCACATAAGTGTGATTTAAAATAAGTTAAATATTCTAAACTAAAAAAAATTGTGCATTGTAAAATCTACAAACATGCAGAGTTAGGCTATCTGAATCTTTGCCTGACAAACTGCTACTCTGCTTCAAGATTCTACTTTAATGCTACCTTAAAATTGGACCTTCTCAGAGTTCTGGGTCTGAATGAGTTGCTCCTTTCTCTGAGCTCCCCTATTACAGGCTCATGAGTCTGTTGCTAAACTGTACTAGATCAAAGTCAGCAACTGGGTCTCATTCATATAGTTATCTTGTGCAGGCTTTGGACCATGGCAGGTATTTAATGAATGTTTACTGAGAATGCAGCAGAATAATTATGGGAGGAAAAGAATGTTAAAAAATTCAATCAATACCCCCAAATTTTTAATTTTGCATGCGATTGCAAAGAGCTCATCTGTATCTAATACATCAAGGGTGGATAAGAGAGCATGCTCACGATAAAACGCAGCTGTAGTCTGAGAACACTTCTCAAATAACTGACAAATGTTTAGTTCTGAAATTCTTAAAGAAAAAGCTTTCTTCAGAAACAAAAACTTTGTCAGAAAATGTCTTCAAAATAACTTTTAAGCCTCAAGAGCATATCACTTATCTTTCTTAATTTCTCCATTTTTAGATGAAGAGTATTAAGTTTGGGAGTCAGAGGGTTCTTGAACCCCTTAAATTATGTACTAATTTTTGTATGTAGAGGCATTTTTGGGGTGGGGGAGAAAGACCGTATCTTTCATCAGATTCTCAAAGTTGTCTATAAACCAAACAGATGCTAAGAAGCACTGAACCAGATAATTTCTAAAATTCCTTCTGGCTGAGGCAATCTATGCCTCCCATAAATATTGCACTTATATATTGCATTATATTATTTCAATGGACTCATATATGTGTATAACATGTTTTTCATAAAGAAAAAGGAAATAAAATTTATTTATGTATCAAAGATTAGAAATTTATTTCTCCTACATACTTCCGTGCTAGGGACTAGCACTATTTGAATCTTTGCCTAACTCTGCATGTTTGCACATTTTACAATGCACAATATTGTTTCAGTTTAGAATATTTAACTTATTTTAAATCACTGAAGTATATAGGAGAAATAAATCCTGCATACTCTTCTGAATCCTCAGAAGCATTCTGCAAATTAGATAATCATGATCCTCCATTTCCAGAGTCTTGGAGAGGTTGAAGGTGTCTGAGGTTATACAGTTTGTTGCTGGCTGAGATGACATTAAAATCTTACCTCTGATGTCATACAGACAGAAATAATATTACAATGACTTGAATTACTATAATTCTTTTTCATTTTCAACTTTCTGAATAAAAATCACACACAAATGCCCCCATTCCACATCTTTAGCCACAAGTATGGAATAATAGAAAGGAATCACAGAACCAACCTCAGAACTTA
Source organism: Homo sapiens (assembly GCF_000001405.40). Taxonomy (NCBI): domain Eukaryota; kingdom Metazoa; phylum Chordata; class Mammalia; order Primates; family Hominidae; genus Homo; species Homo sapiens. The sequence goes on from NC_000007.14 coordinate 122,420,272, forward strand.
TTATATGTGAATCTTTCAAAATCAGCTATTACATGTGACACTATCTTAAGTACAAACTCTGAGAGTACCCTGTGTTCTAGTGAAATTTAAAAACATTCTAAAACATTTATTCTTTCTAGATTAAATTTATTGAGGATCAAAACTTTGTACTTGAACATAATAGCCACTCTAATACTTTAAATAGATGCATTTTTATCAAGTACTCTGTGTATCCCGTCTCTGGTTTCACCCATTTGGCTAAGGCCAAGAAGTTTAATGCATTCTACAGTCATAATTCTATTAGATAACAAGGTTATCAATAGCCCCATTAAAAAGCCGAACATTGGGAATATTTGAGAATTCTTCCTTAAAATGTTTGTTTTCACTCATTTTGTAACATTTCCAAAGCATTACAGATGGCTCTACATCCTTCAAGCTTCACACCAAATTGCTGATTGTTGTAATACATTTCAAACAGTGACATTTAAAACAAACATGCCAAAAGTAGCAAAGTTGCTTGATGAATTTCAATGCATTGTTCTTGGCTATGATTCTTCTTTGCTCTGGAACACTTTTGGTTTTCTGTAACACTCCTTGGCTCATTGAAACAATTCATTTTTAATTATACCTCCATACATTTAAGAAGAGATCCTACTGGGGAAGGGGAGGGAGGATGGAAAGATGTAAAAAGACAGCTCGACTGTTTGCTTTGGTAGGGTTTCATTCTACTCCATGGCTTAGAAAGGGGCATATCTCCTGGCACACTGGACTGGGCTGCCTCCCTTGCTGCTATTCCCTGTCAAAGTCCCCGTGATGGATGCACAGTGATGCTCATGGTGAAGCTTATACCAGGATGTGGGAAGAAGACCAGTGAGATACCTTCCTTTTTATCCGTATATGATATGTAGTAATTTGTCATGCTTTGACCTTAACTTTAAAATTTTTTAAATTGATGAAAAAGTATTTGCTAATAACCCTACATGATGATTTATGTATATATTATGTAACAATTGTCACAAATTAATTTTGATGAGAGATTTTAAATGTCCTCACCTCCACTCACCATGATCTTAAATTTAATGAGCTGATTGTATCTGTACTTGCAGCTAAACAATAAATAGTGTTGAAGATGGTGTTAGACTGAAGGACTATGGAAATAATTCCATTCCAATACTGCCCTATCTTCTTCCCTCCTTTGCATCTAGGCCATGATGATCAGCTAGGGAGCATGAAAAAATAATTCCTGTATATGCATTCATTTCTTCTTTGGTTTTTAAACTCCTCAGATTCCGTGGCCCTGAATTTGATTCAACAAACATTTTATTCCATGTAAGGTACTTCGCTAGCCACTGAGGGGATACAATGATTAAAAAGATATTATTTCTGCCTTCAAAGAATTTACATATATCTCTTTCTAACCAGATTATAAGGTAGAATATGGCAACCTATAATCCATTTCTGGTCAACATAAAGAAGATCTGTTATAAAGTCTGTAAAGAGAGTGAATTAAATGTAAGCAGTATGTAAGAACAGGGTTATTAGCTTGCAAGAAATAGGATCAAAGATGCATCAATAAGAAGGCTTTAAATTGCTGTGTATATCATATGGAGTTTTTCAGAATGAAATTATTGTGGTGGGTATGTGTTCGAGTTTAGAAAGCTAGCAACAGTCCAAAGTGGAAGTCTTTCACCTCTTCCCCCTCCCATTCAGAGAAAAGCATTCACTCACTCCTCTGCTTCTTCCCTCTCCAGCTAATGACTATATATCAGATGGATAATGAAAAAGTCCTGACGTTCAGGAGATGGCTGAGGTGAGAAACACAAAAATCTTCATAAGGGACTATAGGGATAACTTCAGAAAATCAGAAAAGAGGTGTGGAAAAAGGGAGAAAATGGGAAAATATCTACTATCTAGTGAAACAAGGGAAAGGAAGGACTATAGTTTGGCAATAGCAGGGATATGAGCACAAGGAAGCAGTCACCTGGGGCACTCTCTGAAGTGAGGCCCAAACAGCGAGGCTTTACCTTGAGAGCCTGTAAAGAACAAGGACATTACGGCCAAAGGCACAGCATCTAATTTCTTCTACGTGGAACCCCAAATGTCAGCCAGTAACAAGGACTGTCAGCCTACTCTTGTGGACTGCTTGCTGGCAAAACTTATCTACCATTAGGCCCAGCTGAAGAAATGGTGGAATGGATCCTTCCTTTTCCCTCTCCCCACTAAAGGAGATAGTGATTGATCCCCTAGCTGTTCCCCCTGCAGAAATATAAAGCAACATTACATTACACACTCTCACACACATATACACAATGCTTTGGGCACATAAACAAATTGTTCTAATTACAGAGATCAGAAAATACTCTATCTTAGGTAACTCATCAATGTTAGATGCCTTCTGTTCATTTATAAACCATAATCCCCTGGCCAGGCACGGTGGCTCATGCCTGTAATCCCAGCACTTTGGGAAGCTGAGGTGGGTGGATCACTTGATATTAGGAGTTCGAGGCCAGCCTGGCCAACATGGTGAAACCCCGTCTCTATTAAAAAAAAAAAAAAAAAATAGCCTGGCGTGGTGGCACACGCCTGTAATCCCAGCTACTTGGGAGGCTGAGGCAGAAGAATTGCTTGAACCTGGGAGGCAGAGGTTGCAGTGAGCCGAGATCGCGCCACTGCACCCCAGTCTGGGTGACAGAGTGAGACTCCGTCTCAAAATAAATAAATAAAAATAAAAATAAATAAATAAACCATAAGTCCCTTTAGTCTACCTTAGCTAGCCAGGGAATTTCTACTGGATCCCCAGTCTACTCTAATTTGAATCTTAACTCTGATATCAACATCCTCCCTCTTTGCATAGTACAGACTGATGACTCAGTTGGAAAGTCTAAATTTTTATCTAGATTTTCTGACCCTTCCTCCAGCTCTGGCCATAGCAACCTGTGGTAAGTTACATGGTGCCAAAGTCTAGGGCAAGTAGGCTCCAGGAGGTCAATCCTGGCCACATCTCAATACTTATAGGCTTTCTTATTTCAAGATAAGAGAGTGGGAAATTAGGTACTTCCTTGCCCATTAAAAAAACAACCCATTCCTGTCCCTGCCATCTGTCTGCCAGTTTTTAGAACTTGTGGCTAGGTGCACCTAAGGAACTTTTGGACTCAGTACCCTAAAGGAGATAGTATACAACTTTGTAAGAAGACTGCCTCAAAATCTGGGGGTGAGGTGGTTCCCAAAAGCCAACTTACTTTTTCAGTTCTTTAGGGTCAAGTGGCCTATAATTGCTCCACTATCTGTGACATCGCTAAGATGTGGCACTGCCAACTAATGAAAGAAAATGAGGAATCATTGACTCTCTCCTGGTTTATCTGACTGAAACCCAAATGATATTATGGTTCCACAAGTGTTGGACTATGTACTGCTTTCATCAATGAATGGAGTACCTTCAGTATAGATCTCCATTTCTTGGCTTAAGCATGCATCAGAATCACCTGGAGGACTTGCTAAAACACAAATTGCTTGGCATCATTCCGAATTTCTGATTCAGTAGGTCTTGGATGAATCCCAAGAATTTGCATTTCTAACAAGTTGCCAGGTGATGCTCATGATGCTGGTGTAGGGAATGCACTTCGAGAACTACCAGTAGTTACGAAAAACAAAGTTAAAAAACAAAGGTGACCTACGTAAACTTTGATTATTTCCTCCTTTCCCTGAAATCAAGCTATACTTTTATATAAACCTCATTTCAGGTAAAAGGTGACTTTTTCTGCAGAATCTGAACTGATTGCCAGATAGGATAGTGTCCACATTTGGGCAATCCTATATATAAATGAAAATAATTAATCCAGGATGGTATAGCCTCCCGATAGGTATTTAAAATCCACACAAATACTAATGCCACATTTGTTTGAAAACAATAGGTCTGTGGCCTCCTAATTCCATGGCTTCCTTTGGGACCAACTCATTTAATGACCCTGCCATTTAAAGTAAGAGTTGCAGTTAATATTCTCCCGGAATTAACCATGCTAATAATATAGTGCTTTGGAATAATTGTTCTGTCATCACAGTCACATTAACTACTTTACCTAGATTATCTTTCGCATCTGTAAATTCATTGTAAGCCTATGGCCAGCTGTTGAACAAAGGAGAATTGGCCACTAGAGTATAGACCAATGACAGCTGGGCTGAATCCAAACTGAGCAGTCTCCATAAGCCAACAGTAAGTGCTGACCCATGACTGGTGAGCCATAAAATGTCAGATACATGTGAGGTAAAAGTCAGTGACTCTGTAAGACTATCTTGGGGTGGAATATTGAGGCATAATCTTCTCTAAAGATCTTAAAGAGATGATAGTGATGGAATTACAGAGAATAGATTACTAGAACCCACAAGCAAAAATTAGTATTTGGTTTATCATTTGTCACAGGCTTCTATTCTTACATGATTTATGAGGCGGGAAACACATTCGGCCCAATTTGAGTTTTATTAAAGTTGTCTTTTCATTGAGACCTTGGCTCTCCCAAAGTTTATGAAGTAAGAAAAGCTCTCACAGGGACGAATATATCTACAGCATTGCTGGCTGCAAAGACTGTGAAGGCTTGAGGGAGAAGAAAGTTTTCTATGCTGTCTACTTACTTTGCTCTGGATAGCTCTGGATATAACTGTGTTATAGGATTTTAATGATAGCATAAAATTTTTCCAGTGTTAATTTTGCCAGCTAATTGTGTAATAGCTTTTTTTAAAAAAATTATTTTTTTGGACAGGGTCTTGCTCTGTCACCCAGGCTGGGGTGCAGTGGCGTGATCATGTCTCACTGCAGCCTCGAACCCCCAGGCCCCAGGCCCAAGCAATCCTCCCACCTCAGCCTCCTAAGTAGCTGGAGGAGTGCACCACCACGCCCAACTAATTAAGTTTCTTTTTATACAGACGGGGTCTCACTATGTTGCTCAGGCTCATCTCGAATTCCTGAGCTCAAGTGATCCATCTTTATCAGGCTCCCAAAGTGCTGGGATTACATTCGTGAGCCACCATACTCAGCCATACATTTTTTTAAAGATTGATCTTTGCTGGGTGCCATGGTTCATGCCTGTAATCCCTGCACATTGGGAGGCTGAGGTGGGTGGATTGCTTGGGTTCAGGAGTTCAAGACCAGCCTGGGCAACGTGGCGAAACCCTATCTCTACCAAAAAAAAAAAAAAAAAAAAAAAAAATTATCCAGGCATGGTGGTGTGTGCCTGTGGTCCCAAGCTACTCAGGAAGCTGAGGGTGGAGGATCGTTTGAGCCCACCTGGGAGGCAGAGGCTACGGTGAGCTGTGATTGCACCAGTGCACTCCAGCCTAGGTGACAGAGTGAGACCCTGTCTCAAAAAAGACTGTTCTTTAGCCATGTCATATACACAATATATGTGTATATACACATATACACATTCAGTAGCTGAAACTGATGAATAGTCCCCTCCCTGGTGTGTTGTTCTTTATATATACATTGTATCCATTTTTTTCTAAATATTATTCAAATTCAGAAACTGAAAATCAAATACTGAATCACATAAAGTCTATAGCATCTTTAGTATCATGCCTATTCCTTCCTGTTTTTTAAGTGTACTTACCTAATACATTCTTTCCATGTCATTTGTTTTATTCATAAAAGGAGGACCAACACGCCTCCACTCTCATTTCCTGCCTGACCCTTGCTTTAACTCTTTTTTCCATACTCAAGGAGAATGTTTGCCTGTGAACAATGGGGATACAGGCAAGGCAGAGCACAGCAAGGCACAAAGATGAAGATGGTCTGTTCAGTGGGCAATGGCAGGGGACAGGGACTCCAGAGACTTGCCAGCTGCAAGGCAATTGAAGGAGAAGGAAAGAGAAGATATTTGGAGACAGTAACCACAATATGAAATATAACATTTGAAAAGATTTGCAGCCTTGGGTGATGAGAAATGAGTCAAAAGATCTCAATGTCTGCATGTATGTCTTTGTTTCCTTTGATACATAATCAAGGTCTTCTAGGGCATGCTAAGATTTAGAGAAAGTCTCCCAATTGGCAAGTGTAAAAGACCAGGTTTACAGAGTAGGGTTGGGCTTAGTGCCACTTTGAATATTTCTACAGCTCTAACATCACAAATTTGCCAATCACTGTGAATGTGTGTGCATGCATTGATGCCTCATGGATATTTTAAAGGGCTCCTCTTTGAAATTAAAATATAAATGTGTGTCTTTTAAAAAGCTTCAATTAGGCCTTTTAATTTATTGCTTGAAACTATATGGTCACTTAGCTAGGGCCTACAAGTAATGAACCCTTCTTAATTTGCCAAACTATTTCATCTGTGCAGTCTTTGGGTACTTATAAACCCTGTTGATAAATACAGAGGTAGAAACCTGTCAGTTTTCATCACTCTAGTTTTGTACAATTGGAAAAGACTTTTTCATACATGTAACCTACTCAGATTAACAAGGTGCCATGAAAGCCATGCTGCTATGTCTCTTGGTGTACCTGTTGGCACCTGTTAGTAAGTAAATGAGAGGTCACCAGTTAGTTGCTTTCAAATTCAGTCTCTGGAGATTGACAAATTCTATAAAATTGCTTGCGAAAGGAAGAAGCCTTGTTATTTCAAGACTGCATTTATCTGTGAATCCCATTCTATATAAAAGTAAAAAAACAACAAGTACATGACACACTGTCAAGTGAGCTGAGCAAACTGACATCCTTCTGGATACCTTTTAGAAAACAGGTGTTGAACACTTGTAATGAGATTTCCATGCATCTTCAGAGGAAGTAGGAAAGATTCTAGCAAGAGCTGTTCAGAGTGTTACAGATCATGGCCAAGGAAATAATTCCGAATAAGGAACAAACTGAAGAAGACATTACATAAATGCCGTGTGTGTGTGTGTGTGTGTGTTTTAACTTTTTCTTTTTTCTTTTCTTTTTTAGAAGACACATATCCACCAGACAGAAGTATTTTGAAGTATATAATTTTTCCAGATCGTGGGGAATCTGGGATATATTTAATTAACTATTTCTGAACTGTTATCTAAGTGTTTTATTTATTTCTATGTAGAAAATGAACTAAAATGGGGGCACGCTATGTTTTATAAGAAAGTTAAAAATTTTGTTTTAACTCAGATACTAGACAAACTTGGAAAATCATCTAAGAAGTGAGAAAGTAAAAATAACCATTGGGGATAATTACAATAAAGAGTACTAAATTTATAGTGGTATTTTCTTCATTGCATTTAGATCTATAATCTCTCTGGAGAACAAGTTTCTATTACAGAGGAATTGAGTTCATCTGTATACATTAAATAAGCCCATCTTTCAAATAACACTTCCCAAACACTGTATCATTTTACCACTGATTTGTCTCCCATGTTTGCTATAGATGAAGTATGTCAGGCTCTCATTTATAGATGGATCTGACCCTATGCTTGTAGTCGTCTGCCGGATCATGGGCTTTGGTGATGGCTTTGTAACTTGTCTTAGATAACACTTTTTTTTTTCTAAGTTGACTTAGTTATTCAGTATACTTTATTTAAATTTTAAGGTAAATTTATCAAGTTCTTTAAAAAACTAGAATTTTGATGGATACTGCAATGAATTTATACATTAATTTGAGGGAAGAATTTATATCTTATATTATTAAGTCATCCCTCCTAGGTCATGGAATAGCTCTATCTCTATCTAGATTACTTTCTATGACTTGTGAGTTTCAAAATTTTCTTCATAGAGGTCTATAAAGTTTCGCATGTTTTTATCAAAGCTAATTCCTGGATACCTTACAGTTTGGTTGTTACTGTGAAAGTTATCTCATTTTTGTTAATATTTTTTAGCTAGTGGATTGATGGAGTGGAGCAGTGGTTCTCAATGTGTGGCCCATGAACCACTGGGAAGACCACCTAAAACCTTTCAGGGATCTGCAAGATTAAAATTACTTTCATAAATAATACTAAATGTTTTTGCCTTTTACATCCTGTTGACATTTACACTAATGGTGCAAAAGCAATAGTACGTAAAAATCACCGTTGCCTTAGCATGAATCAAGGCTGTGGTTGCAAATCATAATTGTCACTGTATTCTTTAACACCATGCACTCAAGTAAAAGAAAAAGCCAGTATCATATAAAGCTGTACTTGATGAAACAGTAAAAATATTACTTTGATTAAACCTCTGCCCTTGAGTGTATGTGTATACCTATACATATATATACACACATATATATATATATATATATTTTTTTTTTTTTGAGACGGAGTTTTGCTGTTGTTGCCCAGGCTGGAGTACAGTGGCGCAATCACGGCTCACTGCAACCTCTGCCTCCCAGGTTCAAGCGATACTCCTGCTTCAGCCTCCCGAGTAGCTGGGACTACAGCCATGCACCACTATGCCTGGCTAAGTTTGTATTTTTTTAGTAGAGATGGGGTTTCTCCATGTTGGTCAGGCTGGTCTCGAACTCCTGACCTCAGGTGATCCGCCCACCTTGGCCTCCCAAAGTGCTGGGATTACAGGCATGAGCCACTGTACCCGGCAGAGTATACATTTTTAAATAGTATGTGTGACAAAATGGGAAGTTTGCCTAAAGAACTTTTGCATATTGAAGTACAATGAATGACTGTCTCAAGGAAAAGCATTTGTGTGACTATCTGCATCCAGGGCCTCTCTCCTCCCCACACTTACAGAATCATTTTTGGTAGAAAAGAGTACTGACAATGTATAGTTATTCAGAGTTGGCTATTTGGCAGACATTTTCTGAGAAAACAAATGAATAAAGTAAACATGTCACTTTAAGAAAAACAACCAGTGTTTGTTACCACAATGCTATTATTAGAGTCTTCAAGGAAAATTAGAATTTTAGAAAACTTGTATCTGTTATAAACTTGATAGCTTCTCAATACTTTAAGATGTTTCTGATGAGAAGGGTGATATTAAAAGTGGTGATATTTTTGATATAATACTTGCTAATATAGGGATAACTCACAAAACCAATATTTTCCAAATAATACGTGAAGTTGAAAAATCATGCACACACACAGCTTTTTTTTAAAATATATATCACAAAACTAAGTTTCAATTTGGTCCCTATCCAGGTGATCACACATACTAGATCAGTATAGCTCAAGCAATGAGTTTTTACAAATCATACATGTATTGCTTTATAAACTAAAACCTTGAACAAATTTATAATTTCCTAAATATTCTAAAGAAAAAGACAACAGGTTACTGTCTTTGTTTTAAAGCAAACAATTTGTATCTAACAATTTGTCCCTCATCAACAGGTGACTTAGAAGCAGAAATGGTCACAGAGGTTTTACTTTCAGGCCAAGTTCTCATTATCCAAGCCACACTGTCCAAAAAGCTAAATGGAAATTCTTTAATTACCTGTTCAATTCTTTTTAGGGTGAGGATTCAGTTTAAGATACAAATTACTTTTTGCCATTGTCGGTGCCTATGGGAACATGAAATTTCAGGTCTATTATTTAGGTGTCAGAAACTTCAGTTCATGGGGACACACAATACTCAAAATTCAAATTAACTTCCTAAGGAGCCACATAAAACTTTTATCAGAGAAAACTGTTATATCATCTTAGAAATATTAGTAAAAATTATTCACCATTAACAAAAATTTGCCACAAACTGTGCAGTTTTTTTTTTTAATAAACACGTGGCCTCTAGACACAAACATTCTTAAGTAGAACAGATTTTATTTATTACTTATTGCTATCGTGTACAATGGAGTGTTAAATTAAAACACCACCCAGATGACACACACATCCTAATGATATAAGGACTGCCACAGTACAACTTCTCCTCTCAAAGACAGTAGGCAGTCTGGGCCTCTGGGAAAGCATCTCTACCCCATTCAACTGAGGCTCTGAAAATAAGAACACAGGGGTTAAACCTGGGAACCTGGCAACTAGAAGGCCAAGAAAAATCCTCACCTCCCAAAGACTTTGCTTATTCATTCCATGCTACCTTTTGTTCAGGGCACCTCCACATTTCTAGGTTCACCATAAGCCTAGGTACCAAGTCTATGCAAAAGATCTCATGTCCAGGCAAGTCCTAAGGCGCAGTCTCCCCTTTTATATCTTAAATCACAATATGCTATATAATTTTCAGGAAACAGTAGGAACTGTTATCAAATGTATGACTGCGCTCTTGTCTGTGAGAAAGTCTTTGAACCAAAGAACAAATTGATTCTTCTTTTAAAATAATATCTAATTTGCATCAACAAGGCACATGATTTAAAAAACAATTAGGAAACATGATGCTTCAGTGTTATCTCTGCATGCCAGAATTACAAGTAAAAAAAAGATCTCACTATTATTTAGCTAGTAGGTTAGTGATAAAATTAAAGCAAAGGAGAAAACTACTTGATTTTTAATAGGGTAAGTCAAAGATTTCTTAACACAAAAGAGGCAATTCAATGAAATGGTAGCATTTTATAACCCCAAGATTAAAAACAGCTGCTTTCTAGAAATGTCCAGTTTTCAAAATAACTGTTTCTATGAAACATGCAAATAATTCCCAAGAAAGAAAGAAGACATTTAGAGGGAAGTCCTTTGTTTTATTTAACCCATTATGAAATTTAAAAATCCTTTTATTCTGCAAATTTGTGCTGCCAGTGGAGAATTGGAAGAATTCCCAATGGAAGAGAACTATGATGATGGAAGAGAACTATGAGTCACAATTAAGCAGCACACTGAATTACAAAAACAATCAAAACAGGCTAGATTACTGGGCATTGTTAATGTAACTGCCATCTATAACCTCTGGCTTCTCTGATCCAGCATTAGTGCTTCCCCCACTTCTTCCTGCCGTGATAAGAGCAAGAAATTATGGCTTAATTTTTCCAATCCTGTTATTTTAGTGTTAGTTTTTGCCCTAAATTTTAATTATTTAGTAATTGGTTTGAAAGACTTTTTGCAAGCCAGCTTGCCAGTTTATGGATGTTCTTTCTGCTATTATGTAGCTTGATAAATTCATTTGTTTATCCAATAAATATTTACTGAGTACCAAATATGTGCTGGGCACATCTCTTGGCACTGTGGATAAGAAGTTGTTAAAATACAAAATTGTCTGTCCTCCTGGAACTAACATTCTAGGACAATAAGTGGGATGAATGCACTATACATTGTGTTGGATTATAATAAGCGCTGTGGAAGAAAATAAAGCAGGAGAGGGGGATAAATCTTCTGGACTGGGGGTAAGTTTTGCAAATTTGAATCACTTTCAACACCTGACATCGTGAGGAATGTGGGGAAAAATAAACAAAAAGATTTTAGCCCAGTGCAAATTTAACTAGACAAGCTCGTCAAGGGCGGGGAGTGTAAGAAGAGATCAACAGACAGACAGTGGGCTCTGAACCTCCCACTTACTAGCTATGGGACTGTAGACACACTACATAACCTCTCAGGTTCAGTTTTCTGAGAAGAAGTAATAATAATGATACTATTTATTGCAAAGTATTGTCTTAAGAAGTAAATTGAGTTGCCTGTAATCCCAGCACTTTGGGAGGCCGAGGTGGGTGGATCACGAGGTCAGGGGTTTGAGACCAGCCTGGCCAGCATGGTGAAACCCCGGCTCTACTAAAAATACAAAAATTATCTGGGAGGCAGAGGTTGCAGTGGGCCAAGATCGTGCCACTGCACACCAGCCTGGGTGACGAAGCAAGACTTCATCGGGGGCGGGGGTGGGGGTGGGGAGGGAAACAAAGAAGTAAATTAGTTGATACATCACATATAAAATGCTTAGAATAGTGCCTGGTATATAAGCATTTTCTCTTTTTACTAAATAATTATCATTATTTTTGGAAAGAGTGGCTTTTATTAATATTAATCTTTGGCTTTTGTGACGCAGCTGAGGTGTTTATCATAAAATGTCATTACTTTGAATCAGTCTTGGAGGCATGGCAGCCAGTGAAAAGAATGTGAAGAGGGCTCTGGTGTCTGAGAGATGCAAGTATGAATCTCATATCTGCTCAGTTTTAATGGCAACAGCAGGACCTTGTGCAAGTTAACGCTTTTTTTCAGAAGTCTCAGTGAACTCTCCATAAAATACCTATTTTGTAGAGCTATTTAAGCAACTAATGAAGCAGTATAAATAGAAAGCCTTTGGGACAGGCCAGGCACTGTGGCTCATGCTTGTAATCCCGGCACTTTGGGAGGCTGAGGCTGGTGGATCACCTGAGGTCAGGAGTTCAAGATCAGCCTGGCCAACATGGTGAAACCCCATCTCTACCAAAAATACAAAAAATTAGCCAGGCGTGGTGGCAGATGCCTGTAATCCCAGCTACTTGTAAAGCTGAGGCAGGAGAACCACTTGAACTCGGGAGGCGGAGGTTGCAGTGAGTTGAGATTGTACCAGTGCACTCCAGCCTGGGCAACAAGGCAAGACTCTGTTAAAATAAAAAAAAAAAAAAAAAAGAAAAAAAGAAAAGAAAACCTCTGGGACACATAGGCAGTCAGTAGATGACAAAATCATGATGAATTTTGGGTACAGCTTTACTCTTTTCTAGAGGGTATAAACTGAGGAAAATTATTGGAATGCTCAAGAGACTACAAGAGACTACAGTGTCAAAGTATTATCAAGCCATCTGAGTTCTTTAGTTCTTTCACATGTAATTGATATTTTCATTGTTACCCACTTTTAAAAGCATCACCCCACCAAGAACATTTACAAGGTAACCCTGCTAGGTTACCTTGCTACCAAATGCAAATAACATGATATAACTAATATATATAATATATTTTTTGGAGACAGGGTCTCCTTCTGTCACCCACGCTGGATTGCAGTGGCACAATCATGGCTCACTGCAGTCTTAAACTCCTAAGTTCACGCAGTCCTCCTGCCTCAGCCTTATGAGTAGCTGGGACTACAGGTATGCGCTACTATACTTGGCTATTTGAGGCGTGTGTGTGTGTGTGTGGAGATGGGGTCTCACTATGTTTCCTAGGCTAGTCTTGAACTCCTGGGTTCAAGTGATCCTCCTGCCTCAGCCTCCCAAAGTTCTGGGATCACAGGCATGAGCCACCATGCTCTCCCTGGAATATAACAACATTTCTAAAAAACCCCTATCTTCTGTTACTTCAGAACATTCTTAAATTTAGTTTTCCCTTCAATCAATTTAAATTACATAAATTACATTGATTTTTCTTTGTGTTTTTTTGGTTTTTTTTTTTTTTGAGATGGAGTTTTGCTCTTGTTGCCTAGGCTGGAGCGCAATGGCACCACCTCGGCTCACTGTAACTTCTGCCTCCCAGGTTCAAGTGATTCTCCTGCCTCAGCCACCCAAGTAGCTGGGATTGCAGGCATGCACCCCCACTCCAAGCTAATTTTGTATTTTTAGTAGAGACAGGGTTTCACCATGTTGGTCAGGCTGGTCTTGAACTCCTGACCTCAAGTGATCCACCCATTTTGGCTCCCCAAAGTGCTGGAATTACAGGCGTGAGCCATTGTGACTGGCCGATTTTTCTCTTTTCTAAACAAGCATTTCATTTTAATAAAAGTATATTTCCTAGAGTTGCCGACCTGTACAGTTGACCAGTGGTATGGATTGCTAAGTCACTGTGAGGAGAAGATTTCTGTTTGGTTGAAGCAAGGTATATATGGGACAAGTCCCTTTTGTTCTCTCCTCTCTTTAAGGAGATCAGGCAACTCTACACATGGCCTCTGCCCCAGGCTTCAAAAAGGGGCACTCTGACCCTTTCATATCTCCCAGGGGAAGAAGCATAGCTTCTGGAGGTTAAGGATCACCTAAGTCCAGCCCCAGCTGGCTGAGTTATTTACTCCATGGCAGCTGGAAAGCCACGAACAACCCTGAACTTCTTGTTTGTAAACTAGGATGAAAGCTGTTTCTACAACAGGAATGTTGTAGGGGAGAAAATGCCTTAAGAGGTTTGAAAAAGTTTGCTAAAGAGCATCGGATTGTTGCTATTACAATGTGCTGTCATAAGAGGTGACAATCAGTCCCATATTTTTTTCTAATTCATTTTTCTCTAAAGTGCACTTAGCAATCATTGTAGGTGTGTTCTTTCTCCTCTTCGTGGCTCTGAGTGTTTTGTTCCTGTCACTTTCTGGGGTCAAATATTGAAAAAGGTAGGGGAAAAAAAAAAGAAAGAAATAGAGCCCTTAATAGAAGACTTCAGTTAAAAACAACCCAAGCAAACTTGCTTATAACATTGCATACAAAATTTGACCAAAATGAGAAAACTAGGATTAGGAAGTTTCATCACTTGTCTCTCACTTCATTGTTTTCAGATGGAACTAACTAATCTCCTACCTCTCTCCAAAGTCCAGAGTGCCTACTTTGTGTCAGCAGACACAGTGGTGGGTGCTGGGAATACAACAGTGAACAAGTCAGTAAGGACCCTGCCTGCATGGGGCTGAAGAGAAGACAGAGAGGAGAAACACATCATAACAGGCACACGTAGTTAAATGAATAATTGTGATAAGGGATGCAAGAAAAAAATAATAGAACGTTAAAAAATTCAGCGACTCAGCGAACTCTTTCCTAGCAATTTCCTGATGGGATTTCATAACCCTTGTTCATTCCTGTGATTAACAACTTTCAAAGTTAATAACTGCTTACTTTTTATTTAATAGCATTTATGCTTTTTATTCTGTTATTTTCAAGAGTGATAAAGGAAAATGGTCCTCTTTTCTTGTTGTAAGAGCCCTTCAAATATCTGTGACAGCTTCCAAGTAAGATTGGTGGATATGCTTAAAACATAATGCATACCATTCATATAGCCTCAGGTTTTTTGCTTTAAATTTGTATCAAAAATATTGCTGAATTTTTAGAGATGAATGGCCTATACTTTACCTACAAAGTATTAGCAATCATTCTGACAAAATCAAAGCATTTTCAGAATTCCTAATCAAAATGATCTAATAGAAGCCCTGAGAAAAAGAGAGCTATTCATCAATGACAAAACATCACACTACCAACAGCAATGGAAACAACAAAATTAAAAAGGCAATGTACAGAATGGGAGAAAATATTTGCACACCATACATTTGAGAAAGGGTTCATATCCAAACTATTTAAGTAACTCCTATAACTTAACAGCAGAAACCCAAATAGCCCAACTTAAAAATGAAAAAAGAAACTGAATAGACATTGCTCAAAAGACATACAAATAAATGGCCAACACATAAATGAAAAGGTGCTCAACATCACTAATCTTCAGGGAAATGCAAATCAAAACCACAATGAGATATCATCTCACACCTGTTGGGACGACTATTATTTAAAATGAACAAACAAACAAAACAAGAGATAGCAAGTACTGGCAAGGATGTGGAGAAAAAAGAACTCTTGTATACTATTGGTAGAAATGTAATTAGGTGCAGCCACTATGAAAAATAGTATGGAGGCTTCTGTAAAAATAAAATATGGAACTCCAAAGGATTCAGCAATCTCACTTCTGGGTATACAACCAAAAAAATTGAAATCAGGATCTCAAAGAGATATCTGCTCTCCCATGTTCATTGCAGCATTATTCATTGAAAGCAACCTAAATGTTCATTGAGAGATGAATGGATGAAGAAAATGCATAATATACATACAATAGAATATTATTCAGCCTTAAAAA
Source organism: Homo sapiens (assembly GCF_000001405.40). Taxonomy (NCBI): domain Eukaryota; kingdom Metazoa; phylum Chordata; class Mammalia; order Primates; family Hominidae; genus Homo; species Homo sapiens. The sequence continues at coordinate 122,435,833 of NC_000007.14, forward strand.
AACAAATTTCTGGCTTAATAGTAAAATAAGCCAGTCACAGTACATAATAACACATGATACCACTTATATGAGGAATCTAAAAGAGTTAAACTCATAGAAGCAGAGAGTAGAACAGTCACTGCTAGGGGCTGGGAGAAGAGAACATGAAGCGGTATTATTCACAGGGCACAAAGTCTAAGTTATTCAAGATATAGAAGTTCTAGGGACCTATTATACAGCAGAATGCCTATAGTTAGCAATATAGTACACTTTAAGAAATTGCAAAGAGGGTAGCTCTTGTGTTAAATATTTTTATCATAAAATATTAATAATAATAAAGAGGGCAGGAGGAAACTTTCGTAGGTGATGAACAGGTTTATGCTATAGATTGCAATGATCGTTTCACAGCTATTTACCTCCAAATTCATCAAGTTGTGTACATTAAATATGTACAGCTTGCCTGTCAATCATGTCTCAACAAAGTGCTTTAAAAATATCACACCACCACATGAGAAATAATGGCTTGTGCATGCAGAAATATTAATTACCTGTTTCCTTTTCTGCTGGGCCTAAAACATAAGAAAAGAGAATTTAGGAGAAAAGCAAACTCTACCCTTGTCGTTCATATAATGTAAAAGGCCACTTTCTAACTTAAGTTTGATTTGGTTCTTAGTCTAGTCCTGAGGATAAAACATAAATACTTTTTTTTTCTTTTTTAAGAAAAAAGTAGGGGGAGAGGGAGATGATGAAAAACATGGAAGTTTTTCTCACCTAATGAGCAAGCATTTTGTTGTTGCTATTTTTTAAAGAAGACTGCTCAGCATTCCTACCACAGTGGGTTGCTAGGATCCATTTTCCAGAATATTCTTCCATTAGACCAGAGATAAGAGAGAAGTGACTTCAGAAAGGGAAAAGGTAGGAGAGTTTCCCGCTCACTGTCCATTGGGTACTACCATAGGCTCTTGTCTAACAGAGACTTGTTTTTATGTGTACAATAAAAAGGTTCTTTATCCATTTAAAATGGATTCTATGGCTATAAAATACAAAGATAAAGTGCACTGCATATATCTTTTCTGTATCCGTGGACAAGTTAATAGTCAAAAATATTAACTCAGTTGAGAGCAAAATGATTCTTACAGGTTTTTTTGGGTAGAGTACATAACATTTACATAAAACAATATGGTGTTTATTCAAGTTCCCCACAACTTTTATCTTTGCCAGATCTGAAAGGCTTTAATATGTCTATTTTAATATCATTTCTTCCAATCTGTGTCAGAATACTCAATGCTCCCAAAACATGAAAATTATTTGAATGAGTATTTAAGACTGAAACCCAATGTGTTTATCTTCCACTTTCCCCGAATGATCAAATGTTCATTGCTTTTGCTTTAACACAACATGATATCATAATTAATGAAGTTAAAATGGTAACTAAGGAGGTTTCATGTTGTTACTCTCGTGATATAATGTTGGTTGTTATGGTGATGAGATGGCTTTTTTGTTAATCACTCAGGAGGTTGGTTATCGTATGCTTGTTAGAAAGCTTGACCAGATTTGGAGAGAAGAAAGGAATAATAACACAAACAATTATCATCAATCTTTTTCCCTACCTGAATTTTGGTAAAACTATACTAATATCAACTGCTTCATAAATCTATGATTCCTTGAGTACCATTTTATATAAAAAGTTACTAAAATTTTATAAAGGATTATTTACTTTTATTTTCAGGTAAGAAACTTTTATTTTCAGATAAGTATTTAACATTAACTGCATTTTTTCCCTCTATTAGTTAATCCTGCATGTATTATTATGAAAGCCAGTTTTATGACAATTTGAGCAAAAAATGTGAGGCCTGTTACTTTTAATTACATAAATTAATGTGTTGAATAAAACTGTTGAATAAAAGCTGATTTTGTGACTTTGCCACAAATTCCAATCTACTTATTTCTAAACATTTAAAAAATTAGTATCCTTAATGAATAAAGCCTGAAGAAAGAAAAAAAAAAAAAGCACAGTTCTCTCAAGAGATCTAATCTTTCAAATGCATCAGTACATTGCAAGCAATTAAAAACCGAAGGAAGTTCTATGAGTTTATTTCAGCCCTCAATAATCAACAAGTTTCTTTTTTGAGTGATACTGCAGAACAGAAAATAAAATTACATAATACTACACTGTTACTGATCAGGAAAGATTTTGCTGCCTATAGTTTAAATGTTAGACATACTTAAAGTACTGCCAAAAAATACAACCCATGAAAACACCTTTTGGTTTTTTCAAAACTCAAAATAAGAACAAAGGACAACTTAAGCACGAATCCTGGGTCTTTCATTCAAGCAGAGTCCCAGGAGGCATATTAAAGCAATGAATAGGAAAAAGCTCTTCAGTTCACCAGCTGAGATTTTAATGAGACATTTCCCTTTGCCATGGCACAGGATTGTTCAGGAAAGGAAAGGACTTCTCATAGAAAATTCAGTTACTAGGCATTGTTGGCTCTCACTGCCACTTCGACAATTGCTCACTGCACTGACCTTCTATTTTGGCATATTCTGTGAGTCTAGTGTAATTGATCAAGGCAGCTTTCTCGAGACATTTTCTGACCACTTTCTTCACCTCTTCTGCTGGTATGGGAGTGGCAATATCTTTCATTAAAACCTACAGAGAGAGGAAGTGGAAGGGTGAGGGGCAGGGTTGGGGATAGACAGATGGAAGAAAAAAGACAGATGTTGCATAAAATAAATACTAAAGACAAATTACACAAATTGTCCTTGATCTGACTATTATTAGGGAGAGGGGTCCTAGGTAACCTGGGGGGATGTAATGGGTCTGCAATGCACTTCCCAACTGAGAATGTAATCCTCCCACCTTAGCTCCTCCTAAGCCTAATTTATGCATATCAAAACCTCCCCTAGACCAGGTCACCATTCAGTGTGACTGTCACTTTTCTTCCAGGGACCCATGACACCATTAAAGCAGCTGTTTCAGATAAAGATTACAGTTCTCGGGACAAATAATAGTTTGTTTTGCACATCCCTAATTTAAAAGCCTTGAGTCTTTTGAGCAATATATTTGAGAACAATAACAAAAATTCCATTAAGAATAAGCATAATCTTTGAGCTCTGAAAAAAAAAAAATCAAGACCTCTAATCTCACTAAATTTTAATGATTGTGATTTGCTGTGAATACCACGGCAGTGTATTCAAAGAGGGAGAAGGAGACCTCTTTGCCTTAGTGAAATGAATGCTTATGAAGTATCGAATGTTAAAATACATAAAAACTTTCTATGGTTTTAAAAAATAACTGATTATTCTCTGTTGGGCTCCTAAAATGTGTTTTTGGACTTTTCCTTTAAAAATGTTATTACTGGGCAAGGGGAAAATGCAATTACATCCAGAATTCAAAATGTAATGTATTTATAAACACTGTTACATTGACTCATAATTTTCTTTAAAACCTTCATAATGATAAAACTGCTCACATTAAGTTTTGATTACACTATTAGTAAAACTATCTTTCTGCATATTTAATGCATTTATTCTTGCTTTACTTTCATTCAGATTACAAAACATATGGCAGAATGTTAATATAGAGAAGACAATGCTTTCGTAAGTGCTCTATTTCTATGTCTTATATTGAAAGGAATATTGAAAGAATATGAAAACATCCATTTCATGCTGTATTATTTCATTCTCTTGTAAGTCAGCCTCAGCACTAAGGATTTTATCATCCCTGATTTATTTAATCATCCAAGTATCAGTGACCTTTGACAACATTTTTTAAAGGCTACTCTTTGATGACATTTTAAATATTTTGTTAGGCAAGGTTTTCTTTTTTGAAAATAGCAAACTTTATCATTCTCTCTCTATCAAATTCAATTATTCTGACAAATATTTAGCACTTTAATTAGCACTGCACATTAGACTTTGCAGCCAGAAAAATCCTTTTGTGCATAGTAAAAAATATACATGCACCATTAAATGTGATTATTACTAAACTTTAAGATTAATTTTGTTTCATATGCGGAACCACGAACGTTACTATTATACTTCCCATGGCAACAAACTTTACATAACAAAAATGGCTGTTAAAGTTAGAATGTATATGTCTCCCAGGTAATATTTCATATTATCTGGGAACCAGAAACTTACTTTCTGGCAAAGTACAGGTAAAGGGCTGGCAAATGCAAAAAGGGAGATGCCAACCTCGATTTCCTGCTGCATCCCATGTTCTTCCGAGGTATCATAGGTTTCAAGAATTCACATGCATATTTTTGTTTTACTTTTCAATATCAGTAAGTAAAGAGAAATAAAAATGAAGAAATGACCCTTAACATTTCTGTCTCAATTCAGCAGGAGATGTGATCAGTGACTATAACTGGAATAAAGGTCCCTGTTCATCCTGCCACCTGTCAATGGAGGGCAGGAGGGCATCCTGCCATCACTAAGTCTTCCCTACTGGGGGGCAGAAAGGAGGCTCTGCCATGGAAACCAGGACATGGAGAAGCTGTATTAGGTACCCACGATGGGATGTTGTTCCAAAAAATAAAGCAATCCTTAAGGATTTTTATTCATAATACCTTAATGAATAGGATGACATGAATACTTTGAAAAATCTGAGTTATGTGCAGCTTTCAGTATTATAAAAATTCTAATAAAACATAATTACAACAATCACATTTCTATCACACAATCCACAACAATCAGGGATAAGACAGGGATATAAAAATAAAATTAATCTGTAATCCTAAGATCTCATTTTAATCATCAGTTGTAGTCCTCATCTCCCAAGTTCTTAAATCAATGAAATGGAGATGTAATATCTGGACAATGTCTTCTCTCTTTGCTTTTTAATAGAGATGCTAATAAACAATATAGTATCTAAAATTAATTCAGCAGAAAATGGACAAGATCAAGTGTTAGAAGTCAATAAATCAGGATTACAATAATCAAATTATGAGCTACAGATGAATCTAGAAATTCATTTTAATTCTGGTAAGAAATGGGAGTTGGCCACATTATTTAACTGTTAGCATCTAACAAGTATATGAATAAAATTACAGACAGATGAAAAAATACTGCTCTTTGAAACTTCAGTTGTCATAAAAATAGGAATAGAGAATATATTTTCCTTAAAAAATGATTTTTTTCACCTGGATTAAAAATCTTGTTTGCTGGTTATTTTGTGGGGGAGAAACATTTCTATAATATGTGAATTCATTTAAGGTAACACATACACTGGAATAATTGAAAGAAATTCTGAGATGAATATTGAATGAATGAAATGATATATTTGTGAATGGTAAATGATAAACTTGTTGGCATGAGGACTACGACAGGTAGAAGTACAAATAAAGTTGGAGGATAATAAAAGACAACTGTAAAGTCTGAGAAGCAAAAACAATTATTCTTAACTGAAAAAAAAGTATTTCATGAGGGAAATAAAGAGGTAGGAAAAATGATTACTACCAAAAAGATGCCATAATATGAGGATAGGATTTCAGTGTGAGGCTTCAGAAAGGCTTCAGGGAGAATGAAGTGCTGTAGACAGAGTCTGAATGTAGTAAGAAAAGGTGAGAAACTCATGACTTGTGATGGAATCAGTAGAGAGCATAGAATAACGGGGTCTGTCTCCCTAGTTCAATAACTAAAATACACAGCAACTGAGAAAGCAAATAGTATTTATAAAGTAATGTTCAAACATACCCTTTCAAGTAATGAAAGTGTAGCTTTTAGAGCACCTTCAGGTCGTCCAAAGGGAAAACAGTATCTTTAAAAACAAAAGAAAGAACAAAAGAGTCAAACATTTAATACCCAAGACTGCTAAATAATTCCTGCTTGTATTACTTGGCATTAATGAAGAACCATGAAACAAACAGAAAATATTATAGCATGAACTCATCCAGGGAAATTTTAACTATTAAAAGTTTACCTAACCCTAGGATTTCAAAGACTTAAACAATAAAAGTATAAGCTGTGATGAAAAAGGTTTTAAACGTTTTGATGATACTTGTTTTAAAAGAATACAGTAAATAAAAGAACCTCAAGGGTCATGAGTAAAGCGATAATATGCATTCTGCAATAATTTCTTGTTTAAGAATTGTTATTCAAGTTCTAAGAGAAAATGAAATAATTTCCCTCATTTCCTCCTGTGGCTACTTGTGGTTTAGGGTGGCCACATATACCACAGCAAGATTCCAGCTCTTTCCTTTGCTGACATTTGCCTGTCTACCATGATGTCTAATTTTCTACCTCCCCATACAATACACATAAACCCTCTGCAGTTCTTTTGAATACAGTCATTTGTCCCAAATATTTCTAGTTCTACATATTCCTACTGCACACCAACAAATGAAGGACAGGTCATGGGGATGTTCTGAAATCAGTGTCAGACAAGGCTGGATTGTGAGTGGGCTACTCAGAATTTCATGGCTACCTGATGGTAACAGGTTTATTGCTCTTTACCAGGGGGTCCTGCTTCAGGTCAATTTCCACTTAAACAATACTGAACATCAGGGCCATTTCATCTTTTTGGAGCTCCTTGCTTTGCTGAACCAGATTCAGCAAAGTGCCTCCTCCCAGGACTGCAGTTCCCACCTCAGGATCAAGTGCTACAGGCAGCTGGGCTGTACTTAGGATGGCACCTTGCTCTGACTTAGAAATCTGCAAACTAATAACTTGGAAAGAAGTTTATGTATCTCCATGTCATTTTGCATAAATCAGGCACTTGGTGGACATATTTTCTCAGATATAATAAAATTATATTTCTCACACCATAATTTAAACATATTTCCCCCAAAAGCACATATGTTAAGTTTAACTTGTTTTATACAACTATTTTTTAATAGAAGAGATTGATTTCTCCTTTTTAAAACAAAACAGCAGTTTAATTTATATTAGGATTGGATTTTATATTCGTGAAACTTTCATTAGTCTCACACAGATGCAAATAAATGTTATATAAATCTAGTCACTCAAGTTTTTTTTTTAACAGAATATCACATTTATCATTGTATTTACTGCTAAAAATGTCCTTTCTTAATCTTGCTGCTACATACTCCGCTACTCTCCACCCACACGCACAAGAAAGCCATAACCAATTTATTTTGATAGTTTCTTCTGTGCAGTGGTGCTTTTAAGAGCATTAGCAAATTAGCAAAGTACCTTTAATCATTTTGTATATTATAAACCTTAATCCACGTTTAAATAAAACACAAATTGGGTTCTTGTAGTCCCCTCCCCCTGCTTAATCTTTTCAGTGTATTTGCATAATCCATCCATTGTCTTCCCTATTGTTTATTTCCATTAACCTGTGGGTGACACATTTTATGAATGGAATGTTACTGATCCCCAGATTACATTTAGCATTTCAGGGCTCTGAGGTCCCACTGGGTATGTTCTAAATTAGCATTAGCTGCCCATGATGTGTAAATAATTCAACACATTTACGGAGTACAAGTAATCCTGAATCAATAAAGTACAGAAAATAACTACATAGAAGCTTAATTAATCTTTACAAAACAAGTTTTAAAAGAAGAGAAGCATTTTGTTCTGCCTTTCAGGCTAAATATTTTGGGTTTTTACCACTCTGGCAGCTCTATAACAGCAAAGCAAAGTGGAAAACATTCAATTATCAAATAAAATTCAGCCACATTATATACCTAACATGAATAAACTGAAGTCAACCTTATTCCCATTTTGGCAAATTAATTGCACAGATAAATAAACCAGCACAGATTTATCTTATAATTAAGCCCTTTTTGTTCCCTATTTTTAAATACAGTATTTTTTTTTTTTACCAAAGTGATATATACACATAGTTTAAAGAGGAAACTTCTTTTATCTTTTTTTTTTTTAAATGAAAGCCAGAAATCCTTTATGTCAGTTCCAGTTTCTGCTTTCTACAAAAAAAAAAAAAAAAAAAAAAAAATGCTGTCAACTTTTAGCTGATTCTTTTGGTATTTAAACTTTATATCCTTCAATTGTACATTAATATTTTTACTTCTTGACTTTTCAATTTTAAATATTATCCTACTAACTTTCCACTACGGAAGAGAAGTATGTAGCCTTCATTTGTTTCAGGAACTGCACATATTTAAAATATATGGTTTGGTTAAGTTTTGACATATGCATATACTTGTGACTATAATCAAGTTAACTCATGGCCTGCAAGTCTTCCCCCCAGATCACAGGCAACTACTCATTTCCTTGCTATAATTTTGATTAGTTTGTATGTCTAGAATTTTAAGTAAGAGGAAATGTACAGTATTTACTTTTGTGGGTCTGATTTCTTTCACTTAGCATAGTTATCTTGATATTCATTCATGCTGTTGTATATATCAAGAGTTCATTCCTTTTTATTGGTGGGTAGTATTCCATTGCATGGCATACACTGTGTATCTATTCCTTGCTGATGGCCATTTGGCTTTCATAGTTTGGCTACTATGAATAATGTTGGTATGAGCAATCATATAAAAGTCTGTGTGGACACATGCTTCCATTTCTCTTGGGAAAATACCTAGGAATGGAATGGCTGGGTCATATGATAAATGTTTAAATTTTTAAGAATCTGCCAAGTTATTTTCCAAAGTAGGTTGTAGCATTTTATATTCCTACCAACAGCATATAAGAGTTCCAGTTTCTCCACAACTGTGTCAACACTTGTTATGTTCAGTTTTTGTTTTGTTTGGAATTTAACTATACCACTAAGTATGCAGTGGTATCTAACTATGGTTTCAAATTGCAATTCCCTGTTGAATAATGACGTTGAGCATCTTTCCATATGCCTTTTTGTATAATATTCCTTTGGTGAAGTATCTGTTAAAACAATTTTTTAAATTGGGTTAATATTTTATAATTAAACTTTAAAAGTTTTATATATTCTGAATAAAAGTTTACTGTGGGATGTGTGTCGTCTAAATACTTTCTCCTATTCTGCGACTTAACTTTTTATTCTAACAATGTCTTTGGAAGATCGAAAGTTCTCAATTTTGAGGAAGTTCAATGTAACATTTTTTTCCATTTATGAATTATGATTATGTTTTATTTAAGAATCTTTGCCTAACCCAAAGACACAGATTTTTCACCCAAGTTTTCTAGGTCTACCTATTTTGAGTTAACTTTTGTATTATGGGTGAGGTATGAATTGAGGTCAATAGTTTGCATTTGAATATCCAATAGTTCCGGTAGCATCTGTCGGAAAAAAGTATACTTTGCAAATTGCCCTTGAACATTCACTGAAAATCAACAGACCATATATGTGTGTGAGTCTACTTTTGGACTTTCAGTAGCATACTATCTTGATTACTGTAGCATTATAAATTTTGAAATCAGTGTTAATGTTCCCACGTTGTCCTTTTTAAAAGTTATTTTTGCTATGGTAAATTCTTTGCATTTACATGTAAATTCTATTATCAGGTTAATTTCTAAAAAACAATCATACTGGGATTTTGACTGAAATAGCCTTGGATCCATAGGTCAATTTAGAGAGAATTGACAACAATATTGAGTCTTCTGGCCCATGAGTACAGTATCTCTCCTTCTATTTAGGTTTTCTTTAATTTTTCTCAGCAATACTTTATACTATTCAGTGTACATGTTTTACACATCTTTCATCAGGTTGATCCCAAAGTATTTCATATTTTTTATTGTTATTGTAAATGATATTATTTAATTTCAATTTCTGATTGTTGCCAGTATATAGAAATATATTAATATTTATATATTTATCACAGGGTGTGGTGGCTCATGCCTGTAATCCCAGTATTTTGGGATGCCCAGGCAGGAAGATCTCTTGAGCCTAAGAATTTAAGAGTAGCCCTGGGCAACATAGGGAGATCCCATCTCTGTAAAAGAAAATATTATCTGCGCATGGTGGCATGTGCCTGTGGTCCCAGCTACTTGGGATGCTGAGGTGGGAGGATCGCTTGAGCCTGGGAAGTTGAGGCTGCAGTGAGCAGTGATCACACCTCTGCACTCCAGCCCTGAGACAGGGCGACAGAGTAAGAACCTGTCTCAAAAAAATCATCTAGGATTCTGCAACTTAAATATTGGAGTGGAATTTTTTAGATTCGGTAAGATTTTCTACTCAGATAATCATGTTACTTGCAAATAAAGATAGTTTTGCTTCTTCCTTTCCAATTTGGATGACTTCAAAAAATTTGTTTTTTTCAGAATCAATGCACTACCTAGACCATTTGTGACAATTTTGAACATAAGAAGTGAGAGCAGACATCCTTGCCTTTTTATTTTAGGTAGAAAACATTCAGTCTTTTACCATTAAGTATGTTAGCCGTAGGTCTACCATCCATGCCCTTAACTGGTTGTATATAACATATGGTAACAATAGTCCTTCTAATACATTTGGTTTACTAATTCTATATTTTGTGTCTTCTCAGTTTTGCTTGGTTGGCTTTTTAATCCTCTTCATTGATCATATTTTACTATTTTTCTATATACTTAAAATTTTTTCACCAGATGCTGGAGATAGTTTTGTCTTGTTGATGTCTAGATATTTTTGTATTCCTTTAAATATGCTTGATCTCTGTATTCAGGAATGCTCTTAAATTACCTGGAAACAGTTTGGCCTATTTGAATCTTGATTTTAATCCCCATTAGGTGAATCAGAGTTGTGTTAATTTTTTTCCCATGGCTGAAGCAAAACCTAATGAGTACTCTATAGATTATAGTACTCTACTGATACCCATGAGTTGGTTTTCCACTCTGGGTAATGAAAACTAGAACTACCCCTGGTCCTGTGTGTTAGCATTAGAGATTCCCCCCATAAGCCTTTCCTGTGGTTCTTTGCCAGACTTTGGATAGTTTCCTCACATATATGAAATGATCAATACTTAACAGGAGACTCCAGGGAATCATTTGCAAATAGCTGTAGCTCTCTCCTCTCCTTTAGACCTCTGACCTGAAATCTCTGGCTACCTTGGCCTCCCTGGAATTCCAGCTCTGCCTCTTCAAGTCAGAGAGTCCACTAGGCTCTACCTAGGTTCCTCCTTTCTGGATCATGGCCTGGAAATGCTCTTCTGGCAGTAAGCAGGTGCAACTAAAGGGCTTACTTCATTTCTTTTCCATTTCTCAGGAATCACTTTCATTGCTTTATGTTTAATGTCTTGAAAATATTTTTTCCCATTTTTGGGGCCTTTTTAAATTGTTTTGGGTGGGAGGCTAAATATAATCCCCTGCTGCTCCATCTTGGACATAAGTAGCTCCCTCTTTTTTTTTTTTTTTTTTTTTTTTTTGACCACATTCCCCCACTATAAACAAAATTCCTGTCCCTTCCTTACTTCTAATATAGTAACATCATTTTGCAGGGGTTAGATCTAAATTCAGTATCTACATTACATTAGTTATGAGAATGTTCTAGACAACTGAGACACAGTATTTTCTATGATTACTTTCCATGCCTTGCTCAATAGTTTGTTCATAATTCATACTTATATTTGTTTTTGATGTCCTCTCTTTATACACTTAATCTAATACAATTCCAAATTCTAGTAAAAGTAGTACAATCTAATTAATACAACTCCAAGCTCTATTCCAAGTGGGCAAATATCTCAACATGTCAAAATATGTTTTATCAATTTAATCTACGTTGAAGCATTTTCTGACATGCTCCAGTCAGAACTGATTGCTCTCTAAAATCAACTGTCACTTTGAGGGTCTCAATTAACCATCACTCTAGGGACACCTTTCTCTCTCCCATGTTGATTTCTTGTTTCGGGGAATTTTTTTTTTTTTTTTTTTTTTTTTTTTGAGACACAGTGTCACTCCATCACCTAGGCTGGAGTGCAGTCAGGCGATCTCGGCTCACTGCAGCCTCTGCCTCCTAGGTTCAAGCAATTTTCATGACTCAGCCTCCCAAGTAACCGGGACTACAGGAGCTCACCACCATGACCAGCTAATTTTGTATTTTTCGTAGAAACAGGGTTTTACCATGTTGGCCAGGCTGGTCTCAAACTCCTAACCTCAAGTATGTCACCCACCTCAGTCTCCCAAAATGTTGGGATTACAAGTGTGAGCCACTGCACCCAGCCAGTTTCAGGGATCTTAGATCCTCTTTGTTTCCCCCTGGTTTTGGTAAATTCTACAGTTCACCAAAGGGAATATAAAAGGAACATTTTTTTTAGTGCATGTCTAAAAATATCATTATTCTACCATCACTGTTAATAGAAACTATTGCTGGTATAGAATTCTAGGTTGGAAATGATAGTTTCTCAGAATTATGAAGTTACTGTTTTCCAGATATCAGTATTGCTCCTCACATCAAAATGAAAGTTGAAGAAAAGGATCTTTTAAAGTTTTGTTCACTGTCTGACACAAAGTAGGAGCTCAATAAATATTTGTAGAATAAATCAATGTTGAGAAGTCATTCTAACTCATTGTATAAAATCTGGTTTCTCTTTCTGGAAGATCTTAGGATTTTTTAATCCTTAAGTTTCTGAAAATTCATGAAATGTACTTATAAAACCATCAGCTCTCATGAGACTCGCTCATCATCATGAGAACAGCATGGGGGAAACCTCCCCTACCATCCAATTACCTCCACCCGGTCCCACCCTTGACAAACGGGGATTATTACAATTCAAGGTAAGATTTGGGTGGGGACACAGAACCAAATCATATCAGGATTGTATAGTACATATTTAGAGAAATTATCCAAAGATGATGTGCGTATAAGAGAAATAGAGAAACAAAACTTTAAGAGAGGACAGGAAACTAAAACGATACTAATACAAAATGAATACAATAAATGACGTGGACATCCCTGTCCACTACTATGTAGTTGTAGTTTTTGGGTGGTAGTGTGGGGAATTGAAGTCCCTTGGTGAGTGGCTCTGATTAGTCTAACTCAATATAGCAATCCCATGTCCATGTCAGTGACTGATTGAGGCATCCCGTGCACAGAATTTCTCTGGCCACTGGTTTTGGTTCAAAACCAGGCTCATGAGATATAAAAAATACTTTGCTAGGATCTTCTAAGGAAACTTTTTATGATCTTAAGAGAAGACTATAGAAAAATATAGCTTCTACGACTTCCTTTGAACACTGGCATGTATGAATGTGAGGCCAAGAAATTCTGTAGGCTTAACGGCTAAGGTGTGAGATAAAGAAAAAAAAAATAAAAAAATTATGTTATCTTACTACTAGTCTGGGGATGAAGCTATCCCATGAAAGAGAATAGCAATGTGAGAATCACAAAGAAAGAGAGCTGTGGCTACTGAATAAAGCTTGTCTTAAAGCTTGCCTGCTCGAGACCTGCAGGCAAGTGAGCATGCAAATTTATTTATTGTTTAAAACAGTTGGAGGCAGGATTTCTATTGCTTGCAGTTGAAATCATTGATATAATAATGGGGACTTATTCAGTTACTAATATAGATATCTAAAATGATGGCTGGGTCTCAACGGTAGCAAAAAAGAGGGAAATTACACTGATTTTCATTGAAAGATACATAAAATACATTTAAAGGATTCTATACAACCTAGGAGACAACACTTTTTTTTGTTTGTTTTTGTTTTTTTGAGACAGAGTGTTGTCATCCAAGCTGGAGTGCAGTGGTGTAATCAGAGCTCACTGTAGCATTGACTTCCCAGGCTCAAGTGATCCTCCCACATCAGCCTCTGGAGTAGCTGGGACCACAGGCACACACCACCACACCCAGATAATTTTTTAGTTTTTCTTTTTTGTAGAGATGGGGTCTCGCTACGTTGCCTAGGCTGGTCTTGAACTCCTGGGCTCAAGCAACCTTCCCTCCTAAAGTGCTGGGATTATAGGTTTGAGCTACCACACCTGGTTAAGGCAATGCTTTCAACAACAGCAAATGCAGAAACACATCTCTAAAACTGCAAAATAATTTTTTATGTCTTCATTTTGTTTGTAAACTCAAAATCATTTCAGGCAGAGAATTCAATCTTAACTCTGTAAGTTGAATTCAGCTATGCTATCTACAACAGTGTTTCCTAATGTAAATTTACTGGCCTTTTTGGGCAGAATATTTCTCCACTGTGGGATTGTCTCATGTACTGCACTTTTAAACCCAGCACTAAATGACTCCCTACCCCTGGTTATCATGACAATGAAAATCATACCTTATTCACTTACTCTAAGGTACTGCTACTAGCCCCAGTTGAAAAATCACTAATGTAGGGGAATAGATTTATAGTATATACTATGAGATTTTCTCCTTTCAATATCATTTAAAAAAATCACAGAGTCTAAGACCTTTATATTATCAGGAAACATAACAAAAAAGAATAATAATGAGGCAATAACAGATCAGGAAGAATAAGAAGATAAAGAAACGGAGTCTCAGCATGGTCATACAGCATTCATATGGTTAAATAAAATATTTTTGTGAACATATTCACTAAGTTTATTTTTTAAATAAGTGCAAATTAAGAGCATATTCACTACGTTTATTTTTTAAATAAGTGCAAAATAAGAGCATATTCACTAAGTTTATTTTTTAAATAAGTTCCAAATCACATGCATGCAACATAGCAGACAGGTTATAAGACACAATACATTATGTGGTGACATTTTATAGGCCTAATAATAAGGGAGAAAAAGAAAATATGTTAGCATATTTCTGTTTTTAATTATTAAGTTCTGTTGAACTAACTATAACCAGGAGAAAAGAAATATTATCAAGGTATTTATCTTTTACTCTGTAAATGTTTGAAATGTTTCTTAGTATTGGTGGCCTTTTTTTTTTTTTTTTTTTTTTTTTTGAGACAAGGTCTCATGCTGTCGTCCAGGCTGGAGTGCAGTGGTGTGATCATAGCTCACTGCAGCCTCGACCTCCCCAGAATCAGGTGATCCTCCCACCTCTGCCTCCTGAGCAGCTGAGACTACAGACATGCACCACCATGTCTGGCTGGTTAAGTTTTGTATTTTTTATAGAGATGGGGTTTCACCATTTTGCCCTGTCTGGTCTTGAACTCCTGGTCTCAAGTGATCAAACCCACATGGCCTCCCAAAGTGTTGGGATTACAGGCATGAGACTCTGTGACTGGCTGATAGCTAATTTTTTGAGCAAGGAATGGTGCTAGGTGCTGTGACCTGTGTTCTCAGAGAATGTAAGTAAAAAGATAACTAATGACTTTAAAGCCATGTGGGTTACAAGTGACAAGACAATACTACAGACAATAAATGCTCAAAGACTTCAGAATACTCTCTGCTGGAATAACTGAGAAAGGCCCCACTGTGGAGGTGAGACTTGAGGGCTCCTTACCTGGTAATACAGAGAGCAGGAGGAACAGTCACCAGAGCTAGGGGGAAGAGACTATGCAAGAATGAGAAATGCAAAAGGCAAGTAAGAGGTGCAGTGGAACGGATATTGTAGGGGGAATGGCTAGCCTAAATGAATACAGGAGACTGAATGATACGCTGAGAAGCAGACCACAGACTGAAGAATGTGAACCTTACCCTGCAGGCAAGGGAGGGCTACTGATGATCTTGAGCGCTAGTAGAATGATATAATAAACAATTTTTGGGGGAAGTAAGGGTTGAGTAAAGTATGAAAAGAAATATTTATATTAATAAAAAAATATATACCTGAAATGGCTTATCTGATTTTCTAAAAGGGAAGAGAGTCTCTCTTTTATCTCCTCAAATCTTTCTTTTTCTTCCACTGAAACAGTCCCAATTCCATCAGGCCTGAAAAAAAAATCAGAATCAATAATTCATATTGATCGAACATTTACTTTTATATATTTTATACATATGTATATTTAAAAATCCAAGGAAAAGTTCACTGTATACATATTAATTGTGTTTACAGTGGAAATTTACTGGAAATATTTGCAGCCATTTGCTTTATATTTTGACCCAGAATGAATGGAATGGAATTATTCTCTTTTAGACAGCCTTCAAGGTAAAAGATTATAATAAATATTTTCCAGATCTACCGAAAACAATGACTAGTCCTTGAAAATGGCAGTGAAAAGTGTTTTATAGTAGTACCAAACATTTGACCAACTAAGTGAAATCCCCTGAATGAAAATATTATTAAAAAATAATGAACGTAAGGTAAAATGTCTTAACTGGTTCTCTTCCAAATAATAATTCAGCTAACACAGAACTGGAGATTTAATTGTCATAAGAAACATAGAAATTTTTGATACATGTAGAAGTTCACTGACCTCTTTTTGTTTGCTTAAATACAGGGCATATGAATAAATATTAGAATTAAAATATACAGGGAAGAGAGCAAGCTATGTTTCTTTTCAAGATTTTTGTGTTTAAATATTCCTGTGAAATCAATGTGAGTTTCATCAGAATTTTACAAAGTAGCTATGAAGACTGAAAATAAATCTTATTTTACTAAGATTAGGATTAAAAATGTAAAATATATCAAATAACAGAAATTTAGAATTTATTCTGTATCAATTTAGGTATCCGGTTGTACGGCAATCATCTAAAATTTTGAACATATAAATCTTAACTGTCTTGTTAGTGCAGAGGGAAAAAAAGTATGAATCTCATATTCACTTCAAAACCTGTTTATATATTTTAATAACAAAATAAACCTTTTGCACTTGATAATTAACAAGAATCATTTCCTACCTAATTAGTTTATTTGTTCATTTAGTTTCTGAGACAGTTTTGCTCTTGTTGCCCAGGCTGCAGTGCAATGGCACGATCTTGGCTCAGTGCAACCTCCGCCTCCTGGATTCAAGCAATTCTCCTGCCTCAGCCTCCTGAGCAGCTGGGATTACAGGCACCTGTCACTATGCTTGGCTAATTTTTGTATTTTTAGTAGAGATGGGGTTTCACCATGTTGTTCAGGCTGGTCTGGAACTCCTGACCTCAAGTGATCTGCCCGCCTTGGCCTCCCAAAGAGCTGGGATTACAGGGGTGAGCCACCGTGCCCAGCTTAGCTTATTTCTCTAAAGATTATATTTTAATTCCCAAAGACTTGTGCATTTATCATTCCAATGTACTAATTTTAATGGTTATATATAAAATAGGTAGAAACAGGAATTATTGAAAACAAAGAAAAATAAATGCTTAAAATAACTTTCCTAACAAGATTTTTATTTGTTCCTCTCTATATACATATAATCATATGTATGTGTGTGTGTATATATGTTTGATGCTTGTTAACTAGTCAATTAGGATGAAAGCAATTAATTTTAAACTTATACCTGAATTATACTGACATAATGACCTTTCAGTCAAATCAAAGTATCATTTAAGTATGAGATTTTTTTTCCAATATAGAGTACATAATTTTTACTTCAGAGACTCATGTGCTGCTGGAATTTATGCTTTGAAAACATTTCTTACAATTTTTTATTCCTAAATAGGGAAACATTACTTAATTTCATATGCAAAATAATATATCGACCACATTTATTCCATCTGAATGCATTTTGAATGTTAACTATGGAAAAATTAATGGCCAAATATTAGTCTCTCAAGTATTTTTAGGAAGGAGGAAAAGTCTAACGCATAAATTACAAAGCAGTGCACCATGAGCTAATACTAATATTTTATATTTATTTAATAATGGATTTTTCACATATTACTTTAGAATCAATTCCCATTGAGCGAATGTTAATACAAAACACAAACTGAAACCTATGAATAATTATGCATTGACAATGATCACAAAAGCTCAACTGGGAAGTTCTATATAAATCATTAATTTGGAATTTGGGTATTCAGACAAAAACTATACCTAAATTACATTATCATGTAGACAACAATGAAAACTCATACCATAAAGTTATGGGTGATTATTTCACTGAATATCCCTAGGCAAATTGATAAAAAGAGCAAATAACTTATCTTCATCATTCTGCTGATTTGACATAATCTTTTGGCTTAGCTACCTGGCAGATGCTATGTGGTTAAATAGGAGTAAACTTTTCTATTTTGTTCAACTGTCAAATGAGATTGTCATCCACAGTGATACTGTAAGTTGTCCTATCATATTAGATTTCACTGAGGCCCACTGTCTGCTTGACAGAATGGAGCCAGGGGGTCAGGTGATGACAAGTGAGAAAGGTAAGTCAGGGGAAGCTCGCTTGTGTCAACCTTCGCTAAGAAAAGAATGTTATACAGAGTGAAGGACCACCATTTTACTGAGTTTATCACTAAATTAGGTACAAATCTGACAGTTAAATACCACGTTTAGCAATTTGGACTTGCCTTTACACATCCTTATTTTAGAATATATACAAGATTAACTACTGAATATTAGGCATAAGAAGCAGCCTTCTATATCTAAATTATTGGTAATAAATGGTAACTTTGCAGTAGTCAACTCTAAAGGCAACAGTTCCTCCTACAATAATTCTTCCCGATAAGTGCAAATACTTTCCGTGTCATCAACATCTTGTCACTGTAATTATTAAAACAAACATAATGATGAGCACTTATAGAATTTTAAATACGTGTCTGGTATTTTGTACTGGCTATCTTATATGCAGAATAACATATAAAGCTCACAACAATCCTGTCTCCTTTCCAAAAGAGAAGGCTGCTGAGGCTCAGGGCAGTTAGGTTAATTCCCAAGGTCACACCGCTGGGAAATGCAGGAGCCTGGACTTGAACCTAGGTCTCTTGCCCTCCAAAGACGATGCTCTTACCCTTACTCTCTTCCTGCTATATTTTGATAGAAAATAATAACGAGCAATAGAAACCCAATGAAACCATGAAAGTTATATTTGAAAAGCAATAATGGAGTATTTTGAATACCCTTACATTAGACATTTTCTATCTGACTTGTCTAAGGTGGAGACGTTAAAAACCAATGACATTTAAAATATAATGCTTACCATTGAATCAGCAAGTCAGTTAAAGAAGACCGTAAGAAAGGAAGTCCTAAACCTTGCTCTTTCATACATTCTAAAGTATGTTTTTACAAAAGCCTTGAGAGAAATTTAAACCAGTTATATTTTATGAATGTTTGTTTAATAGACTCAGAGTATTCGAGATTTAAAAATTATCATTTATATAAGCTCAGTTTATAAATTCATTCCTGCCAGCTCTACCTTCAAAACACACCCAGAATGTGACCTTCCCTCACCATATCCACCACTGATCCACTGATCCCAGCCACTATCTGCTTATCCCTGAGTACGCAGGCAGCCTCTTGGTCTTTCTCCTCCAGCGCTTTCTTTGTCAGAGAACTGGCCACACACTACTCCGAGCCTCTTCAACCATCAGTCATTATGACAGTATTCCTTGACTCAATTCCTGTAATGGTGGCACACAAGGTAAAAGCCAAAGCCTTTATAATGATGTATGAGCCCCGCTTCCCACAATCTGACCTTATCTACCCCCTCACTTGCCCTGCTCCCCTCCACTCAAGCCATGCTGGCCTCCTAACTAGTCCTCAAACACAGGAAGCAAGCTCCAGGCTCAAGGCCTTTGCAAGTGCTGCTGCTTCTGCCTGAGAGTGCTTTCTCTACATGTACACAAAATCATATATGCACACATGCACACCTGGCTTGCTTGCTCACTTTCTTCTGGTCTCTACTTACATGACTCAGCATTAGTGAGGTTATCTCCAACCATCCTACATGAAAGTGTATTTCCCATTCCCATAGACCTTTCTATTTTTTAATAATAATATTTATTAAATAATAATATTTAATAAAAATGTTTTATTGATGGCCACTGTACATATGGCTGCCATCTAACATGATATATTTACCTATTTGGTTACTGTTTGCTTCCTTTGTAATGTATCTCTAGTGCTAGAACACCAGATGGCATATTGTTGATATTTAATGCATATATGCTGAGGAAATGAATGAGTAATATATGCAATATAAAAATATTACTTAAGATGATAAGAATTCATGAATTAGTAATATGACAAATTATTATTACTGCTTATTAGAATTAACAGGGTATAAATTATTTGGAACATTTTTATTTATTTTTTATTTTTCAGATGGAGTCTCCCTCTGTCACCCAGGCTGGAGTGCAGTGGCACAATTTCAGCTCACTGCAAACTCCACCTCCTGGGTTCAAGCGATTCTCCTGCCTCAGCCTCCCAAGTGGCTGGGATTACAGGTGTGCACCACCACACCTGGCTAATTTTGTATTTTTAGTAGAGATGAGGTTTCAAGTTGGCCAGGCTGGTCTCGAACTCCTGGCCTCAGGTGATCCACCCTCCTCAGCCTCCCAAAGTGCTGGGATTACAGGAAAGAGCCACCATGCCCAGCTTGGAACATTTTTATTATATGATAGTTGGTAAAACAGAAAATTTTGTGAAAAGCAAACAGAAGCAGGAACTGTAGTTAAGTACACTGGTAAAAAGATCTCTAAAGTTAGTATGTATTCACACTTAGCAGAAAATCTTTAGTGTTTAATTTTATTTTAATTAATAATAAAATAATTTACTTTAAATCTTAAGAATAGAATTTTTCTCCTTAGATATAAATAAACATAATAATCCTGCTTTGACATTGATAAAGATTCTGTTAAAATGTGGTTATTTAAAATTCGAACATAAAAGACAAATTTTCTCATTTGAATGTTAAGTGGGACTTAACTCTATGACGATAATTAAATATTAAAGTGGTTCTGATGAGAAGAAAGGGTAGTCTTATGTATCAATATTTAATATTCTCATTTTTTTCTGGGGCCTGTAGTTATTGAAGTTACATGATTTCAATAAAAATAGGGTGCTCTGTGAAAAAGGCTTAATATATGAAAAAATTATAAAACAGATTAAAATAGATACACTTCTTTTAATTACAGATAAAGTCAAAAAAGTTATGACATAAAACTTCTATCTGGTCTTAAACAATAAGCAAGTGAACACCAAGTGCAGTTGTGTGTTAATTTATTTCAAAGGTTCTTAAAAAACAGAATTTGTACAACAGAACCTTCTGCCACTGAGGCCTGATCTTAACGTCTGCCTGTGGGTCACACTCTGTTTTCAGAGAAGCCATCACACACATGTACATCCCCCTGCAAGCTGCATACACACGTGTGCACACAAACACAGACAACACTTTTTGAAAGGCAGATTCATCCAAAAAATAGTTGATAAGGCCTCTATATACATATTTTCTTAAATTTCTCCATGAGCTAAGCAATCTTGTAATTTGTGCTATTCATCAATCTGGCAGATTACTGCATTCTAAAACAAACGCAAAAACTCTTTTATATACATTGAACATCCCGTCATGATTATCAATTCCTCCTGTAACAAGTGTGACGTGAGCTCTAAATTGAAAAAGGTATTTTTAAACTAAAAGTCAGGAATGAGAGGAGTAAACAGCATTACTCATCCTAATCCATTTTCTATTATTTCGGATGATTTCTGTGGTAAAACAAACTAAAAATTTAGTTTCTATAAAGGTAAAGAACAACTACACTATAGGGTAAGAAATATCTAAGAGAAAAAGGGTACAAAACTGGGCTGTAGAATCAGGCATTTGAGCAGAAGAGAAAATATCAATGAGGAAGACTGCTTAAATATTCAGATCTGTGCAAACCTAGTGCTTTACTTCCCTTGTTTGAACAGTTTGTGTTCACACATTTTATAGATCCCTTTTCCAGTATAATAAAAAATTTCAGGGGTTTGTAACACCAATAAAAACTAATTTTGACATGTTTAATATCCATTCCTTTGGAGTACATTTGAGTAAAGATGAATTAATGGCTGTCAACATTTTCCAAAACACATTGTAAGGAACAATGACCCTCAGGGATGCCCAAATATTTTGTAAACAATGCAAATTACGCAACCCTTTTGGAGGTTCACAGAACAATCACAGCATATGAAGGGGTCTGAGAAGCCTGATAGTAAAGAAATCTGTTTAACTTTGTATAAATAGCACTTCCAGAATTATTTAGTCACATCTGCCCACATTCCTCCTGAAAATTCATTATTTAGTGCTGACGAGCATCCGTTCTATTACTTAATGAAAACTATACCATCTTCTAGAGTTATTTTTTCAATCACTTTTATCACCTGCACAGCTTTTAGATATGTGAGGGATAAATGTGTTTATAATCCCTAGGCTTTATAATCTCTAGGACTCTGCACATTGCCTGGTTTACAGTACTTAGCAAGCTTGTGGATTGAATAAAGACACCAGGGTTAACACTGTATAGTGAAGTGTGGTTAAATTAATAAGACATTAAATTAAATTAAATGCTCCCCCACCCCATCTCCAACTCATCAGGTAAGTTTGTCCTGGAAATCTGGTGGTTTGTTGTAAAAGATTATTTCACAAGCAATGCATGAGCAAATGACAAAGTTCATGGTGCTTTTGAGTTACTTATAGGCTTCTTTTCACCTGCTTCTGCTACGAGGAATGAGGAATGCATGACATCTTAGCTTCCTCTAGGGAAAGTGAGAAGGGGAGAGACACCTAGAGGGTGGTATTTCTGAATTGTCAATTCTGCCTGCAGCACAGCAGGTAAAAGTCACTTTGCACTTCGTGTATTTCCCACCAATATCCATTTGTGAACAGAATGGAAAGGAGAGGATGTCACAGCACGAGAATAAGAAATGATAAAAGATGATGAGGAAGAAAACAATAATCCCTTCTTTTTTATTTCCTAACCTATAATACCTCCTATTGTTTGAATCAAATGATGTATTACTTGGATGGTCATATATTACACACTCAGTGTCCTTTTACTTCCCCTCTAATTTTAAATATCCAGAAGAAATTAATTGTGTCTTTATATGATCATTGAGATATAAAAAACAGATTTTCTATGAAAAAATATTTTAAAAGATGAAATTCTGAAATATGTTCTTATCTTTTTGCAAACACTCCCCCCTTCCTTGTCTGGATTTTGCACTGCATTCTAATTTCCTTGGATGTTTATTTTAAAAAGGGTAGATACCACTATGGTGAAAGCAATCATCTGACTCTATAAAGATCTAAGATCATATTACTTCGTTTTTGTGTTAGGGTGCTGGTGAATAGGCCAAGGACCAAAACATAATTGATAACTGGCCTCTCCTGGGACCAAACAAACAAATAAGAAAACTTTCTTGGACTAATCCAAACTGAAATCACTGCTGTATATAATTCCAGAATTCAAGAGAAAGAAATACCAAGAGCAATTTAAAATAAAAGTAAAGAGAATTAAGGTTGGTATAGAGGTTCTCTGATATAAATATCACCCTCTGCCCTATAACTAATATTTTTAAAAAACAACATATATTGTAACTAAAGGACTTCATATATATCATACTATGAGAAGAGAAATTTGAAAAATAAAGACCAAAATGAAAATTTCCTATAAATATGCCAACCAGAAATAACTGAAATACTAGTTTGTAAATATAATTATAATTTATTTCTCTAACTCTATAGATGTATTATACATTCTGATTCATAATTTGATTGTTTTAACGAACTGTAAGCTTTTAAAATATAATTTAAATATTCTAATTTATAATGAAATAATTATATTTCAATATATGGATGTGCCATAATTAATCCAATTATCCATTATTTAGAAATGTAGGCATTTTTCCTCCATTTTTTGCTATCATAGATAGTGCTTCAATAATTAATCTTATACTATATATGTTTAACCCATATCCAAATGTTTTCTTAAGAAAAATTCCCAAAGGTATATTGCTAGGTTAAATGCACGATATTTTCAAGTATTCGATACATATTGCAAAGTTGGTTTTTTAGAAAGCACTTATCAGCTTACACTCTGGCCTGCAGTGCATGAAATTATTAATTTTCCTGCAACCTCACCAACTGTAGTCTTTATCCTTTGTTATAATCATTTTCAATTTTATATACTAAAAAGGGGATCTATTTTAATATATTAATTTCTATGATGGAAAATGATGCTATCTTGCTGATTATGTAGGGCCTTTATCATGTGCCATAAAAATAATTGCAGTTGATTAATTTAAAAACATTTAATTTTAAACTTACTTAAGAAGGTCCATAATATATCACCTATAAAATTTGTAAACAGATGGCCCAATGTCATTCAATTATTTACTCAATCAATATTTATGGACCACTTGGTCAGGTCATGGGACACAATGTAAGCACAACAGAAATGGTTTCTGCCCCAATAGAGTTTATAGTGGGAAAATGCATACAAAATAAAAATTAGACAATAAGTATACAATTACATTTAAGAAGGGCAAAAGTATAAACATCTGATCTAGTTTGGAGTGTCAGAGAAGGATTCAGTTTGGAAATGATATTTAACCTGAAATGTGATGAATGAGCAGCAGTCATTTAGGTGAAACCTGAAGCAGAAGGCAGTTTGAGGAGAGGCCCAGGATGTTCGCCATAGAGATGTCCAAATAATTTTTTAAATGCAAATTTTTTCATGTGACTTCTGCTTGCAGTATGGTGGACTAACTTGATACTCCCCAAATCCTTATTCACTACAAAACACCTAAATACTGCATAAGCCACAACAATTATATATTAAATGTTGTCCAGCTCTTACTAGAAAGTAAAATAATTCTCCCAAGGGTGGGAGAACAAAACAAATGAACCTGATGAAAGCAAAGAAGGGGCAAATATGAACAACATGGCTGTCTTGGTGGTAAATATCAATACTGAGAAAGCTTTACAGCTGCATCCAAGGGAATGGATCACTGAGCCATAGACCTAATTTGGATGAGCTGCTAAGCCTGAGACACCTGCATAAAAATGGGACCCTAGAATGGGTTATAGTATCAGTGAAAGGATAGTGCACTCCCTAACATCAAGGAAAAACAAGAACAAGTCCTCTTTAGAGGGAAGCATTCAGAGCCCAGGACTTTTAAGAATTCCCACATATTAATCTTAAGTATAAATGTTTATTACAAAAAAATGCTAATTGCATTAAAAAATAATAAACAAGTGACCATGGCAAAAATGTCGGCAGAAACAATAGAAAATTCAGTTATTTGAAAGATAATATGAAATAATTATAAAAGATCTAAGGAAACAAAAAATGGAATCAAACCAAGAAAGGAAAAAGATATTCAGAAGTAATCAAGCAGAGCTCAAAAAGAATCAAACAGAATAACAGAATTTCCAGGACTAAATAATTTGTTAACTGAAATTAATAAATCAATAAGTGAGTGAAACAGTAGATGTCAGAGCTGAAGAGAGAACTGAAGAAATAGAGTAAGGGTTGGCAAACTACGGCCTTTCATCTGCTTTTGTCAATATAATTTTGTTGGGACAAGCCACACTAATTCATTTCTATATTGTCCATGACTGCTTCTGCACAGCAATGGCGGAGTTGTATAGTTGTAACAGAGACTACATGGTCAAAAATAGTTACAAGATTTTGTATAGTTACAAAGCCCAAAATAGTTGTCATGTTTACTGTAGAGCCCTTCACAATAGCAGCCAATTCCTCAACTGGAAGACAGAATTGAAAACATTACACAGGATGCAGCTGGAAAAATACGTAGATAGAATACATTTTAGAGACATTAAAAGATATAGAAGATAAAATGCCTAGTACATGGGTAATTGGAGCTTCAGATGAGAAGAAAAAGATTGTAGAAGAGACAATATTTAAAGAGATAATGCTATTCCAGAACTGATGACAAATATAAATCTTTATATTCCAATCAGGGTAAATAAAAAGAAATGCACACCTATACAATATCATGGCAGGTAGATTAGAAATTCATATATGTCCCAATCACAATAAATTAAAAGAAATCCATACAAAGAAACCTTACAGTGTACTTACAAAACACAAAAGAACAAAAGAATCTTTTTTTAAAAAAAGCATCCAGAGGAAAAAGAGGAATCATCCTCAAAAGACTAGCATTTGTACTGCCAAGAGCCTTTTTTGTTGTTGTTTTGTTTTGTTTTTTAAGATGGAGTCTCGCTCTGTCACCAGGCTGGAGTGTAGTGGCGCCATCTCGGCTCACTGCAACCTCTGCCTCTCAGGTTCCAGTGATTCTCCTGCCTCAGCCTCCCAAGTAGCTGGGACGACAGGTGCGTGGCACCATGCCTGGCTAATTTTTGCATTTTTCAGTAGAGAGGGGGTTTCAACATATTGGCCAGGCTGGTCTCAAATTGCTGACCTGGTGATCCACCCGCCTCGGCCTCCCAGAGTGCTGGGATTAAAGGTGTGAGCCACCTCGCCTGGCCTGCCAAGAGCCTTCTTAATGGCAACAAAGAAAATCAGAAGAAAATGAATGTCTTCAAAGTTCTAAGAGAAAATAACCATCAACCTAGCACTGTACACCTAGCAAAACTTTCTTTGAAAAAATAGGATGAAACAAAAGAAATTCCCAATAACAATTCACAGTGTATAAGAGTCCATTTATAGGAAAGTCCAAAGAACATTCTTCAGAAAAAAGGAAAATTGTTTCTAAATCTAAGCAAATACGAAGTACAAAATAAGAAAGATAATATTAATTTATAAGCTTAGGAAAAAAGGATATAACTAAAATACCACAGAATTTAAGTATGTAAGCCAGAAAGGGGGTGACTGGAGGGTAATATTCTAAGGACTCTGAACTACCTAGGAGGAGAAATTTGTTAATTAGCATAAGACTTTAAAATTTCAGCAACATGCCTGGTAAATCTCAAATGTAATTGTTGGAAAATATAAACTGTTAAGAGAAAAAAAAAGAATTAAAGAAAATAACTTCAATGAAACAAAAAGTATACCAATAAAAAGTTTATAGAACATGAGCCAAAAAAGAAAGCTTAAAATAAAATGGTAGAAATGGATTTACTTTTATTAACATGTGATTTACTTTTATTAATATGTGATTTACTTTTATCAATTACATGATAAATGTAAATGGACCAAACTAATTAAAGGACAGAAATAGTCATATTGAAAAATTAAATCAAAATCTAGTTTGCTATTTATAAAACACTAAAGTACAAGAATATAGAAAGGCTAACGATGTGAACATGCATCAGATAAACACTCATCAAAAGAAAGCTACATTAATAATCACCTACATATCATGCAAAAATCATTATTAGTTATGATGATCATCACCAAATGATGATAACAATGTTCATCTACCAGGAATATCTAACAATCTTAAGCTTGAACACAGAACAGCCTTGGGCCAGGCACAGTGGCTCATACCTGTCATCCCAGCAATTTGGGAGGCCAAGGAGGAAGATCACTTGAGCCCAGGAGTTTGAGACCAACCTGTGTGACATAATGAGATTTTGTCCCAACAAAAAGCAACTCCTCAAAAACCAGCTTCAAAATATACAAAGCAAAAATTTACAGAAATAGAGAGCAAAAACCACCATGACAGTGGTAAATCACCACTCACGTTGGTCATAACCCCACAGATCAAACAGGCAAGAATTAGTAAGACTTTAGAAGATCTTAACCACACAAATCCTGTTTGCACTGCCTAAAGAATACATATATTTTTTTTTAAGTGACAGAAAACATTTATAATATTTGACACATATTTGGCCACAAAGGAAATCTCAACAAGTGATAAAGAATTGGTATCACACAGATCACATTCTCTGAACACAAAGGAATTAGGTAAGAAATCAGTTCTCAAGAAAATAACCAAAAATCTTCATATTCTTAGATTTTTTTTTTTTTGAGGTGGAGTCTCGCTCTGTTGCCCAGGCTGGAGTGCAATGGCATGATCTCGGCTCACTGCAAGCTCCACCTCCCAGGTTCATGCCATTCTCCTGCCTCAACCTCCCAAGATATTTTAAAACGTACTTATAAATAACCTTGTGTCAATAAATTATGAAAAGTTAAAATTACTTAGAATCAATTTTAATTAAATAGTACATAAGACATTTCTATATGTAGTAAAAACAGAATTTAGTGGGGGAAGTTACAGCCCTAAACTCTTAGAAAAGAAGAAAAGCTGGCAAGTAGTGAGTTACACATCTAACATAAGAAGTTAGGAAAGATGACATAACCTCACTAAGGAGGGTGGGAGAAAAAGCTGCTTTCCTATTCATCTTTGGCAAACAGTATTTTGACTGGAAACTGAAAGGTTTTGTAGACAAGTACTATAGCCTAGTTGGTGAATTCCAAAACTGCTTTGCATGAAGTTCAGGGGTTGAACAATTTTGTAAATGGATGGTGGAAGTAAGATTTCTCACTGTTGAAAAGATAAGTTAAAGATAAGGAAGAAAAGCATGCTGAAATGAATGTTGATGTCCTAGATTCCAGTTGGAGACGTCAGTATGAACTCATGGTTTAGTACACATCATATATCACCTAGCTCTGTCCAACTGAGAGGGCCTGGAAGCTATGATTTTTCCAGCAGAAATAAACACACATGTCACCTAGATCTTGGTTTCTAAATACCATTCTCTAAAAAACAAACAAACAAACAACAACAATAACAAAACCAGAGCTCCTTGGAGAACTGATTAATTCTTAGGCTAGAGTAGGGAAAATAAAAGATGAGCTTGCAGCATGTCAGATTGCCAGAAACTAAGAAAGTGCTCAAAAACCAAATGAGTGGGGCATATCAAAGGGAGCCAGTATAAAAGAGCTTTCAATAGCTACAGCAGGAACAATCTGAGCAACAAAGTAATTTAGATATTATTAGATTGTAACCCAAGGTATAAAGCAACTGCACATGAATCTATACGGATATAAACAAATGGTTAAATAAATAAATTGGAAAGAAGAGACATATATTCCTTACAGAAGAATTCTGAATAACGTATGCAGATAGTTCTCCTTCTAGGAGTTGGGGTTTATTTCCTGTCTCCTCTTCAGTGTGTTTTATTGGACTTAGCTATTTTCTTCAAACTAGAGTATAAAAAAATAAAAATGACATCTTTACAGTAGAGAAATGTGACAAATACTACCAGGATGTCACGCGGATATTATGTACTCCCTGATAGAATGTGATGAGAAGGGTATTTCATCTCTTTACAAAAACTCATAATCTCAGGCTAATCATGAAAATGTCAGACAAACCCAAACTGAGAGACATTTGATAAAACACTTGACTAGTACTCCTCAAAACTGTCAAGGTCACAAAAAACAGACAAAAAAATCCCTAAGAAACTGCTACAATCATGACAATTAAGTGCAACTTGGTACCCTGAATTGAATCTTGGAGCAGAAAAAAGGACATTAATTTAAAAAACTGGTGAAATCTGAATAAGGACTGGTGTTCAGTTAATACTAGTGTGCCAACGTTGATTTCTTAGTTTTGACAAATGTATGACAATAACATTAAGGGAAACGGAAATACGAAAACTCTATGCACTCTTTTAGTAACTTTTCTGTAATCTAAAATTATCGTAAAATAAAAAGTATATCTAAAAAAGAAACAATAGAGTTCAACAAAGCCAAAAGTTGCTCCTTTGAAAAGACCAATAAACTTGATGGATTAAGAGAAAAAAAGAGAGAGAAGGTAAAAATGAACAATATTAGACTGAGGAAGGGAAGAATTGTAGATCGAGCAAAAAATACAAAGAAAACAACTTGAATAACTTAATATCAATACATTTAATAACTTAAATGAAATCTACCATTTCCCAGAAAATCATAACTTGCCCAAACTGACTCAAGAATAAATAGAAAGCCTGAGAATTTCTGTAGCTACAACATAAACTACAACAGTTAAAAATCTTTCCACAAATAAATTCCCAAGCCCAGATGGTTTAAAACAGGGGTCCCCAATACCCGGGCTGTGGACTGGTACCAATCCATGGCCTGTTTGGAACTGGGCCATACAGCAGGAGGTGAGCGGCAGGCAAGCGAGTACTGCCTGACTTCCACCTCCTGTCAGATCAGTGTCGGCATTAGGTTCTCACAGGAACCTGAACCCTATCGTGAACTGTGCATACAAGTTATGTGCTGCTTATGAGAATCTAAGTAATGCCTGATGATCTGAGGTGGAACAGTTTCATCCCAAAACCATCCCCATCCTACCGTTCCACCCCATCCATGAAAAATTTACCTTCTATGAAACCGGTCGCTGGTGCCAAAAAGGTTGAGGACCACTGGTTTAAAAGATGAGATACTGGTAAACTACAAAAAGCCATTCAAGTCTTATACAGAGCAAGTGGGAAAGCTCCCCAGTTCATTTTGTGTGGCTACAGTAACCTAGATACCCAATCCTGATAAAACCAGTATGAGAAAGTAAAATAACAAGCCAATTTTGTACGTCAACATAGATCTACAAATATCAAACTGGGACGGCAATGGTAGTGGTAAATAACACCTATGTACATATAGAGCTTTCTTTGATTGTTTCTACATACAACATTACATACTGTTTTTGAAAAACTTACTGTGTTAAAAATGATAAGAAGATCCAACTTAAGACCCAAAAACTTTGTCCTATACCTAACTATTGACGAGAAGAAGGCTCTAAAGGTATGAAGTTTAAGAAAAGCTATGTCAAGGTGTAACCCTTGTTTCTGTTCATGGTTAATGTGATATAGTCTAATATATACTAAAAAATTTCCTTTGCCTTGTCTCTTCCTCAGACCTTCAGCAGGCTGTTTTATTTAATATCTCACAAAGATCCAGGAGTTGCACAGTTTGAATGGAAGGTGTGGAAGGAAGACAGAGGAAATTAATTAGGTGGCCTTAGCAACTATTTCCCAAATTGCAGTCTGTCTACATACTTATCCTGGATGACGGGGTTCTAGGCTCCTGCTTTTCGCTGTCTTTGCCACTCCCCTCTGGGGCCACAGTGTTTTCCAGCAACATGGGGGTGGTAGGCGGGGAGGTCCCAGAACTTCAGCACAGCTTTTCCCCATGACCACGGATAGGAGATGAGGTGAGGCACTGACTCAGTGCTCTTCCAGTCTCATTCTCCTGATTGAAACCTGTTTGTGGTATGTTGTCATAACAAAATTCACCTGAGTACTGCAGTGTTTCACAGAACAATCCCCAAAAGCTCATTTAACTAATACACTGCATAAAAAAATTACTACATGCTATTTAAGCAATATTTCATCGTTTAAAAAGTACTTACAGAATTTTATTTGACCTATTTAGGAACCATATTGAGTAGGTAGCATTAATGTTATTACTCACAAGGTACACATGGAGAAGCTGAGGCTCAGACAGATTAAAACCATTTGCTCAAAGTTAAGTAGTTCATCAGTAGAGGAGCCAGAACAGGAATACAGATGCTCTGATTCCTCACTCAGAGATATTTCCAACACACCAAGTCTTTCCCTTCCCCTTTTCTTTTTCTCTGGTTTTGTCTGTTTTGTTTTGAAAGGCACAATTATCTTGCTTCAGTATTGAACTTGAGGTTGGGTGAGTATAAATATTGCTAGGAAAGTCTGCTTAAGGTAGATTTAGGGTTGTTCTACAGTTTTTGATAAAATAAAAAAACTCCTCCAGTAATATTTGAAATATACTCCCCAATACCCATCCCTTCTGCCTTTGCACATTTAGCACATGGCATAAAACCTGTCAGATCAGGTACATTACCTAAGGATAACCTTGCTTATGACCTTTCATCTGGTTGCTCACCTGCCCCAAAAGTGAGTCTCTCCATTTACAACGTGTGTGTCATTTATACTTAATTTCTATATAGTCACATATCTAAAACTAGAATTAAGTGAACACTTTTGATGATCCTACGTGATGCAATTATCTACGTTGTTTCTCAAAAAATGCACACTGTCTCTAAAATTACAGATTGGAAGTTTGAGGCATAATTTCTGAAGTGACAGTCAAGGGGAAATGTTAGCACCTGTGAAGACAGAGGTATTATGATATGATGATTTGACTGATGCCCATTAAGGTTACTTAACAACTTTGTGATATAATCTGGAATCCATAGAAAATTGAGATTATTTTATATATAAAACTACAGTCATGTTGTACTCTTGTGCCCTGTACTTGAAAGCAAGCACATCTGAGCTGGCGTTTGTCAGGCATGCAGCAGCTCTAAGACAGCCCTAGAAAACTGTAGAGGAGTCAGTGAATACACTGTATGCCTTACATTAAATTGGGACATAAAAGCCATTTTGTGTTGCTGCTTCAGTTTCTCCACCCTCAGCCTGACTTACAAAACCAAGACGTATAACCACACATATCAACCTAGAACTTTGCCCTATGAAGCATTGTCTCTGAAAGCCTCTTTTCTCCTTCCTGTCAGTCCTCAGCGGCACTATGGCTGAATGAGTGGTTGTGTTATTCAGAGATGTGTGTGGCTATCATCCTGCATGAGTGGGTCTGTTTCTGTCCTTGACTCACTTTTTCTTTCTTCCTTTCTTTTTCTCTCTCTTCCTCAGTCTTAGTACCAGCCAGACCTTTTCTGTTTAACTCTATTCTTTTATTTCTGAAACACTCAGAGTGCTATTCAGAGATGTATCTGTACAGAAAGAACACACCTAGAGAGCTCAACACTGTGCAATAGGATGTGCTCCCTGAAAAATTTCAAATCCAGACAGCACTGTTGTCCTTCACTTCAGTCAATAACAAAAGGAAATCTTTTCTCCTTTTGAATTTATGACAGAGGTAGTTCAGGTAATGAGCAAAACGACTCTTTGAATATGTGTCTTGACAGATGTAAAAATGATCATAAAATAAGACCACGGCAAACAATGTAGAAAAACCAGACTTGACATTGACAGTATGTTTAAACAAAAGTCTCTATAAATATCAGATGCTACAGACATGGATAAGAGAAGCACATTCTCACAAGGAGAGGTTGCCAAAACCTGAATATTCCATTAACAAAGAAATTAGGAATATAATTACATACACATTGAAATATTTCTATTTAGCATGAGGTACAGTCCTAACTACATACTTTTTACTTTTTTCTTCATCTCACAATTTACATCCTCTTGGGTTAAATGGCAAAGAAAAATATATTAGAATAGTAAGAGTAATCAATACTGATAGTATTTTATAATGATGTAGTACCTTCACATTAGTATTTGCCCCTTTTATGTATGACAACTCTGAGTTTCAGAAAGGTTAAGTGATTTGTTGAACATGGGTCAGTTTGCAAATTTCAGAGCCGGGATTCAAGTGAAGATCTTTTGCCTCTTTCTGGTCTTTCACTGTGGCAGCATAGTATTTCTGAATGACATCTGCTGGACTGTAAACGTCACAGGAAACGTCATAACTTTCAGCTTATCTTGGATTATTTCTATCCTAAATTGAGGCTCAAATTTCCCTCAACCCTATATTTCTTCCTTTCTTTTTCTTAAGCTATATGACACCTCAATGCTGAATCAGAGACTGATTCAAATTTCGATTCTAAAAGACTACCAGAGATACCTGAATGTGTACACAGTTTAAACTTTGGGAAAGTGGATTTCACATGCAATATTAAAGATAATATATGCATGAACATATAAACATACCTTGAATTACACATTACAGAGTATCGTTATAAAGAAAACAATAGTTTTACAGAATAAAAGTAACTATGGCAACCAGTAGAGTCAAA
This sequence comes from Homo sapiens, assembly GCF_000001405.40. Taxonomy (NCBI): domain Eukaryota; kingdom Metazoa; phylum Chordata; class Mammalia; order Primates; family Hominidae; genus Homo; species Homo sapiens. Next base: position 122,469,150 of record NC_000007.14, read on the forward strand.
TCAGGCTGCCTCCCAGGCAGCAGCAGTAGCTCCTTGTTGCCTCAGTAACTTTCCATTATAATGAGTCTCAAACACATATATTTTGGGGGCACATTAGCTGAATTTTCCACCTTAGGTTCCCAATTTAATTTTACCTTTCTGTGTGGATGAATAAAATATTCTGATTATACAGTTTGCTTTGGGTTTGTTTGTTTCACTGAAACCTTCTCATCCTCTTGCATTTTAGAGGTCTGCCTAGTGCTGGAATGTCTATTTTTTGATATCCCCTAGTCAGAAGGAATTGAGACAGAGTCAGGAGACGAGACAGTTTTAGTAAAACAGCTCCTATCAACAGTTAGCCACCCTGACTGACCCCTGTACCCCCCCATTTTCTAAGTGCAGAGGGTTGAGTGTGAGATAGTGGGGAAAAAACTACTAAAATCAGCAACATCCTCCTAATTTCAAATCAAGGCTGGGCTCCAAAATAAAGTGAAAACCTGAATAGACTGTGAGACAAGGATCAATCTTATTTTATTGTAGGCTGAGAAATGGCAGCACTGGGGACTTCAACAGATATTTATTGTGTACCTACAAAATGTAACACACTGTTTTAGGTACGTGGAGGATAATAGGTGAATGAGAACTGATTTTTGCCTTTAAAATATGATCTAGTGGAACAGAAGCAGGTGTGTGTCTGTGTGTGTGTGTGTGTGCACGTACACACATCTAGCACATAAGTATATATGACAAAGGTAATGAGATAAGTACAGACAAAAAGTTCTTAGTGTCTGAATGAGTTAATTGAAGTCTTCTAAGATGAGTTTTGTGATATTTGACTTTTTAAAACTGGAAAAAAGAAAAACATGGAGAATAAACAGATTTTTTGCGGTAAAATTTTGTGGAGACAAGAATGGGCAGATGGAAGAGGATGGTAATGGGAAAATGTTGATGCTATCACTTGGAACCTATTTTTAATTTAATAATCAAAAATCACTTAAGCTTTTTGAAGAAGAGTGTGGTAAAAGTTATTCTACAATTTTTTTGACTGATTGGTAGAATACTATAGAAAGAAAAAGGTAGTAGAGAGGTAAATTCACATACATAGGCCAGAAAAAAATGAAGGCCAGAATTAGGATAAACAATGGAAATGTAAAAAAGAGAATGTTAAGGGGCACTATGGGAAGAGAATATTAATATTCACAAATTGGGGATAGGAGGGAAAAGAAAAAGATGAATAAAAAGTTAACGGGCCATTAATGGAGGAGACATTAACACAAATAATGAAGTCATTCATTCATTCATCAAATATGTATTGAGCAAGATTAAGAGAAGGGGAGTGATATGGACAGATTTTTATTTATTTTTTATTTTTATTTTTATTTTTTAAGACAGAGCCTGTTCTGTTACCTAGGCTGGAGTGCAGTGGCATGATCTTGGCTCACTGCAACCTCTGCCTCCCGGGTTCAAGCGATTCTTTTACCTCAGCCTCCTGAGTAGCTGGGATTACAGACATGCACCACCACGCCCAGCTAATTTTTATATTTTTTAATAGAGATGAGGTTTCACTCAGTTGGCCAGGCTGGTCTCAAACTCCTGGCCTCAGGTGATCCACCCTCCTTGGCCTCTCAAAGTGCTAAGATTACAGGTGTAAGCCACCACACGCGGCATGATATGGACAGATTTTTAAGGCCAGAGATAGACAACTGTGGAGGCCAACATTAGGGAATTTTTATGGCATCTTGGTAAAACAAGAGTACTTGTTCCTAAAGTGTGGATTAGGGAAGTGGCTAAGAAGAGACTCTACATAAAACCCATTTTCTATCTTGTTTTATCAGTGAAAATTAATTCCACAGAGGAAAAGCAATGATCATTAGTTACACACAGACCTATCAACACATCCTACCCAGGCACAGGTATGCATTACAATAGGAATCATAGGGATACTTAAGGCTATTCAGACTTACTACGAGGTGGTATGTAAGAACTAAAAGGCAGTTTCTAATCTCATATTTTTTCTCTCTCTCTCTTTCGAGTGGCTTTACCAGCAAAAAGAAACATAAAGTGTAGCCCACCTAAATCAATAGCATATTGATGCACACTTTTTTCTCTGTCGTTTTTTTTTTTTTCCTTGTAAGAAGTGTTTGCTATTTACAATCTGTTACTGGGTGATAATCGCAAAGCACATTTTTCTCTCTTTTCCATAGTCAACCCCATACATTTCACTTTGTATTTGCAAGTAAAAATACCTGTTGCCGTGCACATGAGAGGCACAGAATGCAAAGCTGTAATGGAGCAGGGTAGGGTCAATGACAGCACCATTTTCTGAATGTTCCATCAGTTCTGCAAGGTAGCAGAGATGTCTGTGACAGCCTCTCACACCATAACGGGCACAGTACTCATCTAACACAAAGACTTGGCCAGGGCTAAACCATCCCTGCAAAATAAAAAAAGAATAGATATACATGTTTTTTCTTTCTATACTACGATTTGCTTTCCTGAACGCACTTTTAGGCCTTATAAGCAGAAGCTGCATGAAAGTATCTTGACATTTATTTTATTAGTGGTATGTTTCATGAAGAGCTAATGTCATCAATTTTGAAACTGATTTGGGACACTGGCAACCTAATGCTATTCTCTTTTTACTGTCACAGCAAGGCATGGGTAACTTGTGCCTCTCCAATGTCATTCAAAATTAGTCAAATTTATTCATAGGATCTAAATTATCACACACAAAGAGTGTTACTCCAAAAATCTCAGTCTCTTTATGAATCAATTAAAAAAAGACGACATTATAGATGAAATTTCCTGCTCAGGAGAAGTTTTATAAAGTGAACTAAAAGAAAATGTCATTAAGTTTAGCAGCAGTATACATGTACTATTTGGGAACTTAAATATCTGGGATATTCTTCTCATTCTGTTTGTCTTCCTATGAACAATATAACAGAGTTAATGCTTTATATTAGCAGTTTCTGTTCCTCCTGAAATAAGATGTTAGAATGTATGTGTGTGCATGCATGCCACCTGAACACAGCAGGCAGTTGATGCGGCTAAAACTGGAGGACAGGTTAGGTGGAGCTGGCTTATAAAATATCTTGATGAATTATATGGATTTATAAGATAGTAAAAGAAAAGAAGGGAGTATAGAGAGTTTTAAAAGGGGGCAGGGTAATCATGTAAGAGAAATAAAGAATAATGAGAAAAAGGTGAGAAGGCAATAAAGGAAAGGAGGAAGAAAAGAAAAGGAGTAAGAGAAGAACCATCAGGTGTGGTATTTATATGCTTTCCATGTTGAAGATAAATAAGCTAAAGCTCAGGGATGTTAAGTGAATTGTCCAAGACTACACTGCAAATCAGTTGTTGAGCCATGATTTATATTCACAGTCATCTGCCTCCAAAACACTTTCTAGGCAAATCACACTCACTCCCCTTTAGGTGCAGTGGAAGACCTTGTAGCATTCTCCTCAGACTCCATATTACACTGGCGGTCAACAACAAAATCAAAACAGCTTTTGATAATTGAATAATGTCTTTGAGTGGAATCCGAGAGGACACTATCCCTTATTGATGTTCACTCTATGTGTTTGTCCATGAAAAGATAGAATAGGATTTTGAGATGATATATTTTACTCTCCATGTGATTGTAAAGTTTGAGTTGGATCAGGTTTAAATTATACTTAATAAACAATCTATAAATGAATTAATGAACTGTTAGTGTCAGCGTGGCAATAAATTGTTTCACTTCTTCCTCTCTGAAGTATCCCCATTTTGATTTCAGACAAAATGGGGGGGCGCATTTTGTCTGAAATCTTAAACAGAATGTAACTTTATTGCATGAAGTTTCAGGTTGAGCATCCCAAATCCAAAAGTCCCAGACCTGGGAAGCTCCAAAATCCAAAATATTTGAGCATCTGCATGATGCTTTTAAATCAAGTTTAGCCTAAAGCTGCCTCCTTACATATTTTAAGTTCAGCCTAAAGGTTTCTCTATACATTGTGAATTATAAACTAAATGGAGTTGTAAATACACAGTAGTCTACTACTGTGCCAATAACTGAGTTTTGGCCAATCAAAGGTGGCCAACTGTTCAAACTGTGTTCAAATAAGGCAAATGCTGAACTGTAATCAATCTGGCTGTTTCTGTACCTTACTTCTGTTTTCTGTACGTCACTTTCCTTTTTCTGTCTATAAAGCTTTTTCCACCACGTGGCTGCGCCAGAGTCTCCGAGCCTACTCTGGCTTGGGAGGCTGCCTGATTCAAGAATTCATGAATTAAACTCTGTTAAACTTAATTAGGCTAAGGTTTTTCTTTTAACAAAGCTCAAAGGAAATTGATTTTGGATTTTTGGATTAAGGATGCTCACCTTGTACATATAATGCAAATATTCCAAAATCTGAAGAAAATTCAATATTTGAAACAGTTCTGGTCCCAAGCATTTTGGATAAGGGATAGTCAACCTGTACTATGCTCAGTGTCCAAGAGATTAAAGTAGTGATAGAAATAGGCATTTTCTGGCTGCAAAAATTTCAGATGAATTGCTATTGACAATGTAAATGCTTGGAAAAACACATAATTTTTAGGTTATAAAGTTTAGTCCCCATATTCTGAGGTGTCAAGCATTCCTTTTAAATAAATTATACTTCATATCCCAAATGTTGGCTACAATTTCAACACATACCAGGAAACAGTTTACTCAATTTAATTCACTCCTTTCCTTTTGTCAAGGAATTCAAGTTATACTTTGGATGGCTAGATGAAACCAAAACTTTCCTTTGTTATGTATAGCTCCTGTCATATTGTTAATTCCACTATTTCCTTCCCCTGCCACTTAGGTTGTCCTTCTAAGAACAAAAGAGAGAAATGTGAGGTGTCAACATCTGGGGAACAGAACTTCAACCTTAAAATGTCTGTACGTCCTATAACAGAGGTTTTAAAAAATCTTTATTTAAAGCCTTCTATTTTCACTGAGCGTTCTTTAAAGTGACTGATACACCACAGTTTAGCATCTATTTGAGTCTATTCTCCTGTCTATTGAGTGGCACAGCAGTGGTCTTCAAGTGTATAATTTTCAAATTGGGAAGCAATCAACTGGAATCCTTTATCCCTCACTCCCACTACCCTTATTAAATGAGTCAGGAATAAAATGCTGGTTTATAACAAGTATTTCTCACTTTCTAAAATCTTTTATTCCAACTTATAGGGGATCTAAAATCTTTTATTCCAACTTATAGGGGACTAGATAGACTTGTACTCACCAAGCAAGAATAGGAATCATTCAGTCTGTGATCCAAAGTCTGCCTCTGGAGTATTCTAAAAAGGAAGGCATGATCAAGCTTGCAGGGGTTTGCAGAAATAAACTCATCCATACCATGTTTCTGAAAACGATCTGCATCTGTAAATTCAGGAAAGCATGTACAGTATATTTACTTTTCAGGCTTAATGATGGACATACAAGTTGTGAAGAATACAAAATGCGTGACTCAAGCAGAAGACTACCTTTTATCACATGAAATATGATGCCAAGAGTTCAGCATATTAACATAAATTGCAAACTTTATGAAGCCTAAGTAAAAACAACAGCAAAAAATCTACAAATCATTCAGAATGCAGTAATTCCATCTCCATTCAAAGCTATTTCTAATATCCAACAGAAGAATAATCTTATTTTCCAACTCTGAGAAAAGCTGTATTTTAAATCTCCATTTACTGATGGAATTGACTAGAAAAGAACGAAGATCTATTCATAAAAAACAGCAATGATGCCTAGGAGTCTGCTTTCCAAATGGCAAACTAGGGCAGAATTGAACACACATGCTTCAGCTGGATCACTTCCAGTCTTCTTTTTGTATGGAGCTTTTAATGGGACCATCCTTAATGTAAAAATGGCAATGAGCGCTCTCAAGCTTCAAGTTTAAGAGACAGGAAAAAGGGAGCATCATGTTTGCGCAAATATGCAGACAAAGCTTAACGTCCCAAATGGCACTTCAATCAAAGGCCCAAATTTATTGTTCTTTACAGATTGCATCTTTCAACGCCTGTAGACCCTGCGGGTTTATCAAAAGGCAAGCTTTTATGATTGCTTTCATTAATGGTATGTTTTGTCAAAGTCTTCAATGTGAGTTATTTACTAAGTATAGAGAGAAAAAGCCACACACTACCCCAAAGGAGTGCTGGGGTGTTATTACATTAGCTCTGTTAGAAACGTAGCGCATACTGAGCAAGCAATCAGTTATCAAGATAAAAGTGGACTCTTCTCACAATGGTAAAACTGAAACTCCATTGTTCCCTAAAATTCACAGATAGATCTCTTTCTGGTCATCATAAGAAAAGCAGAGTCCTAAATGTAAGCTAAGTGTAGTTTGTAAAACCTATGTAGTACAATCTTAAAATTATAAAGGAAAAGAGACAAAAGTTTATTGATTAAACCCAATTATAGAGTCAGACTCATAATAAAACTCAATATTGATCTGTGGACATGATGCTAACATAATCAGTCACATTTAGATATTTAGCCCAGATCTTATTGATCCATGTCAAGTTCAACTTTCAGCCATATTTGTAGATGGAAGAACTACATAATTCAAGCTGAAGGGTCTTCAGAATCACACTAAAAAATGATACACAAACTAATGTACATCTCACATCAATGACAGATAGGAAAAGGTGAATATAGCAAGTAATCAATGAATGGCAGCTTATTGATGTGTAGGGTATAAGGTTATAATCCGTGGAGAAAGTATCATACTTATACCTTTACATTTAATAATTACCTGAATGATTAAATACATTACATGTGATAAATTAACTGGATGAACACAAAACAGCTTTTCCTGAACTAATATACAATTGAACTTCTTTTGCATTTTATTCTTCTGAGTCTTTTAATAGAAAGTTAAATATATGATAATGTAATGTGAAATAATATCAGATGAATAGGAGGCAGAATATTAAAACTGCAAATCACACATTTTATAAAATTGGAAGATTCTTTTGTATTTTAAAAGATGTATCTTAGAATATTCATTTTTCCATTTATCTCAGCAAAAAAATCTTTTAGTATCATTTTTATGAAACTAAATTACTAGTTTTATAAAACATCTGCTAAATTTTATACCTTATTTCTTTCACCAGAGAAGGTTACAACAGGAGTTAAAAATAATGCCCATTAATGGTTAATCTGTTGAGAACAGGATAGTGATAAATTTCACAGGAAAAAGACCTATCTTTTTCCTGTGAAAAAAGTAAAAAAATCTTTCTTTTACTATAAAGATTTGTAGAAGCAATTAAAAAATGGGCATACAAACTTTAAATAAAAAATGTTTCTGAAAAACGATCTATAGTTCATTTCTATAATTAAATCATATTTTTGTAAATTTATAAAGTACTTTTCTCAGGAAATACAATTCCAAACTATATATCTGCTAAGGTAACAAGTCTTTCCAAATGACACACATGAATGGAAAATTACTTTACAAACAATTACCATTGGTGATAAAAATGATATTAATGATAGCACTTTGAGTCACAAATACAGACTCTACTCGGAAAAAACAGACAGGCAAACAAACCCATTAAAATTTTTATTTAAGAAAATCAACAACCTTCAATTTCTCCAGGATTGTAATTTTATGAAAGTGAAATGTGTTCTTAGAAATCATTCTATTTTTAAAACACAGGCTGTGAAGACCAAACATTTTTACTTTCTTTCTACATCAGATCAGCACCATTTAGAACATTTCATGCAAAACTACATTACCATGTGGCAGTATAGTCTTAGTTTCCATGAATTTATGGAAGAAATAAATAAAAAAGTAACAGTCTTGACCTCCCTGAATGAAATGGGGTGGCGGGAAGGGGGGCGGGAGGGGAGGGGAGAGGAGAGGAGAGGAGAGGAGAGGAGAGGAGAGGAGAGGAGAGGAGAGAGAGAAGAGAGAGAGAGAGAGAGAGAGAGAGAGAGGGAGAGAGAGAGGTAGGTAGATAGGCTGTGTTTCAATAAAACTTCATTTTCAAGAACAGGCATTCAGTTTCAGTTTGCTGGCCCTCTGGCCCTTGTTTTAAACAAAATAATAGCAATGTATACAAGTGTTTATAACATTACTGAAAACTGACGGGCACAATGGCTCATGCCTGTAATCCCAGCACTTTGGGAGGCCGAGGTGGGTGAATCACCTGGGGCCAGGAGTTCGAGACCAGCCTGACCAACATGGTGAAATCCCGTCTCTTACTAAAAAACACAAAAAATTAGCTGGACATGGTGGCAGGCGCCTGTAATCCCAGCTACTTGGGAGGCCGAGGCAGGAGAACTGCTTGAACCCAGGAGGCGAAGGTTGCAGTAAGCTGAGATTGCGCCACTGCACTCCAGCCTGGGCTACAGAGTGAGACTCCATTCCCATCCCACCCGCCACCCCCGACCCCACCAAAAAAAAAAAAACAAAAAACAAAAAACCAAAAACTGTAAAGTGAAATGTAAGGCAACAATAGCATCAAAGCTAGGAGGAGAGAAACAGATGTAATACGGCTGAAATGCTTTTTTAGTAATAAAATTGTGTGTATGTATATTTAAGCTTTACAACATGATGTTAAGGGATACATATAGACAGTAAAATGGTTACAATACAGATGCAAATTAGCAAATCTGTCATCTCACGTAGCTACTTTTTTTGTGACAGGGAAGCTAAAATCTACTTAACAAAAATCACTAACAGTACGATTGTATGGATTCTAGTTGTCATGTTGTACATTAGATCTCTAGACTTGTTCATCCTACACATCTGCTAGTTTGTATCCTTTGACCCACATCTCCCCATTTCCTCCCTGCCATCTTTCACTTTAAAGTTATCTCATGAACTAATGTGAAATAGAAAATCAGATATCATTAAGATATTATCTAGTTTCTTATTTTTATAAAGATATATTTTCACATAGCTTTCTACAGGTATAACATACCTATATGTTACTCTTGAGAGACACAGCCATCATCTATATCAAATGCAAAACATGCTTTTTAGTCAATTACCAAATCCAAGGCTTTAAAATTGGGTTATACTGGATTATCTTCAATTAATGTTACTATAACACAACATTATGGTGACTAGTTTTAAACAGAAAATTATTCATGGTGTTACTCAGATTTCTCTGATAATGGAAAATTTTAGTTCAATCTGTCTTCTGAAACAATATGACAACTATCAAAACAAACCAACAAGCTATGAGCTTAAGCAGTATACTGCAAAACTGTCATAAATTGTGATGATTAACCTATGGACTAACTACAGATGTGGGATTGGTAATTGAGGATACTGGTGGAGTTTCTATGGCAACAGTTGGATGTATGCTCGAGCGTCTTTAGGTGGTACTGTCACCAGGTGTGATAACAGTAGATGGAATGAAACCCAAATTGAGAAAGATTATTATTAGCTATAGATTTAAGAAGTTATAGAGGCTTTATGTAAGTCAAGCCTAAAAATTAAATTTTTTCATTAGGATAATAGCTGTTGGAAGTTAAGAGAAAAGGATAAGTAGGCTGACAGTATCAACTTAAATAGGTAATACAGACTTGAAAATAGGTGGCATAGAAAATGATGTGAGGACTATCAGTGAGGGGCTTTTTGGTAGGCACTGACCGCCACCTGCCCCTTAAGTGCCCAAGAATTCAAATCCTAGGAAAGGCATCTAAGTCAGAGAGAATGTGAGATTGAAAAAAATTTGAAATACTTCTTTTTTGCTATTGTGAATAGTGCCACAATAAACACACGTGTGCATGTGTCTTTATAGCAGCATGTGCACATGTACCCTAGAACTTAAAGTATAATAAAAATATATATATTAAAAATACTTCTTTTTTCTTTGCAACAAATTCTTATGGTACTGCATTTGTTGCTGCTCCTAGTGTTGTGAGAAATCATGGATGTAAAAGGAAAAGGGAAAGAAAAAGGTAAAGGGGCACTCTGGATGAAAAAAGGAGGCCATTTTTTAGCATTCTGAGGTCACTCTGGTGTCTGGGAGTGGGACTCTAGTATCAAAAGGACTAAAAGGGTGCTGCCAGCCAAGACTGCTCTCTGCAAAACAGAGCTGAACTAAGAAGCAAATGACTCTTTTGAAATATAATACAATTTACTGTCCTACATTTAAAACTGGCCTATGTTTAGGAGTTCACCTGTAGCTGCATTTACCACTACTCACATCTGATTATACATTTCTTATAATTCAAAACTCCCATACAGCTTGAAAATTTATAGGAAGTTAAAAGTGGCACAGCAAAGTAGGTGCCACTTCTCTTTTTATACCATCCATGTAGGCTTTAATAGGAAGAGTTTAATATTTTAAAATTTTACCTAGATCAGCCTGAATAGTATGTCCATGTTTTATGTATACATACTTTCTGCTGAAAAGCAAAGGAGTTTGTTCACACCTTTATTATTGACCAAATAACTGCTTAGCTTCTTTTGGTTAAATTGATTCAAAACCTGATATATGAATTAACACATCTTGCTTTCTGCAGCCAATAACACGTAAGTAATACTTTTGCATGATGACAATTTTGATCAACACAGAAACCTAGAATTACAAATAAGCAAAGTAAACCAATATTGAACATTTATTAGAAATAATATGTTCAATGTAAAAGAAAGACAAATGCTTTCCCTATGAAGTGTGAAATTTAATATATTAGATCAATCATGAAAATAAGTTCACAAAATTAAATGTTAGTTTATATTTTAATTTAATAATTTAAAAATACTTAGCTTAAAAATAAACAGATGGCAGCTTTTCTGGTTCATTTTTGATATTAATTTATTATTGGAAGACAAATGCTACTATTCATATTGTATTATGTGACACACACATTGTATTATGTTACATATATAACTGAGAGACAGTGAAAACCAGGGTGTGTGCACTGCATTTTGGTTGGAGAGAACAAAGTACAGTTTAACCAAAGAATGTCCATCAATCTGGCAACTCTAGCACGTTACATTTTAAGTGAAAAAATTGGTTACCAGCCTCTTCCCCACCCCTTCAGCTCACTCTCTTCCCTTAGAATTTTTATATATCCAGAGAGTCAAAGAAAAAAAGAAGTGGAATAGATTTGCTTATTAGAGAAATCTATAAATACATATTAGTAATGTCCCAAAAAGATAAGGTTGTCTTCCAGTAAGTTAGATTTTATAATTTTTTTTTTATTTTTCCTAGTTATTGTTATGCTTAGTTTTTTAAAAAATAAGCTTCTGATTTATACTTCATTCTAAAGCACTGGGTTTGTGAAAAATAAATAAAAATACATACTTCAAAGAAAAGATATAGAAGAAATAAAGTAGCAACTAGTGCCTCCGATAAAACATATCCACTGAATATTTTAGATGTAATTCTACCTATATTTTGCTTCATCAATTGGGTGTTTTTTTATGTAGTGAAAATAATACCGCATGTATAACTTAGCATTTTTTCCACTTAACATATATTGACCATTTGTTTTGCACGTTATTACAACACATTCGTGGCTATTACCCTTGTGCCTGTATGAATGGTAGATATTAGGTTGTTTCTACTTTTTTTGTTGCGATAGACATTTTTTGTTTTGTAATCAATAAAGCTAACTTAAATATTCTGGGTTTGGCTAGAAAGTAGGGGATTGATCCTGTAAACAAGATCATGATATTCCTCAAACATAGTATCATTAAAAATTTTTTAAAACATCTAATTTTAAAAATCATGAAAATACTTACCTTTACCAGCTACAGGTCAGCAAAGAAATGAGAAACAAAGCATATTTAAATGGGTTGGGAACTATATACTTATACAACTAGACATTTAATTTTTTATTTTCTCAATTTCTACTCATGATTTTAAAAGTTGTTTTTCTAAAAGACCATCAGGAAAGAAAACAAAAATTGATTATGTAAGTCAATGGAGGGAGGAAAATACTATGGATGAAACTACTCTCTGGAGGAACTCTGGAGGAATTCATGGCATTTCTCTGATAGTTCAGGGTCACTACCCTCATTCTGATGAGGTAGAACATTTTCTTTCTTCATTCTTTTTTTTTTTTTTTTTTTTTTTGACGGAGTCTTGCTCTGTTGCCCAGGCTGGAGTGCAGTGGTGCGAACGTGGCTCACTGCAAGCTCTGCCTCCCAGGTTCACGTCAGCAGAGGTCTGCCCTGATTTAAAACTTTACTAGCAGCCTGGAATACAAGTCAGTTGTTGTTAACAAATTGAAACAGTTTCCCTTTTTAGTTATAACAAGTAAATTCAGTTCTCATAGCCTGATCAATTCTGCCTTGACAATAAATTGATATCAAATAACAGAAAGGTTTTGTTAGAAACAGATGATAGGGCTGGGCGCTGTGGCTCATGCCTGTAATCCCAGCACTTCGGGAGCTGAGGTGGGCAGATAACCTGAGGTCAGGAGTTCAAGACCAGCCTGGCCAACGTGGAGAAACCCCATCTCTATTAAAAAGACAAAAATTAGGCAGGTGTGGTAGCATACACCTGTAATCCCAGCTACTTGGGAGGCTGAGGCATGGGAATCCCATAGCCTGATCAGTCCTGCCTTGACAATAAATTGATATCGAATAATAGAAAGGTTTTGTTATTATTTGTTACAGGCAGGTGCAGTGGCTCATGCCTGTAATCCCAGCACTTTGGCAGGCCAAGGCTGGCAGATCACCTGAGGTCAGGAGTTTGAGACTAGCCTGGCCAACATGGAGAAACTCTGTCTCTACTAAAAATACAAAAATTAGGTGGGTGTGGTGGCACACACCTGTAATCCCGGCTGCTGAGATTACTTGGGAGGCTACTTGGGAGGCTGAGGCACGAGAATGGCTTGAACCTGGGAGGCAGAGGTTCAGTGAGGCGAGATGGCACCACTGCACTTCCTCTCTCTCCAGAGGCAGACTCTGTCTAAAAAAATTCTGTATTATTCAGCCACAGTCTTAAAGTTCTATGCTAGTGGTTCCTACCTGCTTTTCTTGCCATTATGTGCAAGCAACAATAGCCACGAGCTCAACACATTCCTCGGGCATTCCTTGCACTCAGGATGTTAAGAAAAAATATGGGAACACAAGTGAAGGAGGATGGCGATTAAAAAAAAATAGTTATTAAGTCACTGTAATTCTGTGGTTCTCAACTGGGGGTGATTCCTCACCAACCGCAACCCTACCCTCTGGGACATTTGGCAATGTCCAGAGATATTTTTGGTTGTCTGACCTGGGACCAGGTGGGAGACTATTGATACCTAGTGGGTAGAGGACAGGGGTGCTGTAAAACATTACATAACGCACAGGAAAAGTTCCTTACTCCACTCCCTGCCCCAAAACAAATAATTATCTAGCCCAAAATGTCAATAGTGTTGAAATTGAGAAACCATGCTTTAACTTACAAAAAATTCTGCTTCTGGTCATGATGGCATAATTGAGAATAAACTTAACCTCCTACCTGAATTAAGTATTCTAAAAAAATTTACAAAAAGTTTATTAAACGCTGCACGTTGGGCAACGTGATTCCTGAGGGACGGGAAACAAGGTGAGCCTTACAGTCACTCCAGGTTACTGCCAGGAGAAACTCTATAGCCCATGGCACAAGCAACAGGAACCCAGGAAAAGCCCAGTGGTCTCCCTGAGTTCAAAAGATGGAACTGACAGTTCAGAAGGGTGATAGTAACTAGAGTTTGTAGGAAAGAGTACTGGAGAGAAGAGAGCTGCCCAGCAAGAGACTCTCAAGATCTACAGAAGGCCTCCCCCAAGAATTCAGCTGACTACCCATCAGCTCATGCATGTGTAGAAAGGGAAAGAAGCAATCTAAAGGATTCGAGAGGACAGTGCCCCAAACTCACACAGCCTAGAATAGCACTGCTTTTCAGCAGCAAGAATATAAAAGCTCATAATTCACAGGTTATCAGTTAGAGTATTAAGAAAGATGTTGGTCCAGAAATGGGGAAAATGCATCCTGGACTAAACACTGCTTGGTCTTCCCTAACAAAACTTGAAAGCAAAGCTTGAGAGGATTGAATTGTTTCCAAGTAACTTAACTGTGTCTCAGAACAAGCATTTTTATGAAGAAAACTATACCAAGGCACATCATAATCAAATTGCTCAAAAACAGTGTTAAAGAGAAAAATCTTTAAAGCAGCTAGAGGAAAAAAGGACATTATTTATAGAGGAAAAAACCAAAATAGCAGCACATTTCTCATTGGAAAAACAAATGCAAGCTAGAAGAAAGTGGAGCAACACCTTAAAGTACTAAAAGAAAAATATCTTCAAAATGAGGGTAAAATAAATACTTTTTTTCGTATATAAAGAAGCTAAAAGTATTCATTACCAGCAGATCTGCACTACAAGAAAAGTCAAAGGAGGTCCTCCAAGAAGTGAAAATATCTATATTAGATGATGAAAGGCACTGGAAATGGTAATGTACATGTACATAACATGTACATAATGGACATGTACAAAATGGACATGTACATAACATTTTTCTTTCACTTTTAATTTATTTAAAAGATATTGACTAAGGCAATAATCATAATAGCAATGTATTGTGGGATTTACCACATATATAGAAGTAAAATATATGACAAGAATAGTGCAAAAGCCAAGAGAGGAGAAATAGAAGTTTACTATTGTAAAGTGTGCATACTATACATGAAGATATATAATAAATTTAAAGGGTATACTTTAAATTCTAAAGCAATCACAAAGATAACAAAACAATTGGACTGAAATAAAAAATTCCATTTACTAAAGCAACAAAGATGAAATACCTAGAAATAAATCTGACAAAAGATGTGCTAGATCTGTTCACTGAAAACTACAAACATCCCAAAGAGAAACTAAAGACTACCTAAACAAATGAAGTGATACATGGTATTCACAGATTGGAAGACTCAATATTAAGAAGTCAGTTTTCCAAAATTTTCCAAGGACTGACCTATAGATTGAAGGCATTCCCAGTAAAATCTCCAGCAAGGAATGTCAAGATGTTTTAAAAATTTACATTGTACCCCATATATATAAACAATTATTTGTCAATTAAAAGTGAATAAACTTATTTTAAAAATTCATAGAGAAATGCAAAGGACATAGAATAGCCAAAATACTTTTGAATAAGAGAAATCAATTTGGAGGACTTGGACTACCTAACTGTAAGATTTACCAAGCTACAGTAATCAAGACAGTGTGGTAATAATATTAAGATAGATAAACTGACCAAAGAAAGGATAGCCCAGAAATAAACTCATATGTAGTTAATTGATTTTTCACAAATATGCAAGGGCAATTCAGGGTACGATAATCTCTTCAACTCTTTGTGTTAGAACAACTGGACATCCATATGCCATCCAGAAATACTGATGGATACCTCTCACCATATATAAAAATTAACTGAAAATGGTTGTAAAATGTAAACGCCAAAATTGTAAAATTTCTAGAAGAAAGCAAAGGAGAAAATGTTTGCAATTTGGGTTAGGCAAAGATCCTTTAGTTATAACATCAAAAGCACAACTATGAAAAAAATTGATAAAATGGACTTCATCAAAATTAAGAATTTCTTTTTTTTTTTTTCTGAAAGTCACTATTAAGAGATGTGAAAAGACAAGCCATAGATTAGGAGAAAATATTTGCAAATCACGTATCTGACAAACATCTTGTATCCAGAACACACAGGGAAACTTCATTTTATTGTGCTTTGCAGATGTGTTTTTCATAAATTGAAAGTTCGTGGCAACCCTGTGTCAAGCAAGTCCATGGTGTCACTTTTTTAACAACACGTGCTCATATCATGACGTGCTCATATCATGACTGTTTCATGTTATGGTAATTCTCACAGTATTTCCAACTTTTTCATTATTAGTAGATCTATCACGGTCATCTGTGGAAAGTGATCTTTGATATTATTGTAATTGTTTTGGGGTGCCACAAACTACACCCATATAAGATGGTAAACTTAATAAATGTTATATGTGTTCTGACTGTTCCCCATCTCTCTCCCTTTTCTTGGGCCTCCCTATTTCCTGACACACAACAATATTAAAATTAGGCTAACTAACAACCTGAAATGATCTCTAAGTGTTCAAATGAATGAAAGAATCCCATCTCCCTCACTTTAAATTAAAAGCTACAAATGATCATGCTTAGTGAGCAAGGCATGTCAAAAGCCAAGATAGGCTGAAAGCGAGGCCTTTTGCACCAAGTAGCTAAGTTGTGAATGCAAAGGAAAAGTTGTTGCAGTAAATTAAAGTTGCTACTCCAGTGAACACACAAATAATAAGAAAGCAAAACAGCCTTATTGCTGATATGAAGAAAGTTTGAATGGTCTGGATAGATCAAACCAGCCACAATATTCCCTTAAACCAAAGCCTAATCCAGAGCAAGGCCCTGCCTTTCTTCGATTCTATGACAGCTGAGAGAGGTGAAGAAGCCTCTGCAAACTGTGAAGCCAGCAGAGGTCAGCTCATTAGGGTTAAGGAAAAGAAGCCATCTCTATTACATAAAAGTACAAGGTGAAACAGCAAGGGTTGATGCAGAAATGGCAATAAGTTATCCAAAAGATCCAGCTAAGATCATTGATGAAGTTAGCTATGCTAAATAACAGATTTTTAGTGTAGACAAAATAATCTTCTATTGGAAGAAGATGCCATCCAGGACTTTCGCAGTTAGAGAGAAGTCAATGCTTGGCTTCAAAGCTTCAGAGTACAGGCTCTCTTGTTAGTGGCTAATGCAGCTGGTGACTTTAAGTTGAAGCCAATGTTTATTAACCATTTTGAAAATCCCAGAGCCCTTAAAAACTATGCTACATCAACCCTGTTCTGTGCTCTATAACTGAAAGAACAAGCCCAGATGATGGTGCATCTGTTTACAGCATAGTTTACTGAATATTTTAAGTCCACTGCTGAGGCCTGATGCTAGAACAAAAGAATCTGTTGGAAGCATTATTGCTCACTGACATAGCATCTAGTTGCTCAAGAGCTCTGCTGGAGATGTACAAGGAGATT
This sequence comes from Homo sapiens, assembly GCF_000001405.40. NCBI lineage: Eukaryota > Metazoa > Chordata > Mammalia > Primates > Hominidae > Homo > Homo sapiens. The sequence continues at coordinate 122,486,110 of NC_000007.14, forward strand.
AATGTTGTTTTCATGCTTGCTAACCCAACATCCATTCTGCAGCCCACAGATCAAGGAGTAATTTCAACTTTCAAGTCTTATTATTTAAGAAATACATTTTATAAGGCTATAGCTGCCATACATAGTAATTCCTATGAGACATCTGGGAAAAGTAAATTGAAAACCTGGAAAGGATTCATCATTCCAAATGCCATTAAGAACATTTGTGATTCTTGGGCGGAGGTAAAAATATCAACATTTACAGGAGTTTGGAGGAAGTTGATTCCAACCCTCAGGGATAACTTTAAGGGATTGAAGACTTGAGTGGAGGAAGTCACTGCAGATGTCATGAAAATAGCAAAAGAACCAGAATTAAAAGTGCAGCCTGAAGATGTGACTGAATTGCTGCAATCTCATGATAAAACTTGAACAGATAAGAAGTTGGTTCCTTTGGGTGAAGCAAAGAAAGTGATTTTTGAGATGGAATCTACTTCTGGTGAAGATGCTGTGAACATTGTTGAAAGGACAACAAATGATTTAGGATATTACATAAACTTAGTTCGTAAAGCAGAGGTAAAGTTTTAGAGGATTGACTCCAATTTTCAAAGAAGTTCTACTTTGGGCAAAATGATAGCAAACAGCATCACATGCTACCAGAAAATCTTTCGTGAAAGAATCAGTCACTGCAGCAAACTTCATCCTTGTCTTATTTTAAGAAATTGCCACATCCACACCAACCTTCAACAACCAGCAACCTGATCGGTCAGCAGCCATCAATGTTGAGGCAAGACCCTCTACCAGCAAAAATACTATAATCACTGAAGTCTCAGGTGATTATTTTTAGCAATAAAGAATTTTAAAATTATGTTTTAGACATGATGCTAGTGCATGCTTAATACACTACAGTGTAGTATAAACATAACTTTTTTTTTTTTTTTTTTTTTTGAGACAGGGTTTCACTCTATCGCCCAGGCTGGAGTGCAGTGGCGCTATTTCACTGCAACCTCCACCCCTCGGGTTCAAGCAGTTCTCCTACTTCAAGCCTCCCAAGTGCTGGGACTACAGCCACGTACCACCATGCTCAGCTAATTTTGCATTTTTTGTAGATACAGGGTTTCATCATGTTGCCCAGTCTGGTCTCGAACTCCTGAACTGAAGAGATCCCCCCCACCTCGACCTCCCAAAGTGCTAGGATTACAGGCTTGAGCCACTGCGCCGGCCAAACATAACTTTTATACACACTGGGAAACCAAAGAATTTGTGTGACTCACTTTATTGAGATATTCATCTTATTGCAGTGGTCTGGAACTGAACCCACAATATCTCCTAGGTATGCCTGTATAAAGACCTCTCAAAACCCAATAAGAAAATAGCCTAATTACAAATTAGGCAAGGTATGTGCAGAGATACATAACCAAAGAATAAATATGGATAGCAAAAAAGCACATGAAAATAGCATTTCTCTATATGAGCAATAGTCAATTAGAAAATATAATAAAAAATATAAGATGCAATAGCAAGGAAAGTATGAAAGGCTTAGAAATTAGCTTAACCAAGAATAAAAAGAGCTCTATGGAAAATTATTAAAATGTAAAGGACTCAGATTTGAATAAATGAAAGGATATTTCATAGTCATGGCTGGGACAACTGAACATTACACAGGTATGGATCTGGAGGCATTCTATGTTTCCATCTCTGGAGGAGTGAATAGAAATAAAATGTGCAGTAGACCAGGTAACATAAGACAGAAGCCCACTTACATGGTATGCAGTAATCAGAAGAATGAGATTAGATGTATTCATAAAAACATGGATAAATTTTAAAAACATAGAGATGAACAAAAACAGTAAGACTGAATATGACAAAGAATACAAAACCATTTATGAGATTGACGCTAAATGCACACATACAAAATGCAAATTTGCAAAATGAAAAACACAGGAAATTCACATTAAATGCTGTAGAACTGTAGCTTATAGGGGAAGGGACAGAGACTGGCCTATGGAGAGGTAAGAAACAAATTTATAAAAACTTGGTTTTCAACAACAAGAATCAAAACTCGGAGGGAAAAAAATAGATCAGCTGGATGGAAGAAAATGGTTTTGGGAAGAGATTTGACTTGAGTTAATGTTGTGCTGGGGGTGAGCAATGAACAGAGCTCCAGAGGAAAAAAGTTCTACCCGGGGTTGAGGGAGTCTTATACTTTGATGCCCAATGCAGGCACAGTCCAGGGATAAATACCCAATTTGGCACTTGAAGTAGGAAAGAAGCAGTGGATAAGAGCTGTGCTGCAAGAGAAACGCCTGAGTGAGCACCCCTGTGCATAGCTGGGGAATACCCAACAAGTTACTATGTACCACTGTGGCAAGAATCTGATGAAAATGATGTAAGGAATTCATAGGTGTCTGGAGTTGATCCAAGGAGGACACAGACTACATGGACTTCATTGCCAGGTGCCCTGGCAGGTCCATGGTGACGAGCAGTGCATACCAGCACATAAGTAATGAAATCAATGACAGAAGTCATGCCTAAGCCCATGTGAACAGAGAATAGTCTTAGGCTAGATGTTACATTCAATGATATCACAGTTTTATGCAATCCCTCTGAAACTTAATTTACTATGGATCACATGGAAGAAGAGTAGGGGGAAGAATCTTGAATTAATTGAATTATAATCTGTGACTCAGTTGTTTTGAATTAGCGAGTTAAAGTTTTTTGGCAACATTAGAAATTAAAATTTAAGATATGTTCAATTGTAGAAAAATAAAGTTACACTTCTGTACACCTTAGCTCTGATGAAACACTCTTATCTGCTGTGCCATACTCTATGTGTATTACCCAGAGGGTGAGAGGAAGGCAGCAGCAGCGAGTTAAATTTTCAAATACAGTGAAAACATCAGAATGTGCTCTTTTTATTTTATTTTACCTTTTAAGATGACAATGCTACTAATTTTAAAGAAGAAATTTTAAATCAATGAAAAAATTTATAATATTCCTAAATAGTTTTCACTACATATAAAAGATATGCCCCAAAATAATTACGATAATCTATGAGTATGGTCTGTGGTTTCTAAAATAAAGAAATAAAAAGCTCATGGTTCACATTTAATTATTTGAACTAAAGTGCCTTTGTTTAGGATGCCCAGAAATGATACTGAAGGGTATCTAAAAAGAGAAGAGAATAGTTACTTGATGCATGAAAAGCAGAAGAAAATAATGCATGTCAAGATGTTATTCCCTTTGAGAAGAATCTCAAGAATAAAAAGCCACAAGTTGAGCTGAAAGTTAAAGACAAATATTTATTACAGGTAAAACAGGATAAGCTTTGTAAAGGAGTACAACAAGTTAAAACACTTGGTTTAGTGATTATCAAAGCTAGGTTTGAAGATGTTTTGACCATTATTCCATAATTATTAAGCATCAGTCATTTAAAATTAAAAATTTAGTTCTTAACAACTTAAGGTAGCATTCAAAAAGTGACATGTCTTTAAGGTACAAGGGGAAAAAAGTTGGCTTTATGACTTATTATTTTTATCAATCTACAACAAAAAAATAGACCTATTATCCTTCTGGGGTATTAAGAACAATTCTAGAAGGTAATGGTTCATCATTTTGGTATTCTGAAATCCTATCAAAGCAAATTTGATTTTGCAATACTTTTTCCATATCTATAGGAGACTTAAGTCAAAAATCACAATAAACTAAATTAAATTTTCCTTTGAGAAGTTTTGGAGAATTTTCTTATGTGCTCTTGAGATTTCTAGAAATACCCTAATGCTTGACAAATCCATGATTGGAAACCACACGTACCATTTACTCCAGATTTATGTGAAAAATTAGATAAGTGATTATGTGACTACTAATATGAACTATTTTCATTTAATTAGGAATCAATTAATGATGTAAACTATAATACTGAATACATTTGCCTCAATTTTATATCTTATTAAGGCTATTAATTGATAATCAAATTATTTTTTAACAAAACTTACAAAGCTGAGCATCTGCATGGAGAGTTCCTCCTTTAGGATTCAGTTTCTGGGTTTGAATTGCAGGAACTGGTTTATATGATTGACCTGTGGCCCTATACATGGCTTGAACCCATAATATTCTGTCCTGTTCATCATCACTGGCAAAGATTACAGTATCTCCTTCTTTAACAGCATTAAAGAACATACAACCACCCTGAAGGCCTGTGGAGGAAACAAAAAGACATCATTAAAAATTTATAGGATTGGCAGATTTTCGTCTCATTCACTAACTGACCTCATGGAAAAGAATGGCTTTGATATTAGCAGTTAAATGTTTTAAAGAATATTTAGTTTAAAGGATCAAATCCACAATCAAAGATTTGAAGAAAAACAATAACAAAAAGGGTTAAGCTCCCATATTACCTCAGAAATAAAAAATAACCTAGGGAAACAGTCCATGACAGAGTATCATTCTACAAGACATATAAACACACTCCATGGAAATGCATAGCACAATCTGATATTTCATGCCAGAGAAAGAAGTTTTATCTGTTGGCATAGTTGCCATTCTATACATGGGAAAAATATATAATGATTAAGACAAAAATGATATTTCATATTGCATGTATTTTATCTTTTATAAAATTCTTTCACATAATATTTTGCATTTTAAGTGAACAATTAGTTAATATAGTCATAAATTTCTATTTCTTAATCTCTATTCACCAATATTTAATCATTATGTTTATTAATGTCTACATTTCTTGATCTTAGATATTAATGTCATTAATATTCATTCATTCAATTTTTTAAATATCAGGTGTCCAATACTCTTTCCAGTATTAATATGAAGGGAGAGAGAGAAGTACAAGCATGTATTGTTGGGGAGAAAATTAGTAGTTATAATATAATAATTCATTTGCCATTTCTTTGCCTATTTCTGCTATAACTTTTGCTTTCCCGCAAAGAAGTTTCTGAAAACATTGTAATATCTCACCTAATTATTCCATTACAGTGAATTTTACACATTTCAATCCTGCGCTAAAATAATAACAAATATGATGAAATATGGCTAAAAATACAAGCCCTCCAAAAGAGATAATTTGAATCTCATAAAGTCTTGCCCAGGTATATAAGTGAAATATGCACCCTATTCATCGAGAGGGGTTTAAATTGTAGAACAGACAAAGGATATTTATAAGAATTCCATGCATACATACATGGCAGGAAAAGTGATTCAATTAAGATTTACCTGGGTGGGGATCGGTATAATCCACAGTATAGCCTTCAAGCTGCATTAATTCTTGTGGTTCAGACTTCTTTTCTCTATAACTGCACATAGCAAAGGTATATTGGCTAACCTGCTCGAGAAAAAAAAAGTTTACAGATTAGTCACATTAAATTTACCAAATTTAACTTTCGTTTTTTTATCAAAATACTCTTTTCCCAATTAAAAATATAACATAATTTGCACATAAATTATTAAATTTTAGCATTTTTCAAAACCTAGCTCAGAGATTCAAGCACCTTTCGTTTGTCAGCTTGCATTTGTTGGGTCTTCTATGCCTATGATCCAGCATTCCCCAAGACAATGATTTGGTGCTCAAGCTTCTATATTAATAGAAGCACCATAAATAAGTATTCATGTTGATACGTTTGGGATCATTAGCCTATTAAGAAGATAAATAGCCTTCTTTCACTTCATGGTTTCTTACAGCTTTTAATATGCTAACGTAGGCTATAAATCTCTAAGAGTAAGATTAGGAGTAGTCCTAGATTTACATAAACATGGGACCACATTTTCAAGCATACTTATATCAAGACTTTTAACAAAGTAAAAAAAGATCTCACGCCTGTAATCCCAGCACTTTGGGATGCTGAGGCGGGCAGATCACGAGGTCAGGAAATCGAGACCATCGTGTCTAACACGGTGAAACCCCATCTCTATTAAAAATACAAAAAATTAGCCAGGCGTGGTGGCACACACCAGTAGTCCCAGCAACTCTGGAGGCTGAGGTAGAAGAATTGCTTGAACCTGGGAGGCTGAGGTTGTAGTGAGACGAGATCGCGCCATTGCACCCCAGCCTGGACGACAGAGCGAGACTCCATCTCAAAAATAAATAAATGAATAAATAAATAAATTAATTAATTAATTAAATTAAATTAAAATAAATCTCACTAAAAGTTGAGAATTTAGTGGCCACATAATGAAAACCTCAGGCAGGGCCAGGATGGAGTAAATTTTGGGCAGCCAGTGACAACATTGCCAAGATCTGGTCTGCCTCTTAATTCTTCTTGTCTTTTGGAATTGGCCTCATTTCCTTGTGCTAAAGTCTTACTAGAACCATAGCTGCTCTGAAGTCACCTCCCTGAGTGTGTCTGCTTGGATCACAAGGCCATATTTGAACAAAATACTGTAAATGGGGAATGTTTCATTAGCCCAGTTTGGGTCAAGAGCTCATGTATGCAGCAAAGACGTCAGATGCTACAACAGGCAGGCTCTTTCCAAAGTCCCCCAACAGAGATAGAGGGAGGTTCTGTTCCCAGCAGGAGAAAAGGCTGTTTGGTGGATATACATCTAAATTGCAAAATATCCTGCAACACAGGGTCCATGGAAGATAGTTTGGTTAGTGTATTTTTTTTCTTTTTTTCTTTTTTGAGACAGGTTCTCACATCGTCACCCAGGCTGGAGGACAGTGGCACGATTATGGCTCATTGCAGCCTCCACCTTTGGTGATCCAGTGATCCTCCCACTCAGCCTCCTGAATAGCTGGACCACAGGCACATCTACCATGCCCAGCCAATTTTTAAAAAATATTTATAGAGAAAAGGTCTCTGTCTGTTACCTGGGCTTGGTTAATGTTAATTATTTCCTTTTTCTGTTTTTAAACATAAAATGAAACTAAGGAAACATAGTACCTTTCAATAGACAGTGATTACTTCAATAGGACCCCAAAATAAACTAATTATGAAAGACAGAGAAAATATGGGCTACATTAAAATCAAGGTATTCTCTTCATTTAAAGGGTATCATGAAGAAAGTAAAAAAGGCAAAGCAACAGACTAAGAGAAGATGCATGCAAAACATATATTCAATCAATAACTCACACCAGAAATATAAAGAACTATAAATCAACAGGGAAAACTCAGAACACATGTTGGAAAAACGGGCAAAAGATGACTACTCTTTTTTATTTTCACATCCACTCTCTGTACCTGAGGCCAAAAAGAGAGGTTTGAGGAAGTGACAGGTGTAAGATGCAGGGATCAACATTGTAACTTTTAAAAGGAGAAAATATATTTTCTGTTCTGAGAAAAGAGGAGCTCTTTTCTCTGCTCCTCTCTGCTCTTCTACAAAGTAAAAGGCGCAGGTCATTGTGAAAATTACCATGTTAGAGACTGCTAAGTTGCATGACAAATTGTGGATTTAAAACTGAAAATTAACACAAAGATAACATTTCATTAGAAAAAATGCTGATTAGATAAGCAAAAATGAAAATGGTTACTAGTACACAGTGTGGGTGACAGAATGAAAACTGGTGTGGACTTTCTGGAAGGCAATCTGGCAACAGGTTCTATGATATACTTACGTTTTACGTACATCACAGTACATAGGTACAAAGATGTAACACATTTTTGCCAAGCGTGGTTATGTTTAATCTTTTTTTTTTTTTTTTTTGCCAATTTTGATGAGTGGGAAATACTTTCACTGTTATTTGAGTTTACAATTCCTATCACAATAGGACTGAGAATTTTCCGTTATATTCGATAAACATTTGAAGTTTTCTTTTCTGTGAGTTTCCTAATCAAATAGTTTGCTGTTTTTCTAATATATCATTTCATCATTTGTACCCTTCTCTATAATCAATTTTGTCAGAGGTTTATTCACTTTTTTAACGTGTTAACATGACTAGGCTATAGTATCCAGTTATTTAATCAAACGCTAATTTAAATGTGGCTGGGAAAGTACTTCGTAGAAATGGTGAACATCTACAATCAGTTGACTTTAAGTAAAGGAGATTATCGTCGATATGTGGGTGGGTCTCATATAAGCAGCTGAAGGCCCTAAGAGCAAAAACTAAGGTTTTCTGAAAAAGAAGACATTTTCCCTCAGCTTCTGCTGAGGCAGCACCAGCTTCTGCAGGAGTTCCAGCCTGCTGGCCTTTCTGGAGAACTCTTACTGATACAGTAGCAAAAGGCTGACTATTTTTTATGCATTCCTTTGGTCTAGCAAGGAACGTATCTCAAGGAAACAAATGGAGAAGTACTCAAAGATGTATATGCATTGTGTTCACTGCAGTATTGCATATAAGCGGTTTGGTTAAAATATATTATGGCATGACTATATAGGATAATACTATGAGACATTAAAAGAGACGTGACAGATTTTTTTCTTAACATGGGAACCTAAGATATAACATTTCTAAGATATAACATAAAGAGCAATTTAAAAGCAAAAATGTAGACTGTGATTCTGTGGGTAAACATTATATATATATATGAATTAAAATATATATTAAAATATTTACAGTGATTATTACAGGATGGTGAAATGATAGGTTATTTTATTTTATAGTGTTGAGTTTTTTAAAAGAATATACATTATTTTAAATCAGAAAAAAGAATAAAGTTATTTCTATTTTGAAGAATAAAAACATTAAGCCTTAATGGGAGAGATTGAGGCCAGTATCTTGTGATACTTGTGGTTCTTGCTACACTAAATTTTCCTTGTGTCTTTCCTCATCTTACAGACAGTCAAATTTACTTTTTCCCTTGCATATGTCTAAGGTTTACAAATGAAAGTCAGTTGCTCCCATAAGGGTTTTTTTTTTTTATTTTTTGGTAATCACTTAAAGGTTTCAGTTTCCTTGTGTTAAAAGGTATAATTGTGTGGGTGTTTTTGGGGGTAAGGGTTAAGGGGTTGGAGGTGGGGGTGTTGAGAGGTAAACAATAACGGTCCAACTGTATTTGTTCTAAAAAGAAGTCCTTTCTCTTACTCTAGAAAAATAACTTAGTTCAAAGTTCCCCTATTCTTTCATAAAGCTATTTTACACAGCATTATCTTAAAATATTATGAAATATCTCCAACATAAAGAAAAGTACAATAATACACTAACATGTATATATTCATCATTCGGCTTTGTTGAATGGTAATTTCTTAGAGATACATATGCTTTAAAGTGTCTTTTTTAAAAAAGGACAGATTCAATTAATGCCTATACATACTCACCCAAGACAATTTCCTTTCTCTTCTCAGAGATAAACACCATGATGACTTTTCTGTTTATTATATTATTTCCATGACGTTTTGAAATGTGTACCACATACAAGAAAATCGATAAACATCAAGTACTTTTTGCATGTTTCCAAACTTCATATGAATATATCATACATATTATTCTGCAACTTTCTTCCCCAAAAGTTCAATGCTTCTGATGCTTAACCATCTTGATATAAATATTGTTACTTGAATTGTCACACTTTAACCACTATCCTAGTGATGTCCTTCACTTTTTTTCACTTGTCCTTACAAACAATGCCATGATGGACATTCTTGTACGTCTTGTCTTCTTGCTCACATATGTGACAGCTTCTCTAGTACCACTTCAAGGAGTGGAACTGCTAGGTTGTTGGGTGCACAGATCTTCATCTTTACTGAATGTTGCCTAGCTGCTTTCCAATTTGTACATACTATATATACCTGTGGTATATGAGCACTCCAGATATAATATTAATACATCTTTACCAAGCTTGGTATTTTAAATCTTTTTATTTTTTGCCAACTTTGATGGGTGGGAAGTGGTATTTCACTATTATTTGAGTTTACAATTCTTATTACCAATAGGACTAAGAATATTCTCTTCTGTTTATTAGTCACTTGGGGGTTTTGTCTTCCTTCCTGATGAAATAATTTCCTCATTTTTGAATGTATCATTTAGCCATTTTATACCATTTTCCACAATCAATTTTGCCAGAGATTTATTCACCTTTTTAATGTTTTCGAGAAATGTTATTGCATTTTGTTAATCCTCTCTGTTGTTTTTCATTTCCTTAATTTCTGCCATCTTTCTTATCTCTTCATTTGGGATATTTATCTCTTTATTTATTTATTTATTTATTGAGACAGAGTCTTGCTCTGTAGCCCAGGCTGGAGTACAGCTGCACAATCTCAGCTCACTGCAACCTCCACCTCCTGGGTTCAGTCAATACTCCTGCCTCAGCTTCCTGAGTAGCTGGGATCACAGGTGTGCGCTACCGTATCTGGCTAACTGTTTCTGTTTTTAGTATAGATGAGGTTTCACCATGTTGGCCAGGCTGGTCTTCAAGTCCTGACTTCCAGTAATCCACCTGCCTTGGCCTCCCAAAATGCTGGGATTATGGCATGAGTCACCACGCCTGGCCTTGATTGTTTTTTTAAACTCATATAATTAGCTTATTCATTTTTAATTCATTTTTAATATATGCATTTATGTTTATTCTAAGTTCATATTAGCCTCATCTCACAAGTAGCATTTTTATGAGTTCTGTTCCAAATATTTTTCATTTTTATGATTTGTTTTTTATGTTGGAGCTACTTAGAAGTATGTTTTTAAGTTTGGCTTTGTGGTTCTATTTTTGGTTTTTAAATTAATTTCATTGTTATCAGAATAATTCTGAATCTTAGTATTTTTGAGACATGTTCTGCTTAACACATGACTAGTTTTTTAATCAGTGTTTTGTTTGCTTAAAAAGAGTGCATGTCTTGTAATTATTATTCAGTGATTATTCACGTCCATTAGGTCAAATTTACTAATTGTCAAATATTCTATATCTGATATTCTTTTCTGATGTAAAAGTATTGAGAAATGTTAAAATTTCCCATCAAGATTATCTCTCTGTGGATTCTTCATGCAATTCTCTTAAATGTCTATATATTTTAAAGAAATAATCTCATATATATACCTGGGATTGTTACTTCTTTCTCGGACTGTTCTGTCTTTCTGGTAACTTGTTCTATTTGTATTTATGCAGTGAGTATTTTAAAAATCTGATACTGCTTTTTGCCTTGAAGTCTATCTTCTTGTACAGTCACAAAACTATACAATCTTTCTTTTGTTTAGTATGCATCTGGTAAATTTAAAAAAAAATCTCTTCAGTCTCAATTATTCTGTGTTATATTTTAGATCTCTATGAACAACAACTGGGGTTTTTAAAGCCCTGAAAATCTAGTCTTCTAACAAGATTTATTTTAAAGACAAGCTATATTTGCTGTACATGCTGATATATTTGGATTTATTTCTATTATCTTATCTTGCCCTTTGTATTTGCCATGCCTCTTTTTCTTTCATTCCCTGTCTCTATTAAACATTAACAAAATCTCCCTATTTCCTCAACAGTATAGAAACTATATATTTCTTTTCTCTCACTGATTCCTTAAATCTTGTTTTTAAGTCTCCTCCTGAATCCAGGAAACTTTGAGTGCTTTACTTCCATTACCCATTCCCATCTGTTAACTCAGTCCTCATTATATTAGTTCTACCTTATTTTAGTAATGTTTAGTATATTAGCATTTAGTAATAGAAATTCATTATTAAAGTATATGATCTTAACAAGTCAATATTTATTTATATTTGCCCTTGGGTTTACTCATTTTCTTGCTGATGACTGCTTCTTGACTCGCACTCTGTCATTCTGTGTTCAATTTCTTTCTTCCTTTAATTTGAAAATATATCCTTTTGAAATATCTGAATATTTGAAAATATGTCTTTAATTTGTTCTTACTCAGGCGTAATGGTTTAGTTACTTACATAGTGTTTTAGCCCAGCAATCCTATCAGTAATTTTGAAGATATTCCATTGTCAGAAGGCTTATACATCCATGTGGAAAAGACTTATGAAAGTTCAACTGCAGTTCTCCTCTTGTAATTTGCTTTTTTTTGAGACATCTCACTTGGTGGCCCAGGTTGGAAGGCAGTGGCACGAACTCGGCTCACTGCAACCTCCTCCTCAAGCCATTCTTGTGCCTCAGCTTCCCAAGTAGCTGGGATTACAGGCATTTGCCACCAGGCCTGGCTAATTTTTGTATTTTTAATAGAGACGGGGGTTCACCACGTTGGCTAGGCTGGTCTCAAACTCCTGACCTCAAGTGATCTGCCCACCTTGGCCTTGCAAAGTGCTGAGATTACAGGTGTGAGCCACCATACTCAGCCTATTTGCCTCTTCTTTATGATTGTTCTTACATGTTCTCTTAATCTTTGTCATTTTGCACTTTCATCATGAAATTTCTAGGAGTTAAAGAGTTATGGTTAATACTTATTGTATTTCTTATATCTGATAATTCATGACTATATCAATTTAAAAATCTTCCCATTATCTGTTTAAATGTTGCCTCTGTCACATTTTTCCTTTATTTAATGCCTTTATTCAAATCCTATCAGAAATAATCTTGAAGCTTTCTTTCCTCCATATCTTTTAATTTCTTTATGTATATTTTTTTCACCTCTTCATTTTGAGTTCTAGGCAGCTTCCTCAGATTCTAACCAATATTCCATCATTAATTACATGACAAATTTTCTCTTCAGATGTGTCTAACCTATTGCTTACCCTGTCTATGGAGGTTCTAATTTTAGTGACTGTGTTTTGAAGTTTTGGAAGTTCTATATGATCCTTTTCCAAATCTGCTGGTTCACTTTGCATACTGTTATTTTCTTTTTTGTTATTGTTTTTTATTATATTTTTGAACCTGCTTATAAATTTCATCACCTTAAATAAAATTATTTTATAATTTATGTATGTGAGAGCTGTATTGCTGAAATTCTTAGTGGTGTAAATGATCAATTTAGTTTTGTAATTTTAGATTGTGAGCTAATAATAAACACAGTGTTATCTCTGGATATCCTACAAAGCCTAGCTTAAGGGCTCACCTTCCAATAAAAAGCAATTTTTAAAAATGCCAGCTGCTCCATGGTCATCACCAATCCAGGATTGCTTTTTATGTTAATTTCCTAGCTTAGGTATTTCCCTTATATTTAATAAAATAAACTGGGACTTTGACATTCTTTAAGTACAAGCTAACAGTTAAAAATTCTGAGGGTTAATTTTCCTGCATATTCAGAGCTTCAGCTCAAACACAAGATTAATTGCCCAAGGGCAGATTTTTTTTCTAGCCCATCATTTCACAGAGATCTAGTTCTTTTAAGTTCTTTATAAGATCTCTGTTCCAAATACCCACTTTAAGAATACCTCATGGTACATCTTCTTTCTCTGCATGAGCAATAAAATCTCAAGTGCCTACCTAACAACATCAACATCCACTAATTTCAAACTCCAGCACTATTGTAGCCACAATGTCAACTCACAATCATAACCATTCTAGGTGTTTGTGGTCTCTAAAGTTTTTCTTTTTTTTCCTTCACTTGACCTACGTATTTAAAAACATGGGCACTATATTTTATTCGGCATTTCTAGGTATTGGCCAAAAAGGAATTCTTAATATTACCTTTAAGACTAGCCAAAACTACCAATTTAAATCTTTTGATCAATCCTTTAATTTTGCTTTATGAACTTTCCAAATAGCAAGTCTAACTTTTATATGTATGAGAAAAACTGTGTAAGTCCTTTTCACTACATTTCAGAAAAGAAAAGAAGAAACTATGACGATGGGGTTAGGGTATGCAAGTAAACACACTGTGTGAAATGTGTCTTATGTATCCTTAAGTTATAATTATTCAACACCAGGGGACCTCTACAAAGTAATACTTTTATCATCAACTATTGAAATAATAGAAAATATATTGGGCAGCTAATTCATAAGTTTCTCATCTTCTTCTCTTATTTGGAAGAATCTTAAAAACCTGACTAAAAAAAGTCACCTGACACATCACCACATGAACAATCTGGAACCTGCTGGGAGAGAGATGAAGGGCATGGGAAGGTCTGCCTTCCCTGCCTGGCTCACAAACATTTCCATCAATGACTAGCTGCAATCTATAGCTACCGCTGTGTAAAGTACTCCAGACGGACCATCCAGCAAGACTCACCCACTTTAATTCAGTTCTTCACCTGAACTGCCAAGCAGAAAAATATCACCTTTATGTTTAAAATTCCATTTCTATATATTTCTCAATCTAATAAAACCCTACTCCTTTTTCCAAGTTTTTAACAAATTTGTCCCCTTTACCATTCTAACCTTGTTTGTCATTTTTTTGTTTCTGACTCAGTGTCTTCATAATACGTATAAAATGGCTTCCACAGTGTGTGGCACAGAGTCACTGCTTCTGTATTTTGGCACGAAATTTATTTCAATTCAGTAAATATTCTGCCATATTTGAAAATGTACTATTTTTGAAAGTATAAGCCACATATTTATCGTCTTAAAAAAAAACTAACAGTTTAACAGCACACATAACTCAACTTGTACTCTTAAATGTATCCTCTTCCACTTACCATAACAAATGACATTTGATTTTTAAATGTCATACACTCCACTGAAAACACTCAAGAAACAGTAAACATCCCCTCATGCAAGTAGGCACCCCATTATGTTACGGACACAGATGTCAGAGCCATGGAGAAACCAGGCTTACCCTTTCAGGATACACAGATAGCTATGATGTGACCATAGTTATAAGAAAGCCATCAAAATACCAAGGAAATTTGGAAACAAACAAAATTAACAAAGAATCAAAAACAATAACTTAGGAAACAACTAATTAGGGAGTTATTATTCCCATTACAAAGACACTCTTACCTTCACAAAAATATCTGACTTATGTAAGTGGCAAGATATTTTTATATTTTATATATTAGTACTTGGAGAAAAAGGTAAAGCAAAAATATTGGAAGGTATTGTGAACTGAAAACTAGTCAGGAAAAAGTGGTGTTTTTGGAATTGTAATGGAACATAATAAAATGTATAATTTAATTCTAAATCTAGGCCAGGCACAGTGGCTTGTACCTGGAATCCCAGCACTTTGGGAGGCTGAGGTGAGATGATCACTTGAGGCTAGGAGTTCAAGACTAGCGTAGGCAACTAAACGAGACCCCCATCTTTTAAAAACTTTAAAAATCAGCTAGGCATGATGGCATATGCCTGTAGTCCCAGCTACTTGGGAGGATAAGGTGGGAGGATCACTTAAGTCCAGGGATTCAAGGTGGCAGTGAGTCATGTTGGCACCACTGCACTCTAGTCTGGGTGACAGAGTGAACTCTGTCTCAAAAACAAAACAAAAAAAACATTATTACATATGATAGAATTATAGATTTTGATTATGTAGCAAGGATTTGAAGATATTACATTTGGAAATTTAAAACTATGATTTTTAGAGGATTCAAAACTCACTAAATCATAAGTAGTTAAATAAAGAACCAAGCTTCACTGAAAAGAAAATGAAATATTATACTCTAAGTAATTCTCTCACACTAGCATTGAGAGACAAGGTCTGGGCCTTTGAGATTGAGGTCTAAACTCCAGCTTTCATGGATGAGGGAAGTAACTTTCCAAGGTCACCCAGATAAAAAGGGTCACCTTGGCCAGGCATGGTGGTACATGCCTGTAATCCCAGCACTTTGGGAGGCCGAGGCAGGCAGATCACGAGATCAGGAGATCGAGACCATCCTGGCTAACACCGTAGAAAATGTACCGTAGAGACGGTAGTGAAACCCCATCTCTACTAAAAATACAAAAAATTAGCCAGGCGTGGTGGCACACGCCTGTAGTCCCAGCTACTCGGGAGGCTGAGGCAGGAGAATCACTTGAACCTGGGAGGTAGAGGTTGCAGTGAGCTGAGATCGCACCACTGCACTCCAGCCTGGGCAACAAGGCAAGACTCCGTCTCAAAAAAAAAAAAAAAAAAAAAAAAGGAAAAAAAAAGTCACCTTGAGTCTAGAACACAACTCTCTGTAGTTCAATGGATATTCTTTCCAATATATCATATTATTTTATACATTCTCATTCTGAAACTTAAAAACAACTGTATTCCCGAATAGCAAGCCAATTACCTCTTAATTTCTGGCAAAGTTATTATTTCAGATAGCACTGAGTCCATGATCAAAAATCACTAAAGGTGTTGGAGAAAGAGAAAAGTGAATTGAATAGCAAATAATTCAAGGTAGTACGCTTTTATTCTCTTTTCTCAGGTATGTGTTCAATAAATCACCATCATTTGTTTTATAGTAATTGTTAATATCCTTAACATAAAATTGTAATCTTTGGAGGTATTTAATAATTTTTCTCTTAAATTTCACTAACTAGGTCTGAAATTAATATTGTCATCCCTTTAGTTTTTTCATTCTGAGAAGCTGACTGTTAACAGGTCCATTTAACTTATTTATAATAAGAACTAATATATTTTGTCTTGCTTTTTTTTCCTCTTTATCTTCTATTATTTGGTAATTAAAGTTTTCTTAGCATTTAATTTTTATACTATAATAGTTTCTTTAAAAGTTTTAAAGACATAACCCATATTTTCTCTATTTATTGAAAAACAAAATAATTTTTTCACTGGCTGTATATAACATGAGGACTAGAACCTGTTTTATTGTTCCATTCATTATTTTGACAAAATCTAGAGGTTAGGATTCACATTTTGTAATAATTACTTAATTATATTTCTATAACCTATCTCAGGAATAATTTTTCATGTTTAATTGAGCCGCCAAAATATTTTACAAGAATAAAATAAACCATATGCGTTTATTTCATTATTATTCTAATTCTTCTACATCTTAAGTTTCACATGTCTGAGATCATACTCATTTATCTCTCAAATGTCAGGAATTCTCCTTTAAATATGTTCAGCAATGTGAACTGTATTTTTTTCTTTTTTTGAGCTTTTTGGTTATAGAAACTTTTTATTAAGTCCAATTTTATAGATTTTTTTAATTGTAGAGAAGCATGACAGAGTGACCAAGATTTTCAGCCATAACACTTATTTCATAAGAATATCTTGCTGGGAAAGCACAATAGAAATAAGACTTCAAGGAGAAAAAAACTTTTTTTTTTTTTTTTTTTGAGACGGGGTCTCGCTCTGTCGCCCAGGCTGGAGTGCAGTGGCACTATCTCGGCTCACTGTAACCTCTGCCTCCTGGGTTCAAGCGATTCTCCTGCCTCAGTCTCAGGAGTAGCTGGGATTACAGGCACGTGCCACCACACCTGGCTGGCTAATTTTTGTATTTTTAGTAGAGATGGGGTTTCGCCATGCTGGCCAGGCTGGTCTTGAACTCCTGACCTTGTGATCTGCTCGCCTCGGCCTCCCAAAATGCTGGGATTACAGGTGTGAGCCACTGTGCACGGCCAATACAATTTTCAATGATTGCAAGTAGATATAAAATCACAAAAGTATTTAGATTCTATTGAACACGTTACTGAATGATTTAGTGGTTTTTATCTTAGAAACTAGTATCTACTGCAACTATTTAAACTCATGATGAAAGACTTAGGAGGATGCACAGTTGTATAAAATTATTTTAAGGGACACATTGGCAAAATAGTTTAATACTAATATGATTGCTCTTTCCTATGTTGTCTTTTACAGAGATATACTCCTTTCTTGATGTCTTTTGAGATCTGTGGATTAGTCATACTAAACAAAATAGTAAGTTACTGAATTTAGTTTCTTGTGTATTTATAACCTCTGTATCTCCCCTTATGTTCTTATAAGTACTTTTTTCCTCCCTCTCATTCATTCATCCGTGCACTTATTCATTCACCAAATATTTATCATGCATCTACAGTGAATTTTTCCAGGCTTTGGGTACACAACAGTGCCTCAGAATTGGGAAAAAAAGCCATCTCATAGAGTGAGAATGGAGGAGATAAATGAATTGCAATTAGGAGGTACTGAAAATAATTTGGGTGATGAATTGTTTTGCAGGAAAACAAAGCAGAGGAAAGAGACATTAAAAGCATTCTATTTTCAATAGTGTGGTCAGAAAGGCCTCTCTGAAGACAACCATATTAAGGTATTTCAACTGGAAGTGAAGGGAAGATAAACCAGGTTTAACAGATCAATCTGCTATGTCAAATGCAAATTCCACTTTCATTTTCTCCCCTCAATTACTTACTTATCCTTATTCTTTCATACTTATTTTTGACAAGGCTTTAGAAAAATCATTTTAAGTCTTATATATCTCATTTAATTTTTCTGTAATATAAGAAAAACAATAATAGACCTTACAGGATTTTGAGAGAATTGGAGAGAACTGATGTGGGAGTACCTAGCACAATGCATGCCTGTTACACAGTGGTCTCCCCGTGAATCTAATTCAGTTGTCAGGGAGCCACCACCCTCCTCTCACTTTATTCTTTTTGAGTCTTAGAAGAATTGTTTCATGTTGGGTACAGGACACAGGTGTTACTATAACGCAGTATAGTCAGCACCTGATTGACTTGGGGATTGAACTCTCTTCAAACCACATGCTTCCACACTGTGAATGAGCTGAGGGCTGCTGACACTCCATGTTTCTGACTTCTGTCTCCTGGCCTCACTTGGCTTTCCCCACCCCTACCTTTCTTCCCACTCTCAGGGCATGTTTCTTTTATTTTTAGAGACAGGATCTCACTCTGTCACCTAGGCTGGAGTGCAGTGGTGCGATGATAGCTCACTGTAACCTCGAATTCCTGGTCTCAAGTGATCCTCCCACCTCAGCCTCCCAAGTAACTGGGACTACAGGTGCATGCCACTGTGCCCAGTTAATTAAAAAATAATACAGACATGGGGTCTCACTACGTTGTTCAGACTGGTCTCAAGCTCTCAAACTCCTGGCCTCAAGCAATCTCAGTTTCTGGAGTAGCTGGGATTATAGGTATCATCACCATGCCCAGTCCGTTTTCACAACTTTTATCAGCAAAGAAAGAACACAGTGGCTGTGTTGATGAAGATGTTTGGTGGAAGAATACGTAAATTTATAAGAAACTGAGAAAGTGAGGAAAAGTGCTAATACACCTAAATGTAGTTTTAGATACTAAATTTGTCTATTTCTAATGGACATTATCTTAATTATACATTATAATGTCTTTTAAAAATTATTGCTTTCTTAAAAACCAAATGTTGATTACTTCCAAAAGCTCTTTATATAATTAACATGTTCATATTGTCATGTGTTAAAGAGTACAGACTTGATGTGTGTAACCCACCCAAAATGCCAAAAATTTACCTGCTATTTAAGAGCTAGCCTTATAAATTAGTTGTCAAAAGACATGTGAGGTGAAATGCTTACATTAATGTGCATTTTTCTTCACATAACCTGAAGTACAACTTGAAGTTGCTGTTTTATGCTATAAGTATTGTATCTCTAGCTAGCTTTAAATGAGACAATTATTTTTTAAAAAATGCTAGAGATATAAAATTTTAAGTACCAATTTAACAAGTCTGAAGGTACAACAACAAAAATCAAGAAGTCAAAAACTTCAGGTTTAGAGGAATCACTCCATTTCTAGAGGCATGGTCACTTAAATGGCAAAGTATTGAAACATTTGCTTTTAGCTTTTAACTTCTTAAATATTTTGTTTAATATCTAAAATATCATCCAACAGACCTAGACTCTGTCATAGATAATTGGGCCTAGAGATATAACAAAGAGTACAGATGGAAGAGTAATAAAATACCAACAACTAACAGAGCTGTCACTGACAATTAGGAAATGTGAGCCATGAGACAACTGAAAAAGGTGCAATCTGGCGTTTCGAATACATCAACTCCAGAAGCTGCAACCTATTAATGCTATCTTTTGGGCTCACTGATTCCTGGTTCTGTTTCCATAAAATGTTGCCATATTTCATCCTTCTTTTAGTTCCTTTAATATCCCAAGAGATCTTACTTTTATCCATCCCCTTTGCAAGGTAATAATAAATCACATTCCCAAGGCCAGACCTAGAACAAACCCACAGGGTAAATTCAGGTGTTCCTGAATAGTACTAACACCTGTAGCTGCTGGTTTACTAGCCAGTTACCAGTTCACGGGTAATCTGGAGAAATTGTACTCAGACCTGTATCAGTTGGCACTAATAGTTAAAATATGCTGCTGAAAGATTAGCAGGGTCACCCTGCTCCCTGTGCTCCCACTTAGAGGCAGTCTTGCAGCCTCTACTCTGCCTCGTCACCACTTGCCAGGGAATTAGATAGACAACAGGTGGTTTGACCTATTCTGATCCGGTATTTGTTTTCATTTACGAGCCTACTTGTGTATTTCTGAACAAAGCTTATATAATTTACTAAATTGAAATCGAAAATCCCTTCAGTGGAAGCACAGCAATGAGAAACATTCAATATCTTTTACCCAATCCACTCTTAATAACTCTGTAAAGAATGGATTTGTTGAGAATTGGGAGATATGAACAGACTTTAATCTGGGGACAGAATTAAATCAGGTTTCAGCATCACTGCTTTTGATAGGGCACCTAAGTTGCTGTAGTACCACAAGGTATCTGCATCTGGTATACGAAACCTCCCATTTTGTCCTCAATTGCCAACCTGTGCAATACCTGTCTGTGTCCACACATGTTAAGTGCTAACTATGGGATTCTAGAGACCACAGCATTCAGGTTTGTATGTCGTATTCCTACTGCAGGGATGTTAACAGCTGGCAGCTTAGCAACTGCCACCATCTAATTTCAGTGAAGATTAAGGCTTTAAAAATCCCTAGCTGGAAATGTTCTTGGCAGAGGCCAAAGGTGCTGCTAGAGTTATTTAAAAAAAAAAAAAAAACAAACAAACTACACCAGAGCTGAATTTAATCATGAA